>NC_000005.10:174852233-175155263 GCF_000001405.40 Homo sapiens
AAACATAGTAGCTTAAAACAATCACCTTACAGAATATCTGTGCTTTTGTAGATCGGGAATTTGGGAACAGTTCAGCTGGGTGGATCTGGCTTGGAGCCTCACATGAGGTTGCTCTCACATGATGACTAGAGCCGTGGTCATCTCAGATGCGTTTTCTCTCACACATCTGAAGCCTGGGCTGGGAAGACTCAGCAGCTGGGGGCTGGGAGAGCTGGGGATCCTCAACCTCTCTGTCTCCCTGGGTTCTTTCCAAGTGGTCTCACCAGCACGATGGCTTCAGAGTAGCTGCACTCTTCATACAGTGGCTCCTGGCTCCAGGGCAACATGTCTAGAAAGACCAGGAGCTGAGTGGAAGCCATACCCTTTTCCATGACCCAGCCTCGAGCACAGGCCACGTCACATCTGCCTCTGCCACTCATTAGAATTGAGTCCCTAAGGATGGCTTATATAAAATGAGAAAAGAATTAGTCTCTTTCTTTGATGGGAGGCATATTAAAGAATTTGTGGGCATATTTTAATACTACCACTCTATAGAACACAGTATTGCAGCCCTTGAAATGAAGAAGAGTATTTGGGCTGTGACAAAGAGAGGAAACTGGGAGGGTCCTAAATGTGTTTTTGTGTACCCACGAGTGTGGTGAGTGTGAGGAGGAGAGATAGGGGCTATGGCAGAGTCTCTAGCATCCCAAAGGACAGTGGAGGGGGATGGCAGTGGGGCCTGTGCCGCCTAAATCCCAGCGGGGCCTCAGAGGACTCAGAGGGTTTCCCCATGAGCAATGGGCAGGACTGGACATTGCAGTGGCTCCACCCTCATGACCTAATTACCTCTCAAAGGCCACACCTCCTAACACATTACATTGCGGGTTAGGATTCAACATATGAATTTGAGGAGAGGGGTGGTGGGGACACATTTAGTCCACAGTGAGGTCCATTAAGCACACTGCAAATTTCGTATTGTAGCTCACAGGGCCAGGAGTGACTCTAAAGTTTGCTTGGTGGGTCAACTGAAATATGGACCCAGAGGTACGTTAGACTAAATAAAAGTGAAAATGGCGGAATTCCTTTGCCATACTATGGAGGAAGGCGCCCAAAACTTAGGGAGATTGGAATGCTGCAGTAAATTCATCATTTCTGACCTGTTCACATTCCCTGGGAGGGCCCAGAGGACATGCTCCTCATCACGGTTGTGAGAAATAAACTAGTGAGGAAAATCTGGCAACCTTGAAGCTTTCCATGGTGGCTGTCAGAAATTAGCTTGCGAACTTCTGCCACTGAACTGAGACTCTAACACAGTGGCGATAATGGGATTTAAGGTGGGAAGGCCCAAGAGGTGGCATTTAATCACAAGACAAGGTGGACATGGTTAGGTAATGGACAGAGGAGCCAAGTCAGTCATCAGAGCAACCTGAGTTACAGAGATTTTTGGCATCTGTTGGTTGGTTGTGGCATCCCTAAAACTGAAAGAGATGGTCAACATACTGAAGTCTTACTTGATCTGTATAAACAGACAAGCTCTAGATCTAATGATCAGAGTTCTGGCTTGAAGGATCAAAGCAGAGAATTACGACCCCTCAATTAATTCTCAGACTTGAGTTAATTTACAGACCCCACACCCCTTGAATGAAGAGGAGGCTGCATCCCCTTGAAGAATGGCCCTGCTATATTGCAGAGAATATATACTGTTAATCTTCCTCCCCAGGCTTCCACAATGGAATCTGTGGCTATTTACACTGGGGAAGGGAAAATAAAAAGACTCAACCAGGATCACTGGACAATGGCTGTGAATTGACACTAATGCCTAATGATCCAAAACATTACTGTGGTCCACTGGGTCGGGTAGGGGCTTATGGAGGTCAGGTGATCAACGGAGTTTTGACTCATGTCTATCCTGCAGTGTGCCCAGTGCAACCCAGAGGCCATCCTCTGGTTATTTTCCAGCTCTCTGCATAGTTGCTATATACACATTCAGCAACTGGCAGAACCCCTACATGGGTTCCGTGACTCATGGGGTGAGTTCTATTATGCTGGTAAAGATCAAGTGGAAAGCACCAGAACTGTGTCTACTGATGAAAATAGCAAACTGTATTCCTAGAGGAGTTGCAGAGATTTGTGTCATCATCATCAAGGACTTGAAAGATGTAAGGACAGTGATTCTTACCGCATTTCCCATTCAACTCACCTAGTTGACCTGCATGGAAGATAGATCTTAAAGAATAACAGAGATCTATTTCAAATGTAATCAGGTGGTGATTGTTAATTGCAGCTGCTGTGGTTTTGTTGCTGAAGCAAATTATCACATTATCTGGCATCTGCTCTGCAGCTTTTTTTTTTTTTTTTTTTTTTGAGATGGAGTCTCACTTTGTCACCCAGGCTGGAGTGCAGTGGTGTGATCTCGGCTCACTGTAAGCTCCACTTCCCGGGGTTCACACCATTCTCCTGCCTCAGCCTCCCGAGTAGCTGGGACTACAAGCCTACAGGTGCCTGTCACCATGCCTGGCTAATTTTTTGTATTTTTAGTAGAGACGGGATTTCACCGTGTTAGACAGGATGGTCTCGATCTCCTGACCTCGTGATCCGCCCACCTCAGCCTCCCAAAGTGCTGGGATTACAGGCATGAGCCACCATGCCTGGCCTGCTCTGCAGCTATTGAGTGACATTTTTTTTCTCTATCTACTGGCAAAGACCATCAAAGGCAACTTACTTTCAGCTAGCAAAGCCAGAAACACACCTTCATTGTTCTACCTCAGGGGTATATCCACTCTTTACTCCTAACTTATAATAGTCTTCAGAGATCTTAATTGCCTTTTTCTTCTAGAAGATGCTGGTCCATTACATTGATGCTATTATGCTGATTGAAACTGGTGAGCATGAAGTAGCAACTGCTTTAGACATATTAGCAACACACCTGAATATACTAGGGTGGAAAACTTCAGGGTCTAGCTATCTTGATGAAATTTCTAGAGATTTAATGGTCCAGGACTTGTCAAGGCATCCCTTCTAACGTAAAGAACAAGTTGCTGCATCTGGTCCCTCCTATTACTAAAAAGACACAATGCCTAGTGTGCCACTTGGGAGTTGAAGGCAACATATGTTTCACTTGGGTCCATTTACTGAGTGACCTGAAAAGCTGCCAGTTTTGAATGGGGCCCAGAACAAAAGAGGGTTCTCCAAAAAATACAGGCTGCTGTCCCTCCTGCTCTGTCACTTGAACCATATGACCAAGCATATCCCACAGTTCTAAAGTGTTACATAGGGAAGCTGCTTGGAGCCTTTGGAAGGTCCCTGCAGGTAAATCACAGTGCAGATTCTTAGAAAATTTTTTTTTTTTTCCAGAGACTGGGTTTTGTTATGCTTCCCAGGCTGGACTGAAACTCCTGAGATGAAGCATTTCTCCCATTCAGCCTCCAGAGTAGCTGGGACTACAGGCATGAGCCATGATACCCTGCTAGATCCTTAGTATTTTTGAGCAAAGACCTGCTATCTTCTGTGAATAACTATTCTCCTTTTGGGAAGCAGCTTTTGGATTGTTACTAGACCTTAGCAGAGACTAAACACTGATCATGTTACCAAGTGATCTGAGCTGCCCATCACAAACAGGGTACTGTCTGACCCACCAAGTCATAAAGTTGGAGGTACAAAGCAGGATGTCAGCCTCAAGCGGAAATGGTGTATGTCACGTCAAGCATAAGCAGGTCATGAAGTTACAAAGAAGTCGCATGAGGAAGTGGCCCAGATTCTCACAACCCCTACTCCTGTTACATTGTCTTCTCCCTCCAACCTGCATCTATGGCCCCATAGTGAGTTCCCTGTGTCCGTTTGACTGAGAAAGAAAATGCTTATTCTTGGCTTATGCATGGCTTACATGATACACAGGAATCATGCAACATTGGAGAGGTGCAATGCTGCATCTCCACTCTGAGATGGATCTGAGGAGCACTGGTGAAGAGAAATCCTCCCAGTGGGTAGAACTTTGAACAATGCATCTGATTGTTCCTTTCACATGGAAGAACACATGGCAGAAGACATGGGTCTATATTGATCACGGGTTGTGGCTAAAACTTTGGTGACATAATCAATGACTTAGAACCAAATGGATAACTTCTCTGGTGACAGAGAAGTCTGGGAAAGAAATATGTGAATGGACTTGTAATGGGCACAGAATGTAACAATATTGTGTTAGCCAATTTTTATTGCTATAAAGGATACCCGAGACTGGGTAATTTTTAAAGAAAAGAAGTTTAAGTTTTGGGTTATGGTTTTGCAGTCTTTACAGGAAACATGCTGCCTGGTCTGCTTGGCTTCTGGTGAAGCCCAGGGAGCTTTTGTTCATGGCAGAAGGCAAAGCAGGAGCAGGCTGTTACATGACAAGAGAGGAGGCAAGGGGCAAGAAGGTGCCAGGCTCTTTAAACAACCAGCTCTCACATGAACTCACAGAGTGAGAATCAGAGCAAGAACTCACTTATTACCATGAGAAGGGCACCAAGCCATTCATGAGGGATCCACTTCCATGACCCAAACACCTCCCACCAGGTCCCGCCTCGAACATTGGGGATCACATTTCAACATGAGATTTGAAGGGGACAAATAACCAAACCAAATCTAATATCAAATATATACTATGTGAGTGCTACTAAGGATGACTCCAGGAGAAAGAATTCTAATAAGGACCTGCTGTGTGGACCAGCCTCCTTTCCAGACACTTCTGTCATTGTCCCATGGGCTCATGAACAAAGTGGTCATGGTGGAGGGGGTGGAGATTATATATGGGCTCAGCAATGTGGACTTCCATTTACGAAGGCTGACCTGGCTATAGCCCCTGCTGAGTGCACAATCTGCAAACAGCAAAGACCAACACAGAGCCTTCGATATGGCACCATGCCTTGGGGGATCAGCCCATTACCTTGTGGAAGACTGGTTTCACTGGACAACTTCCACCACGAAGGGGCAATGTTTTGTGCTTACTGGTATAGTCATGTATTTTGCATATGGGTTGCCTTCCCTTATTGTAAAGCTTCTTGTATCCTTCAGGAATAATTCTTTTTTTGCATATAGGTTTTGCACATTTTTTGCTAAATTTATTCCTAAGCATTTAATCTTAGTTGTGATTCAAAATGTGGTTTTCCTTAATATTATGCCCTTTGCTTATTATTTGTGGATATGGAGGCTATTGATTTTTTTAAATATAATTGTTTTAATGTATCATTCTCTCTCTTTTTTTTTTTTTTTTTTTTTTGAGACGGAGTTTCGCTCTTGTTGCCCAGGCTGGAGTGCAATGACGTGATCTTGGCTCACCGCAACCTCTGCCTCCCAGATTCAAGTGATTCTCCTGCTTCAGTCTCCCTGGGTTTACAGACATGTGCCACCACACCCGACTAATTTTGTATTTTTAGTAGAGACAGGGTTTCTCCATGTTGGTCAGGCTGGTCTTGAACTACCGGCCTTAGGTGATCCACCCGCCTCGGCCTCCCAAAGTGCCGGGATTACACGCATGAGCCATTGCGCCCGGCCTCATTCTCTTAAATTATGTAGAAAAACATGTAGCATTGCAAACCAAAGTTTTAAGAGTACTAGCTTTTAGACTGATAATTTTTGAAAAAATATATTACTCTCTTAAATCATGTAGAAAACAAAAGTGGAGTTATGAACCTTTATTATAATAATACTCACTTTTTTAAAACCTTTACTGAGATCTTCATTTCTTCATGTGACTTCGAGTGACTGTCCAGTATCTTTTAATTTCACTCTGCAGGATTCCCTTCAGCATTTCTTCCAGGGCATATCTAGTGGCACGAGCCTCTCTCAGCTTTTAGGAATGTCTTAATTTTTCCTCACTTTTAAAGGAAAGTTTTGCTGGATATACGAGTCTTGATTAACAGGTTCTTGTTTTTGTTTTTCATTTTGAATATATCAGCCACTGCCTTCTAGCCTCCAAACTTTCTGATGATAATCTTCAAGGTCTTGGTTCTTCACCCAGGATGGAGTATAGTGGTTTGATCGTAGCTCATTGCAGCCTTGAACTACTGGGCTCAAGCAAGTCTCCCACCTCAACTGGGACTACAGGTGCATGCCACAATGTCTGCCTAATTAAAAAAGCCTTCTTTTGAGACAGTCTTGTTGTGTTGCTCAGCTGGTCTCAAACTCCTGGTGTCAAGTGATCCTTCCACCTCAGCTTCCTGAGTAGCTGGGATTACAGGCACAAGCCTCTGTGCTCAGCTGATAATCTTATTAGAGATCCCTTGTATAGGATGAATCACCTCACTCTTACTACTTTCAAGATTTTCTCTTTGTCTTTAGCTTTCCCCGGTTTGATGATGTGTCTCATTGTGGGTCTCTTTAAGTTCCTCGTATTTGGTATTCTTGTAGCATCTTGGCTGATTATATTTATGTCTTTCAGTGAATGTGAGAGGTTTTCATCCCTTTTTTTCAGATATTCTCTCTACCCCTTTCTCTTTCTGGGACTCCCACCATGTGTACGTTGACCTGCTTGTGGTGTCTCACAGGTTTCTTAGGCACCGTTCCCTGTTCCTTTGTCTTTTTTTCTTTCTGTTTCTCAGACTCAACAATTTCTGTTGTCTTATCTTCACATTCATTGATTCTTTTCTCTGCCGGCTCAAATACACCTTTGAATCCCTCTAGTAAATTTATTTTCTTTATTTCTTCTAAAAACAAAAGGGATACATGTGCAGAACATGCAGATTTGTTACATAGATAAATGTGTGCCATGGTGGTTTGCTGCACCTATTGACCCCTCCTCTAAGTTCCCTCCCCTCACCCCCCAACATACCCTGGTATGTGTTGTTCCCCTCTCTGTGTCCTCCATGTGTTCTCAATGTTCAACTCCAACTTATGAGTGAGAGCATGTAGTGTTCAGTTTTCTGTTCCTCTGTTAGTTTGCTGAAGATGATGGCTTCCAGCTTCATCCATGTCCCTGCGAAGGACAATATCTCACATCTTTTTATGGCTGCATAGTATTCCATGGTGTATATGTACCACATTTTCTTTATCCAGTCTATCATTGATGGACACTTGGGTTGGTTCCATGTATTTGCTGTTGTAAATAGTTCTGCAATAAACATATGTGTGCATGCGTCTTTACAGCAGAATGATTTATATTCCTTTAGTTATATACCCAGTAATGGGATTGCTGGGTCAAATGGTATTTCTGGTTCTAGATCCTTGAGGAATTGCCACATTGTCTTCCACAATGGGTTGAACTAATTTACATTCCTACCAACAGTGTAAAAGCATTCCTATTTCTCCATAGCCTCACCAGCATCTATTGCTTCTGACTTTTTAATAATCACCATTCTCACTGGTGTGAAATGGTATCTCATTGTGGTTTTGATTTGCATTTCTCTGATGATCAGTGATGTTGAGCTTTTTTTCATATGTTTGTTGGCCATGTAAATGGCTTCCTTTGAGAAGTGTTTGTTCATACCGTTTGCCTACTTTTTGATGGGGTTGTCTTTTTCTTGTAAATATAAGTTCCTTGTAAATTCTGGATATCAGACCCTTGTCAGATGGGTAGATTGCAAAAATTTTCTTCCAATCTGTAGGTTGCCTGTTCACCCTGATGATAGTTTCTTTTGCTGTGCAGAAGCTCTTTAGTTTAATTAGATCTTATTTATCAATTTTGGCTTTTGTTGCAATTGCTTTTTGTGTTTTTGTCATGAAGTCTTTGCCCATGCCTATGTCCTGAATGGTATTGCCTAGGTTTTCTTCTAGGGTTTTTATGGTTTTGGGTTTTATGTTTAAGTCTTTAATTCATCTAGAGTTAATTTTTGTATAAGGTGTAAGGTAGGGGTCCAGTTTCAGTTTTCTGCATGGTTAGCCAGTTTTCCCAGCACCATTTACTGAATAGGAGATCCTTTCACCATTGCTTGTTTTTGTCAGATTTGTCGAAGATCAGATTGTTGTAGATGTGTAGTGTTACTTCCGAGGTCTCTGTTCTGCTCCATTGGTCTATATGTCTGTTTTGGTACCAGTACCATGCTGTTTTGGTTACTCTAGCCTTGTAGTATAGTTTGAAGTCAGGTAGCATGATGCCTCCAGCTTTGTTCTTTTTGCTTAGGATTGTCTTGCTATACTGTACTGAGTTATAACAGTACCATGCTGTTTTGGTTACTCTAGCCTTGTAGTATAGTTTGAAGTCAGGTAGCATGATGCCTCCAGCTTTGTTCTTTTTGCTTAGGATTGTCTTGCTATACAGGGTTTTCTTTGATTCCGTATGAAATTTAAAATAGTTTTTTCTAATTCTGTGAAGAATGTCAATGGTATTTTGATGGGAATAACATTGAATCTATAAATTACTTTGGGCAGTATGGCCATTTTCACGATATCGATTCTTCCTATCCATGAGGATAGAATGTTTTTCACTTGTTTGTTTCCTTTCTTATTTCCTTGAGCAGTGGTTTGTAGTTCTCCTTGAAGAGGCCCTTCACAACCCTTGTTAGCTGTATTCCTAGGTACTTTATTCTCTTCATAGCTATTGTGAAAGGGAGTTCATTCATGATTTGGTTCTCTGCTTGCCTAGTGTTGGTGTTAAGGAATGCTTGTGATTTTTGCACATTGATTTTTGTATCCTGACACTTTGCTGAAGTTGTTTATCAGTTCAAGAAGTTTTTGGGCTGAGATGATGGGGATAAAATCATGTCATCTGCAAACAGAGACAACTTGACTTCTTCTCTTTCTACTTAGATAACTTTTATTTCTTTCTTTTGCCTGATTGCCCCGGCAAGAACTTCTGATACTGTGTTGAATAGGAGTGGTGAGGGAGGGCATTCTTGTCTTGTTCCAGTTTTCAAAGGGAATGCTTCCAGCTTTTTCCCATTCAATATGATATTGGCTGTGGGTTTGTCATAAATAGCTTTTATTATTTTGAGATATGTTACATCAATACCTAGTTTATTGAAAGTTTTTAACATGAAGGGATGCTGAATTTTATCAAATGCCTTTTCTGCATAATCATGTGGTTTTTGTCTTTGGTTCTGTTTATGTGATGGATTATGTTTATTGATTTGCATATGTGGAACCAGCCTTGCATCCCAGGGATCAAGCCGACTTGGTTGTGGTGGATAAGTTTTTTGATGTGCTGCTGGATTTGGTTTGCCAGTATTTTATTGAGGATTTTCTCATTGATATTCATCAGGTATATTGGCCTGAAGTTTTCTTTTTTTGTTGTGTCTCTTGCTGGTTTTGGTATCGGGATGATGCTGGCTTCATAAAATGAGTTAGGGAGGAGTCCTTCCATTTCAATTGTTTGGAATAGTTTCAGAAGGAATGGTAGCAACTCCTCTTTGTATTTCAGGAAGAATATAGCTGTAAATCCTTCTGGTCCTGGGCTTCTTTTGGTTGCTAGGCTATTAATTATTGCCTCAATTTCAGAGCTTGTTACTGGTCTATTCAGGGGTTCAAATTCTTCCTGGTTTACTCTTGGTAGGGTGTATTCGTCCTGGAATTTATCCATTTCTTCTAGATTTTCTAGTTTATTTGTGTAGTGGTATTTATAGTATTCTCTAATGGTAGTTTGTACTTCTGTGGGGTCAGTAGTGATATCCCCTTTATCATTTCTTATTGTGTCAATTTGATTCTTCTCTGTATTCTTCTTCATTAGTCTAGCTAGTGATCTATCTATTTCGTTAATTTTTTAAAAAAAATAGCTTCTGGATTTGTTGATTTTTTGGAGGGTTTTTTGTGTCTCTAAATCCTTCAATTCTCTGATCCTAGTTATTTCTTGTCTTCTGGTAGCTTTTGGATTAGTTTGCTCTTGCCTCTCTAGCTCTTTTAATTGTGATGTTAGGATGTCAGTTTGAGATCTTTCTAGCTTTCTGATGTTGGCATTTAGTGCTATAAATTTCTCTCTTAACACTGCTTTAGCTGTGTCCCAGAAATTCTGATACTTTGTCTCTTTGTTCTCATTGGTTTCAAAGAACTTCTTGATTTCTACCTTAGTTTCGTTGTTTACCCAGGAGTCCTTCAGGAGCTGGTTGTTCAACTTCTGTAAAATTGCATGGTTCTGAATGAGTTTCTTAATTCTGAGTTATAATTTGATTTGCACTGAGAAACTGTTTATTAACAGAAACTGTTAATAAACAGTTTCTCAGTGCAAATCAAATTATGATTTTGGTTCTTTTGCATTTGCTGAGGAGTGTTTTACTTCCAATTATGTGGTTGATTTTAGAATAAGTGCCATATGGCACTGAGAAGAATGTGTATTCTGTTGATTTGGGGTAGAGAGTTCTGTAGACATCTACTAGGTCCATGTGATCCAGAGCTGAGTTCAAGTCCTGAATATCCTTGTTAATTTTCTGTCTCCTTGATCTGCCTAATACTGACAGTGAGGTGTGAAAATCTCCCACTATTATTGTGTGGAAGTCTAAGTCTCTTTGTAGGTCTCTAAGAACTTGTTTTATGAATCTAGGTATTGGGTATGCTCCTGTATTGGGTGCATATGTATTCAGAATAGTTAGCTCTTCTTGTTGAATTGTTCCCTTTACCATTATGTAATGCCCTCCTTTGTCTTTTTTGATCTTTGTTGGTTTAAAGTCTGTTTTGTCAGAAATTAGTATTGCAACCCCTCCTTTTTTTGCTTTCCATTTGCTTGGTAAATTTTCCTCCATCCCTTTATTTTGAGCCTATTTGTGTCTTTGCACGTAAGATGGGTCTCCTGAATACAGCACACCAATGGGTCTTGACTTTTTATCCAATTTGCCATTTTGTGTCTTTTAACCAGGACATTTAGCTCATTTACATTTAAGGTTAGTATTGTTGTGTGTGAATTTGATCCTGACATCATGATGCTATTTGGTTATTTGGCAGACTAGTTGATGAAGTTTCTTTATAGTGTCATTGGCCTTTATATTTTGGTGTATTTTCACAATGGCTGGTACCAGTTTTTCCTTTCCATATTTAGTGCTTCTTTCAGGAGCTCTTGCAGGGCAGGCCTGGTGGTAACAAAATCCCTCAGCATTTGCTTGTCTGGAAAGCGTTTTATTTCTCGTGGCTTATGAAGCTTAGTCCAGTTGGATATGAAATTCTGGGTTGAAAATTCTTTTCTTTATGAATGTCGGATATTGGTCCCCAATCTCTTCTGACTTGTAGAGTTTCTGCTGAGAGGTCTGCTGTTAGTCTGATAAGCTTCTGTTTTTAGGTGACCTGGCCTTTCTTTCTGGCTGCCCTTAACAGTTTTTCCTTCATTTTGACCTTGGAGAATCTGATGATTATGTTTCTTGGGTTTGGTCTTTTCATAGAGTATCTCAGTGGTGTTCTCTATATTTCCCGAATTTACATGTTGACCTGTCTTGCTAGGTTGGGGAATTTCTCCTGGATAAGATCCTGAAGTGTGTTTTCTAGCCTATTTCCATTCTCCCTGTCTCCTTCTAGTACTCCAATCACGAAGTCTCATATTTCTTGGAAGCATTGTTCCTTCCTTTACATTCTTTTTTCTCTATTTTCGTCTGCATGTCTTATTTCAGTAAAGGTGGCCTTCAAACTCTGATATCCTTTCTTCCACTTGGTTAGTTTGGCTGTTGATATTTCCATATGCTTCACGAAGTTCTCATGCTGTGTTTTCCAGCTCCATCAGGTCATTTATTTTCCTCTGTAAATTGGTTATTCTAGTTAACAATTTCTCCCACCTTTTATCAAGATTCTTATCTTCTTTGCATTGGGTTAGAACATGCCCCTTTAGCTCATCGTAGTTTTTTATTACCCATCTTCTGAAGCCTACTTCTGTCAATTTGTCTGTCTGATCCTCCATCCAGTTCAGTGCCCTTGATGGAGAGACGTGCAATTGTTTGGAGAAGAGGAACTCTGCCCTTTTTGGTTTTCAGCATTTCTTCATTGATTCTTTCTCATCTTTGCGAGTTTGTCTGTTTTCAGTCTTTGAGGCTGCTGATGCTTGGATGAGGTTTTTGTGGGGGCCTTTTTGTTGTTGTTGATGATGCTGTTGTTGTAGCTTTCTGCTTGTTTGTTATTCTTTCAATAGTCAGGTCCTTCTTCTGTAGTGCTTCTACAGTTTGCTGAGGGTTCACTTCAGGCCTTATTCATCTGATTCACTCCTGTGCCTGGAGATGTCACTCAAGGAGGCTGGAGAGCAGCAAAGATGGGTGCCTGCTCCTTCTTCTGGGACCTCTGACCTCGAGGAGCACCAACCTGATGCCAGTAGGATTGCTCCTGTACAGGGTGTCTGACAACCTCTGCTGGAGGGTCTCATCCAGTTGGGTGGCACAGGGAGCAGGACCCATTTAATGAAGCACTTTGTCCCTTGGTGGTGGAGGTGTGTTTTGCTAGGCGGAAACCCACTTGTCTGGGTTGCCTGGATTCCTCAGAACTACCAGGAGGAGAGGCTAAGTCTGCTGGTCTGCAGAGACAGTGGCCACCCCTCCCCCAAGGGGCTCAGGCCCAGGAAGATCCAAAATCTGTCCCTGTGCTTCTGGCTGGAGTTATTGGAGATCCTGCAGGGAAGCCCTGCCCACTGAGGAAGGATGGGTCAGGGTTAAACCTGAAGAGGCACTCTGGCTGCAGACTGCCACAGCCAGTGTGTTGGGCTGTGGGGACAAGTCTTGGGACCAAGCTATCCAGCCTCCCTTGCCCCAGCAGGGGAAAAGCTCATCCTGGAGCTACAGAAATGGGTGCCACCCTGTCCCCACCCAGGGAGCTTAGCGTGTTAGTCAGTTGCGAGTCCCAGTGTTGGCTGCTGCCTCTCCCCCAAGGAGCTCAAACGGCTTAGACAGCAGGCAGCCACAGCTGATGCTGGTCACCCTTCCCCTCAGGAGTTCCGTAGGCTTAAACAGATTCCAGCTGAGAGGCTGTAAGAATTCACACTGTCTGGGGTTGGGATGCTAGGCCCTGGTGACGTGGGTTTGTGAGTGGGATCTTCCGACCCGTGGGTTGCATAGTTCTGTGGAAAAAGCACAGTTTCCCTAACTGTGTAGTGTGCTCACTCATTGCCTCCCTTGCTGTGGGGAGGGGATTCTCCTTCCCTATGTGGCTCTCAGGTGGGCTGCAGCACCGCACTTCTTTTCTTTCTCTCCATAGGTCATGCCAGCCTTCTAGTCATTTTTTTTTTTTTTTTGACAGAGTTTCACTCTTGTCGGCCAGGCTGGAGTGCAATGGTGCGATCTTGGCTCACTGCAAGCTCCATCCTCCTGGGTTCAAGCAATTCTCCTGCCTCAGCCTCCCAAGTAGCTGGGATTACAGGCTTGTGCCAACACGCCCAGCTAATTTTTTTGTATTCACCATGCTCAGCCAATTTTTTTTTTTTGTATTTTTGGTAGAGACAGGGTTTCACCATCTTGGCCAGGCTGGTCTTGAGCTCCTGACCTCAGCCTTCCAAAGTTCTGGGATTACAGGCATAAGCTGCCATGTCCAGTCAATTTTGATGACAGAGCCTGGATACATTGGTTGCCAGTGAAAGATTCACACACTTATTATGAATTTTTTCGATGGGAGCCTCCAAACAGTGCTGCTTCTAGTCAGCCATCTTGGCCCTCTCTCCCCTCTAGTAAATTTTTAACTTCGATTATTGTATTTTTCAGCTCAAGAATTTCTTTCTGGTTTCTTTTTCTGTTTTCTATCTCTTCATTGATATTTCCAATTTGCCCATACATTTTTTTTTTACTTCCTCCATGTCTTCCTTTAGTTGAAGGAAGCATCTTTAAGACCGTTATGTTAAAGTTTTTGTTTGGTAGACCTACCATCAGGTCTTTTTCAGGAACAGTATCAGCTGGTTTATCTTTTTTTTCTTTAAATGGGCCATATTTTTCTGAGTTTTTTTTTATGCCTTATGATTTTTTGTGTTAAACATTGGACATTTGAATCCAATAATGTCTGATAATTTAGAGTAGTAGTGACTCTAAAAATCAGGTGCCTTCCTTCCTCAGGGTTTGCTGTTTCATTTGTTGGTTTCTTGCGATCTATCTCTGTGCAGAGGAGTAGTGGCAGTAGTAGCTCCTGTTACTGAAGAGCCCTAAGTAAAAACCTTGCTAGCCGATTTAAGAGCATTATCCTGTTTAATTCTTACAACAAACCTACCTGATGGATATCTTTAGAAATAGTTTTTTTTGTTTGTTTGTTTGTTTGTTTTTTAAGGCACCAGCCTTTTGCATGCCCTGGAAGTCATTTCAGCAGGACAGAATCATCCTTCTCCAGAGACTCAGGGTAAAGATGGCTAGAAGGGCTATCAGGAAAATCTCCTCTTAGTATTTTTTTTTAAGTGTGATGAATATATTTCTTTCTTTCTGTATATGACCCACTCTGAATACTTAAGATTTTTAAAGACTACAATCTTTCCCCAAATTGCATATCTGTCTGTGGGAGTCTGAGTTATGTACACTCTACATATACTCTAACCCGAGGCATTTTGGGGTAGATTAGTTTTTCAGCTGTTAGTTCTATCAACAAACCGCGACTTCACACACTGTGACTCTGATATTTCTATTCTTCAACTTTCTGAATTACATCAGCATAACACTCTCCATTCAAGTGCCCAGGCTTTTGCCATCTTAGAAGCATTTTTGATGTTTCTATTTCTTCTTCTTGTAAGTTCTCTAAATTATGTTTGTTACCAAATTCTGGTATTCTACCAGGGTAATATCAACAAAGATCTGCTGAGTGTCTCCTATGGGGAAAGAGCTCTCCTGCTCATATTTTCTAACCCTCCCAGAGCTAGGATATAAACTCCAGCAACAATGGCCTCCTGCTTCTTTGTGTGCACCTCCGTGATCAGAAGCTGCAATCAGTGATCAGTAATCAGAGCACAGATCCCAAATATTTGAAGAACGGGGTCCTTTCTGCCCACTCCAGTTCTATAAGGCTACAAGCAAGCTGCTCCAGGAACACATGCACAGCTGCCCTGCCATGGGGCTGGGTGGGGGCTGCGTAGCCACTGCTGTGCTAAGAGCTGCAATGGACTAAAATTAGCCGTAATTTACCATCCAAGCCTCCCCCTGGAAGTTAAAAGCCTTCAGTAGATCCCAGGTTTCAAAATACTTACATCAGACATATTTTGTCAGCGCAATTGTTGTCTAGGTGGGTAGACAGATTTCTGGTGCTTCTATTCTACTATCTTCCCAGAATCCTCTAACTGAAGGCTGCAGAGATTTTATGTCAATTTTATATCTTGCTATTTTATGGAATTCTTTTATTGTTTGAGCGAGTGTCATCATTGATTATCTGGGATTTTCTAGTTATACTATTATAACATCTGTAAAAAGAGATAGTTTTGCTGCTTCTTTTCTATTCTTATGCTTGTAATTGGCTTCTCTTATCCTCTTATCTATTAAAAGTAATGGCAAAAACCACAATTACTTTTGCACCAACCTAGTAATTGCATTGGCTACTACATTTAGTTCAATGCAGAATAGGAATGGAGGCAAGTTACCAATTATTGATAAAGAAATCAACATTTCTCTCCCCAAAATATAAGTTTATATTAGAAAAAGAGTCTCAACAAAATATTAGAACCTTATCAAAGAAATAACATTTCAGATGTGAGGGGTTTATGAGTTTTCATATTGAAAGAGCTTTATCCTGAAATACTTCAGAAGTAAAATACATGTATTTAACCCAGTGATTCTGCCTACTAGCAATCATCACCCTGTTAGTATTTTGAGCTATAACAAATCGAATTGGTGGTTTCTTCTCTACGGCAAAAAGCAAAATGACAAAAGGAATAGGTAAAGGCAGCCCGAATGCAGAACGTTAGGCTGAGATCCTTCTTCCCGTTACAAGTCCAATGACGTACAGTTGCAGAAGTGTGTAAGAAGAGAGCATCCTTTAGAAATTTTTGTTGCAGACTCCTCACCATTGCCCAAGGGTTAGGAAGGAGCTGGGCTTTTTACACCTTATATTTATATTTATTAAAATATAGAAAAGAAATAAAATCCCAAAGAGAAAGGAAGAAAAATGTTCGATAGAACCATGTCTGTAAGTTGTAAATCATATGCTTTAAAAGTGAAAAATGTACTCAAAATTTCTTGTTAGGTAGTTGTCCATATCACACTCACTACATCATTTGGTCAATTACTGAAACTTTTCACTGTGTCCAAAGTATTTAGTGCAATATAGATATTTAATAATCCTTTCAATAAATATTTGAATTGGAGTAAGAACATCTACCAATAAATAATCACCATACAATGAAATGAATTCCAGAAAGAGATGTGTGCAATAGAAGTGGTTCCTAATTTAGTCGGTCGTGGTGGCTCATGCCTGTAATCCCAGCACTTTGGGAGGTCGAGGCAGGCGGATCACCTTGTGTCCAGAATTGGTTCCTTCCGGTGGGTTCTTGGTCTTGCTGACTTCAAGAATGAAGCCGCAGACCCTCGCAGTGAGTGTTACAGTTCTTAAAGATGGTGTGTCCAGAGTTGTTCATTCCTCCCAGTGGGTTCGTGATCTCGCTGACTTCAGGAGTGAAGCTGCAGACCTTCCCGGTGAGTGTTACAGCTCATACAGGTGGTGCGGAACCAAACAGTGAGCAGCAGCGAGATTTAGTGTGAAGAGGGAAAGAACAAAGCTTCCACAATGTGGAAGGGGACCCAAGCAGGTTGCTGCTGCTGGCTTGGGGGGCCAGCTTTTATTCCCTTATTTGGCCCTGCCCACGTCCTGCTGATTGGTCCATTTTACAGAGCACTGATTAATCCATTTTACAGAGTGCTGATTGGTGTGTTTACAAACCTTTAGCTAGACACAGAGTGCTGATTGGTTCCTTTATAATCCTTTAGCTAGACAGAAAAGTTCTCCAAGTCCCCACCCGACCCAGAAGCCCAGCCAGCTTCACCTCTCAACCGGAGGTCAGGAGTTCAAAACCCAGTCTGGCCAACATGGTGAAACCCTGTTTCTACTAAAAATATAAAAACTAGCCAGGCACGGTGGTGGGCCCCTGTAATTTCAGCTACTCGGGAGGCTGAGGCAGGAGAATTGCTTGAACGCAGGAGGCAGAGGTTGCAGTGAGCCAAGATCGTGCCATTGCACTCCAGCCTGGGCGACACAGTGAGACTCTGTCTCATTAAAAAAAAAAAAAAAAAAAAAAAAAAGTGGTTCCTAATTTTAATTTTGGCAGGAGTGTAAATGAGCTTTAACATAAGAAGGTATTTTATCAACTAGATCAGAAAGAACGTTCTAAGCAGAAGGAGAAGCTGATACAAAGGAACAGAATCTCGAAATGGGGTACCAATTTTAGGAAACTACAGCTGAGTCATTCCAAGGAACTGGAGCTCAAACCTGACCTCCTGTCGGATTTCAGCCTTGGCAGATTCACGCAGACTTCATCTGATGGCGTCATAAGGTACGTTTGGCTCTTCCTGTCAGTTCCACCAAATGTCCCTCTTTGGTTAAATTGCAATGAATTCTTTCTGCAGAATAAAGGTCTTAAGAGACTTTATTTGACTCCTTTTTCTCATTAAAAATTCCAAATCTCTTAATGCTTTCCCTGCTGCCCTGAACTTTTTTTTTTTTTTTTAAACCAATTACCTTTTCTTCTTGTTTCTCAGTCCAAGGTATGTGGGCAGTCTTCATCTGATAAAACTCAAGTTAATTAACTCTTCTGTTACCCTCAGACCATCTGTTATTTGAGAAATAGTAGAGAAACATGCTTTTTTCAGACAAAATCATCCTTCTCCAAGGACTCAGGGTAAGTATGGCTAGAAGAGTTGTCAGGAAAATCTCCTCTTACTATATTTCAACAAAGTGTAATAGATATCTTTCTGCATATGACCCACTTTGAAAACTTAAGATTTTTAAAAGCTACAACGTTTCCAAAAATTGTATATTTATTTGTGGGAGCCTGAGTAAAATACATCTGCGTATGCTTTCTAGCCCAGGCATTTTGAGGTGCGTTTTTCAGCTATTAAATCTATCAACAAGCCACCAGTTTACACAGTGTGACTCTGATATGTCTTTTTTTCTTTCTTTCTTTCTTTCTTTTTTCTTTCTTTTTTTTTTTTTTTTTGAGACAGAATCTTGCTCTGTTGCCCAGGCTGGAGTCCAGTGGCACAATTTTGGCTCACTGCAACCTCTGCCTCCTGGGTTCAAATGATTCTCCTGCTTCAGCTTTCTGAGTAGCTGGGATTACAGGCAAGCACCACCACGTCCAGCTAATTTTTGTATTTTTAGTAGAGACAGGGTTTTGTCATGTTGGCCAGGCTGGTCTTGAACTCCTGACCTCAAGTGATATGCCCACCTGCCTTGGCCTTTCAAAGTGCTGGCATTACAGGCACAACCACTGTGCCTAGCTGACTCTGATATTTCTACTTCAGGTGCCCACTCCCGTGCCCTGCTGTCATTACCAATAACTATACTTCCTCCATCAGTTCACCCTCTGCCATCCCACTCTCTGATTGCTACTTCCTATCTTTCCAGATTTAGTGCCTCCAATCCAAAATTTGCACCCTACTAAGACCTCCAGTCCAAAGGCCCTACCACATACTATTCCCTACCAGTCACTCTCCTCATGCCCCCTACTTCTCTCCCTGCCCAGTTTATATTACATATTTCAACATTCTAATCACTGCTGTGTGCATCCCTTCATTACCTTGTACTTTCAATGTCATTGACAAGATCCGAAAGCTTGTTATGTCCAGCTTTCCAGAACTTCAAGTATGCACTCAACCAGCAAATGTGGCTGAAGAGAAACCCCATAACCATGCTGATGCTCTTTCATCACAGTGAAGGCCACACATCCCAAGCATCCACGTGGGATGTCAGATAATCTTTGCATCTTTCCCAAGTCTATTCACTCATTCACTCTCCTATTTTTCCAGATACCAACCTCACAAATTCTCCTCTCTTCCTCAAGCCTGTAACACCTCTTCCCCACCAAAGAAGGCCTTGATTCTTACTTTGCTAAGACAATTGAGGCAATATAATGAGAATTTCTACTAGCATCCATTACCACATCTACCTAAGCTTGTGACTATCTCATCTCATTGGTCCATTCATTCATTCATTTATTCACCCATTCACCTAACTAGGCACCCACCCACCCACTCACCTATCCATCCATTCATGTCTCCACTCATTCATTCATCTATTATCCATCTGTTCATCTATCCACCCACCCACCCACTCACTCACTTACTCACTCACCCACCTGTCCATCCATTCATTCATCCATCCACCCACCTACCCACCTAGGTACCCATTTATCCATCCATCCATCCATCCATCCATCCATCCATCCATCCATCCATCTATCCATCCATAATCTTTCTTCCAGTACGATAGATAAGTCCTCTTCTCTCTTATCCATGGCATTCCCTCTGCATCCACAATGGCTCTCCTCTCCTCTCTCCTACTCAAGGACAGCTCTTCAGCAATTGCCTTCACTCCTTACTCATCATCAAGGTTCCCATTTAAGCAGGTGAATCCATTAACATGCAAACAGCCTCCTATTTCATACTAAAAATAAACTCTCTGGATGCACACCAGTTTTTTTTCTACTTTTCTGCTTCCCTTTAAAGCAAACTCTTCAAAAGAACTGATTTCACTCACAGTGTCCATTGCTTTTTTTTGCCCATTCTTTTTCAAGTAATTTCAGTTAGATTTTCTCCCCAGGCGTTCCACTTAAACTTCAGCTGTTACAGTTGTTATTTTGATAAATCCAATCTTTATCTTCCTTGACTTATTAGTAGAGTGGCCATGTAATTTTTCCTTCCAAACTAATAATTTTAAAAGTAAAAGAGGATGCTATTAATAATTTCTTTGGAATAACACATACAACCTGAGACCATTGCAGGAAAACCCTAATACGTATCTATTAGTTTATTGCTAAGTGCTCAAATTCTCTCAACTAGAAGGTCTGAGATTTTTGTGTGCCTTTTCACTTTGAATTTCCAGAACTCAGAACAGTGCCTGGTGTATATTTGTTGTTGAGTATTAGTGCCTGGGTGTTCAGCGAATACATAGTAGGCCCTCAATAGCAGTTGAATGACCAATGGCTGAATACATAACAATTTACTCTTGTGGTGGTCGTAAGCACTAGGAATCTGATGGATCTAGACGTATTGTGCTCTTTTGATGCAATGACTTGAGTTTCCCTACCCAGTAGGGCAATAGCCCCAGAGGCACCATACTTGTGCCTTCTCTTCCAGCTCTTGTTTTCGTTGTAGCCCTTTGACCAGTTTCTTGGATAAGCTTCAGGGCACCTCCAGACTGACAATGATTCATTTGCCTCCTTTATCCAGGATTAGAAGCATAATTTCAGAGGTCACCCAAGGGAGGAGGATTTCCCCATCAGGCCACTGAGCCTTCTGGTATTGCTCATGACTCAGAAATTTGCCCCTGAGATTATCCTCAGTGGGTTCAGAGAAAAGGTAACTGTAAGAGATTAGGAGCAATTACCCTTCTCCAGAGAAAGAATGACAGGCATTGGGCTTGCCTGGTGTTTTTTCAAGCTTATTTTAGACTCTGAATAGAAACTTATCCCTTTTTGTATGAGATGAAGTCATAATAACTTGGAGTCATTCAGCCAGAAGCCTTTTCCCATTTCAGTAAAAATTCCACCTTCATCCTCATCATCATAGATTCCCCCTCTTTATCCTGCTACACACACACACACACACACACACACATACATACTTGAATATACTCATCATATACCAAAGATACCTTTTGTCTTCCCTTAGAACTAAAAACAAATTGTCACAACTTTACTGATCTAATGATTCTTGAAGAACAAAGGTTAGACAAAGATTCCTAAAGAGCCATTTGACAAACACAGGTCATGACAATTAAGCAGTACCTTTCAGAGCACGCAGGACAAGAAAATAAAATATATATTATATAATTGCAGTCCCTCCCC
The DNA here is from genome assembly GCF_000001405.40 of Homo sapiens. Lineage (NCBI taxonomy): Eukaryota > Metazoa > Chordata > Mammalia > Primates > Hominidae > Homo > Homo sapiens. The sequence goes on from NC_000005.10 coordinate 174,873,034, forward strand.
CTCATGCATTTTAAGGAGGGAGGGTGAGGTAGCTACAGTGACCTTCGCTGGTGGGTGTGGGCTGGCAGGTTGGGAGGGGCTATGTCGGAGCAGGGAGACATTATGAGGACAGAGAAGCCCTGAGTCTGCTGGGCCGGTGGCAGGTGGGCAAGGGAGAGCCCCTGCCAGCCCCCACTGCTCCTTCTGGCGTTTGGGAAGGAGGTGTGAGAGTGGGGGTTGGGCAAAGTCTTCCGTGGGGTATGTAGTGTTTTCTGTCTTTACTGCTAAGTCTTCAGTGATGTTTCTTAGGAGATTTACTCAGCGTTCTCATTTCTTAAAAGGGCTGGCAGGTATCCCTCTCATTAGAAGGTGCCTATTTTACAGATCTATTCGATATTGCTGACTCCTTGAAAGTAGCTGAGTACTGAGATTATCCCCAGTGGGTTCAGAGAAAAGGTAACTGTAAGAGATTAGGAGCAATTACCCTTCTCCAAAGGGTAATTGGCCTAGAATATGGTAATTTTATAAAAGTTTCATGGTCACTTAGGAAGGATAAGGTCCATCTAGCGGTTAGCCATAAGGTTTTGTTTCCCTAGTGCTCATCCTAGAGCCTGACATGTAGTTGAGACCTGATGAATGGAGAAGGGTAAGGTTCATAGTAGTTGAGTAACTTAAACTAAAGGCCACATAGCTGGTAAAAGGTAGACCTGGAGTCAAATCCAGGTTCCTGGATTCCAGAACACAGGTGTTTATTCCCTGCACTAAATGGTTTAGCATAGCCAGGAGCACACAGTAAGCACATAATCCTTATTGAACTCATTTATTTTATTTCTTAAAGTTTATCTCTCCTGCCCCTAGCCTGGCTAGGATCAAAAAGCAGGGATTTAGTTTGCAACTCTCCCTTTTTTAGAAAAAACACTTTGATTTCGGGCAACGATGAGTCATTATGTCACTGACTTTTGCTAAATTCGCTGGTACAAGCCCCATCTCTCATGGTGTTGTGTTGAAAGTTTGGGGCTTTTATCCCAGGGCACTTAGGCAGATAAAGGAATAATACAGGCTGAAAAGCTTAACTACTCACTGGGGGAGCAGAAGGCTGATTATTCCAGCCACAAAAGATATATTTTGCCAAAAGGAAAAACAATTAAAATCATCTCAGCATTTATATGTACAAGCTCAACAATTTTAAAATGTATTTTATAAACACAGTTATAAACACATTAAAGGTAATTTTGATTTTAAAAAAAGTCTTACATAAATGCTGATACTATTTTCATTGCTGGAAATTCCTTCTGCGTCCCTGGTTGAATGGGCACATAGGTGAGATTATAAGGAATTTGAGTTGTATTCTATTTTCATTTAACATTTTATCATAAATAGACTTTGTTGTTGCTAAATATTCATAATTACCATTTTTTATTGACTGCAGAATATTGCTGCAACATGCGTTAATTAGCCAAGATACTATGGTTGGACATGTATATTATTTTCAGGTTTACCCATTTTAGATCATGCTGTAATAAGCCTCCTTAGATCTTTAGCATTTTATTTGGGAGCTTCTCCCCCTTTGGTTAAAACCCTCCTTTTTAAAAAAGTTTTGTTTTAAGCTCTGGGGTACATGTACAGGATGTGCAGGGTTGTTACATAGGTAAATGTGTGCCATGGTGGTCTGCTGCACCTGTCAACCCATCACCTAGGTATTAAGCCCAGCATGCATTAGCTATTCTTCCAGATGTTTTCCCTCTTCCTGACTCCGCAACAGGCCCCCGTGTGTGTTGTTCCCCTCCCTGTGTCCATATGTTCTCATTGTTCAGCTCCCACTTATAAGTAAGAATAGGTAAAAATCCTCCAACTTTTATTACCAAGCAAAAGGATAGAAGTGTCGTGTGTTCTAGGTGTGTATTGTCAAATTATTTCCCAAAAACCTTGTACAACTGGACCATGGCTTCCATTAGGCATGAGTGGACCAGGACCTCAGCGTCCCCAGCATTGGCCATCATTTAGTAAAAGAAAAAAAAATCCTTTAGGGTCAATTTAATAAAGTAAAATGGTAATTTGTTGTCTTAGTTGCATTTCATTGAATAGCAGTGCTATGAGTTTTCACACATTTGTTTTCGAGCAGTGTTGCATGTTCTATGTGCCAAGTGCATATGCCATGACAATGTATTTTAAAATGGTAAATCGTATAGCCTTTGATAATGCACTTTTAACAAAACACTGTGTCAGCTGACCCTCGATTTGCTGGCTTGGCTCTGGGAATCATGTCAGCTACAGAAGCTAATTAGAGAGATTCACTTTGATAGGTTTGCCAGGAAAAAAAAAAGTGTAATACAGAAGTGGAAAATCGCTTACAGTACTCCCCTCATACTTATATCATCATCATATCAAGGCTTAATAAAGCTAATTTGCTTCTAGGTAACTTGGCTGATGAGGCTGAGTAAACCCTGTTCTCACCCAGGGTTCTTCCAGTCAGCAGGACCCGAGGTGAGAATGACAGCATTCTTGATGGGAGCATTGAGATTCTTCCATCACAAGTACACACTGTCACGTTCAGCCTGCCTCACGCTGTGTTTCCTCTCCTGCGTGGAGCTTCCAGAGTGCTCACATCTGTGAATGGACCAGCCTTAATGGCTGTGAGCAGATGCCCTACCTGCACCTGTATCTGCTTCTCAGTGTCAAATCTCCCTTTCCTCCCGTCAGCAGGACCTGGGTTGAACTGATGATTCATGACTAAGACAATCAGGTGCTGTGCCTTTCCTGAGCTTTCAGAGGCTCAGGACGATGAGGCTGAGGCCTAGGGTGGGAGGAAAGCTGGAGTGGAGGGAGCAGAATTCAGGTGTGAGTCTAATGCATGACTGAGACACTGAGGCTGGGAAGCCAGGGATCAAGACCATGCAGGAGGAAGACGATGAGGTCACGGGGGCTGGGGTGGGAAGTCCATGCTGAAACTGGGAATGAAGCCAGTGGCTGGGGCTCTTCTTTTGGGGAGAGTGGGTCTGCTTCTGGAGAGGAACAGATGAAACTAGCAGCACCGGGGTCTCTGGCATAGGTGTGATCTGGCTTGAATGGGATCCACCCACAACAGACCCACAGCCAGTACAACATGGTAAGTAAAAGCAAGCACCTCTAAGTCAAGGGGAATGGCTCTGAATCCTGGCTCACCCACTTGCTAGTTGTGTGACTCTTAAGTAAAAGTTCTTAGAACAGTGTCTAACACATGATAAGTGCTCAATAAATGTTAGTTTTTCTTGGTAAACATTAGCACGATGCTTGCTATTTATTTGTGAACTGTCTACAACATGCCCAGGTCAGTTCTAGACCTTGCAAGGGGGCTACAGGGAAGCATACACGTGTTGACCGCATACAGGGCTTTACATCTATCCATGGAGAAATGTATATTTCACTGAATAACTGTCCTTGGAATTCAGAAGAGGAAGCAGGCAGGTGGGAAGGCAGCTTGAAGCCCATGGAATCTGATCCAGTCCTTTCTAGAGAGTAAAGGCCTACAGGAAGGGGGCACAGGAATTTCAGGGGCTCAGCAGGGGCACAGATGTGCAGGAGAGATAAGTGCCCTACCTAGGCTAATTGGACCTCAATGCACAGTACTATATTTATATGAGACATTATATATGTGTATATGTGCATGTACATATATGCAAATGAATACAAAAGGGCAGATGAATATACACCAAACTATTGGCAGAGGTTGTTTGGGGCAGTGAGTGAGAGTTAAGAGGGACTTGCATATTTTACTTTCTATAAACTTATTTCTGTATTACTAGAATATTTTACACAGTGAAAGCATTCATTCATTATTAGTGGAAGCAAAAAGATTTTAAAAAAATAATTTGGGACTAATGTTAAATGCCTTAGAGATCATTCAAGCTGCAGAGGGCAAGAAACAGGTTGTGGGCAAAGGGATGGAGAAGCGAAAACCAGAAGCACAGAAGCAGAAGATGACTCTTGCTGGGATGTATCAGGCTGCAGGGGAACCGAGGATGAGATGCAATGTCACTGCTCAGGAGCCCTGAGCATCTGCCCTGTGCCACATGCTATCACAAGTCCTTCCAACAGCCTTGCAAAGTTCAGGTAACCACACCCATCCTACAGATGGGGAAAGGGAAGCCCAGGGGAGTTAATCCTTCTCCCCAGGTCACACAGCCTGTGAGTGAAGGAGCCTATGTACAAACCCACGTTGGCCTGAAGACTTGCCTCTTCCCTCTCTTCCAAGGGAGTAGGTGAGGACAGTCAGGAGGTCCCTGCGGTGGTCCCGCTCCGCAGTGGGTGTGGGAGGCACCTCACTTCTATAAATAATAATAATAAATCAGAGCTTAAGCATAACACACCAGAAAAATGAGCATTTTCTCATTGCTCTGGCGTGTCATGCTTAAGCTCTGATTTATTATTATTATTATTTTTTTTTTTTTTTTTTTGAGACGGAGTCTCGCTTTGTCACCCAGGCTAGAGTGCAGTGGCACGATCTCGGCTCACTGCAACCTCCCCCTCCCGGGTTCACGCCATTCTCCTGCCTCAGCCTCCAGAGTAGCTGGGACTACAGGCACCCGCCACCACGCCCAGCTATTTTTATTTTGTAGTTTTAGTAGAGACGGGGTTTCACCGTGTTAACCAAGACGGTCTCGATCTCCTGACCTCATGATCTGCCCACCTCAGCCTCCCAAAGTGCTGGGATTACAGGCATGAGCCACTGAGCCCGCCCTGATTTATTATTATTTTAAGAGAGGATCTTGCTCTGTCTTGCAAGCTGGAGTGCAGTGGCGAAATTATAGCCCACTGCAGCCTCAAACTCCCGGGCTCAAGCAATCCTCCCACTTCAGCCTCCAAATTAGCTGGGACTACAGGTGTGTGCCACCACACCCAGTTTTATATAATATATAATTTTTTTCTGGTAAAGATAGGGTTTCACCATGTTGCGCATGCTGGTCTCAAATTCCTGGGCTTATGTGGTCTGCCCACTGCCCACTTTGGCCTCCCAAAGTGTTGGGATTACAAGAATAAGCCACAATGCCTGGCCATCTGATTTTAAAATTAGATGTTGATTCTTAACCTTCTCAACTCTCTGAGCTCCCCTGAGCTGGTATTGGCTTTGAGTGGGTGATCACTGGCTTTGTAGAAATTTTCAGGGCCAAGCAGGTTCCCTGTCATCAGCCTGTCTATATAAAGCCACAAGATAACAGCTGGCTACTGTTGGTTTTACTGAGAAAAACAAATAAGGACCTGAGCTGACATTACTGAGTACTACAGGAACCAGATTTTAATGACCTTGCCTATCTGACCAAGGCTTTGGGCAGCTTAGAAAGGTGAAATTAACTTAATTTGAATAGCGATAATAATGCTTATTTACTGAATGTAGTAGGCAGAACAATGGCTCACCAAAGATGCCCAGGACATAATCCTCAGAATTTGTGAATATGTTTGGTGACATGGCAAAAGGGAATTAAGGTTGCTAGTCATCTGACTTTAAAACAAGGAGATTGTCCTGGATTATCCAAATGCGCCCAATGTAATCAGAGGGGTCCTTAAAGTGAAAGATGGAGGCAGAAGATATCAGAGTCAGATGTCTGGACCAGGAGTATTCATACCACCTGGGAGCCTGTTAGAAACTCTGGTCCCACCCTAACCCTGCTCAATCAGACTTTGCATTGAAGCAGAAGCCCAGGAGATTTGAGAGCCCCTGGAGTAGGTCTGGGCCCCCCTGATGCAGAGAAGAAGCTCCAAACCCTGACCATTGATTGTCATGTAGGAATGTGGGCCATTGTCATCAGATCTAATTTTTCAAGAGAAGCTGAAAAATCGGGATTTTTGAATGTGAACTATCTCAACTTTTTAATACTTTGCAGGAGAAGACTAAAGTCTGCCTGTGGACCACCAGTTTGCAACCTTTTCTCTAGACTTCCCTCTACCACCCTAGAAGACTTGGGACTCCAGTTCTGGTTCGAACACAGATGAGAGGAATGATATTGAGCAAGTTCTTCTGTGTGGAACTCCAACTCCTTCGTTAGCAAGACAAGGGTAGATAATGATACCCATTGTTCCATCTTCCATGAATGTTGGGGACAGCAGGTTTAATGTACCTTCTCAAGCTCAAACAACATTTGAACAGCTTTTAGAGGGAAGAGGTTGAATAACCTCCAGGTATCCAATTAAATCTTTTTTTTTTTTTTTTTTTTTTTTTTTTGAGACTGAGTCTCACACTGTCACCTGGGCTGGAGTGCAATGGCACTATCTCGGCTCACTGCAACCTCCGCCTGCCGGGTTGAAGTGATTCTCCTGTCTCAGCCTCCTGAGTAGCTGGGATTACAGGTGCCCACCATCGCGCCCAGCTAATTTTTTGTATTTTTAGTAGAGACGGGGTTTCATTATGTTGGCCAGACTGTTCTCGAACTCCTGACCTTGTGATCTACCCGCCTTGGCCTCCTGAAGTGCTGGGATTACAGGTGTGAGCCACCACACCCGTGCCAATTAAATCATTTTTATTAGTCAGTGAAATGAGCAACAAGATCATTTTATGCTTATAGTATTATGGATTTCTAAAACTAGAAATTGCCATACAATACAAATAAAGCCATAAAGCCAGATACAGATTAAATTAACTAGTATCCTTTAACATGACAAACGCTGCTGTTTTGATGCAATTATATCAATGCCCGGGGTGGGAGCACCCAAGGCTCTGAGTGCAGTGGCTCATGGTTTTTTGGGCTATGGGAATCTGGGCCATGGGAGCCATGCGGTGTCTCAGCTCTCACACCACTCCCTCTCTTCACATCGCTGTGATTCCATTCATAGAGGAGGCTGTGACTTCATTTGGTGCTCTCATGTCACAAACATATGTCTGAGATGCAATATCTACCTTTGTACTGTTGACTAAAGAAAAAATTAAGCTGTTAAAGAATCGAAGTTAGTTTTACTGAGAAGTCTTACTGAAGACTGCAGCCCAGGGAAAGTCTTTCTGAGAGGTTCTGTTAGACTGCCCTAGCGTAGTGTTTTAGCTTCTAGTTTATAGATGGGCTGTGGATGTTCAGTGCATACAAAACCACATCACACTTGCTCATAGGTTACATTAAAGCAGAGTCCCACCAAGGTTGAGTATAAGAACACATCTGTTGGGAGGCCGAGGCAGGAGGATCACAAGGTCAGGAGATGGAGACCAGCCTGGCCAACACAGTGAAACCCTGTCTCTACTAAAAATACAAAAAATTAGCCAGGCGTGGTGGTGGGCAGCTGTAGTCCCAGCTACTAGGAAGGCTGAGGCAGAAGAATTGCTTGAACCCAGGAGGCGGACGTTGCAGTGAGCAGAGATCGTGCCACTGCACTCCAGCCTGGGTGACAGAGTGAGACTCCATCTCAAAAAAAAAAAAATAAATAAAAATAAAAGCACATCTGGTTATTGATAATGACAGCATAATCACTAGCCCTGCCAGTTGTTATATGAAGAAAAAGGCAAGGACTAGTGAGAGGTGACAGCGTGCTGGCAGCCCTCGCAGCCCTCGCTCGCTCTCGGTGCCTCCTCGGCCTCGGCGCCCATTCTGGCTGTACTTGAGGAGCCCTTCAGCCCGCTGCCGCACTGTGGGAGCCCTTCTCTGGGCTGGCCGAGGCCGGAGCCGGCTCCCTCGGCTTGCAGGGAGGTGTGGAGGGAGAGGCATGGGTGGGAACTGGGGCTGGAGCTGTGCACGGTGCTTGTGGGCCAGCTAGTGTTCTGGGTGGGCATGGGCTTGGCGGGCCCGCACTCAGAGCTGCCGGCCGGTGCCGCCGGCCCCGGGCAGTGAGGGGCTTAGCACCCGGGCCAGCAGCTGCAGAGGGTGTGCCGGGTCCCCCAGCAGTGCTGGCCCACCAGCACTGTGCTCGATTTCTCGCTGGGCCTTAGCGCCTCCCTGTGGGGCAGGGCTCAGGACCTGCACCCCGCCATGCCTGAGTCTCCCCCTAGCTGCCACCGTGGGCTCCTGCGTGGCCCAAGTCTCCCCGACAAGTGCCTCCCCCTGCTCCATGGTGCCCGGTCCCATCGATCGCTCAAGGGCTGAGGAGTGCGGGCGCATGGCGCGGGACTGGCAGGCAGCTCCACCTGAGCCCAGGTGCGGGATTCACTGGGTGAAGCCAGCTGGGCTCCTGAGTCTAGTGGGGACTTGGAGAACCTTTATGTCTAGCTAGGGGATTGTAAATACACCAATCGGCACTCTGTATCTAGCTCAAGGTTTGTAAATACACCAATTGGCACTCTGTATCTAGTTAATCTGGTGGGGGCTTGGAGAATCTTTATGTCTAGCTAAGGGATTGTGAATGCACCAATCGGCACTCTGTATCTAGCTCAAGGTTTGTAAATGCACCAATCAACACTCTGTGACTAGCCCAGGGTTTGTAAATACACCAATGGACACTCTGTATCTAGCTAATCTAGTAGGGAAGTGGGGAAGTGGAGAACTTTTGTGTCTAGCTCAGGGATTGTAAATGCACCAATCAGCACCCTGTCAAAATGGACCAATCAGCTCTCTGTAAAACAGACCAATCAGCTCTCTTTAAAATGGACCAATCAGCAGGATGTGGGTGGGGCCAGATAAGAGAATAAAAGCAGGCTGCTGGAGCAGCTCGGGTCTCCTTCCACACTGTGGAAGCTTTCTTGTTTTGCTCTTTGCGATAAATGTTGCTATTGCTCAGTCTTTGGGTGTACACTGCCTTTATGAGCCGTAACACTCACTGCGAAAGTCTGCAGCTTCACTCCTGAAGCCAGTGAGACCATGAACCCACGGGGAGGAACCAGCAACTCCAGATGCAACGCCTTAAGAGCTGTAACACTGACCGCGAAGGTCTGCAGCTTCATTCCTGAGCCAGAGAGACCGTGAATCCACCAGAAGGAAGAAACTCCGAACACATCTGAACATCAGAGGAACAAACTCCAGATATGCCGCCTTTAAGAACTGTAACACTCACCGCGAGGGTCCTTGGCTTCATTCTTGAAGTCAGTGAGACCAAGAACCCACCAATTCTGGACACACTAGGGTCATTCATCTTTTCAGGCATACGGTGACCCAGGGAAGAGATATTGGGGTCATGTGTTCTCCCCTGTTTTGTTTTCAGAGCATCGTTCTGGAGAGCTGCATGTCGTCAAACAGTTGGGGGCTTGTGACATTTTGCTGGCAGGCAGAACTGAGCATGTATGGCTTCTTATGTTAGCTACGTTGTCTCACAGTACCATAGAATCCCTCGGCGTCAACCCATCATACACCCTACGGCAAGGATAGGCACCAAAACTACACAGGTGTGTTCCACCTGCTGGTGGTCACCCCAGTGACCTCAAGAAAGCTCAGGGGCTTATGTTAACATTACGAAGATAGTGAACAAAATGAAAATTTAAACTTCTTGTAGGCATCCTGGGCTCTTCCAAAGGTGCCTGTGGATCCCTTGGGGTTCAGAACCCCAGTTTAAGGAACAGTGGTAGGGACAGGGAAAAAGATAGGGCCTCTGTTGATGGCCTGGCCTGAGCCTGCATTTCTACCCTGCCCAGCACCCACTGTGTCATCTCGAGCAAGGGTCCTATTGCTGAGTCTTGTTCAAGTGGGAATAGCAACAGCACCTCCCTGGAGGAGTTATTGTTAAGACCAGGCATAATGTTACAAAAAGTACCTGCATACAAACCATAATAGACTGTTTTTGTGGTGAAGATCAAATGCAATGATGAAAGTTGTAGTGGTTTTTTTTCCTTTTTTTTCCAGCTTCATTGAAGTATAACTGACAAGTAAAAATTGTATGTATTTAAGATGTACAACCTAATCTTTTGATGTAGGTATGCATTGTGAATTGATTACCACAATCAAGCAAATTAACCTCACACAGTTATTGTTGTTTTGTGGTGAGAACATTGAACATCTACTCTTTTAGCAAATTTCAAGTACAAAAGATAGTATTGCTAATATAGTCACCATGCTATACATTAGCTTTCCAGAACTTATTCATCCTGCAGAACTGAAACTTTGTATCCTTTGACTGACATCTCCCTATTGCCACTCCCACACACTGGCAACCACCTTTGTATTCTCTGCTTCTGTGAGTTAGACTTTTTTTCAGATTCTGAGAGGGAGATCATGCAGTATTTGTCTTTCTGTGCCTTGTTTATTTCACTTTGCATAAAGTCCTCTAGGTTCACCCATGTCACAGATGACAGTGTTTCCTTCTTTTTAAAGGCTGAATAGTATTCCTTTGTATACAAATACTGCATTTTCTTTATTCATTCATCGGCTGATGGAAATATGGTTTGATTTCACGTCTTGACTATTATGAATAATGCTGCAGTGAACATGGGAATGAAGATACCTCTTTGAGATACTGATTTTATTTCCTTTGAATATATACCCAGAGGTAGGATTGATTGCCAGATCATATGGTAGTTCTAGTTTTACTTTTTGGGAAACCTCCGTACTATTTTTCACGATGGCTGTGCTGATTTACATCCCACTAACAGCATGGAAGTGTCACTTTCTCTACCTTTTCACCAACACTTGTTATCTTTTCTTTTTGAAAACAGCCCATCTAACAGGTGTGGAATGATATCTATTGTGGTTTGGATTTGCATTTCTCTGATTTTAGTGATGTTGGGCATTTTTTCATGTATCTCTTGGCCATTTGTTTGTCTTCTTTTGAGAAGTGTGTATTAAGCTCTTTTGCCCATTCTTTAATCTATTTGTTTTCTTGCTATTGAGTTCCTTCTGTATTTTGGATATTCACCCCTTATCAGATGTGTGGTTCACAAATATTTTCGCCCATTCCGTAGATTATCTTGTCACTTTGTTGATTGTTTCCTTTGCTGTGCGAAGACTCTTTAGTTTGATAAATCCCATTTGTACATTTTTGCTTTTGTAGCCTGTGTTTTTGGTGTCCTAGCTGAGAAAATTATTGCCCAGCCTGGTATCAGGAAGCTTTTCCCTGTGTTTTCTTGTAGTAGTTTTACAGTGTCAAGTCTTATAATTAAGTCTTTAATACACTTTGAGTTGATTTTGTATATGGTGTGACATAAAGGTCCAATTTCACTCTTCTGCATGTGGATATCCAGTTTTTCTCAGTACTATTTTTTGAAGAGACTGTCCTTTCCCCATTATGTGTTTCTGGCACCTTTGTTGATGATCAACTGACCATAAATAAGTGGATTTATTTCTGGGCTCTCTATTTTATACCATTGGTATATATATATATGTGTGTGTGTGTGTGTGTGTGTGTGTGTGTATGTATATATAATCTCACACCAAATATATATTCCATTTTATATTCTATTTTATTCCATTGGTGTGTGTATATATATATATATGCACACATATATGTATATACACCAATATATATATTTCTGTGCTAGTGCCATATTGTTTTGATTACTATAGCTTTGTAGGATATTTTGAAGGCAGGTAGTGTGATGCTTACAGCTTTGTTTTTCTTGCTCAAGGTTGCTTTGGCTGTTCAGGGTCCTTTGTGATTCCATATACATTTTGGGATTGTTTGTTTTTACTTCTGCAAAAGTGCCTTTGGAATTTTGATAGAGACTGTGTTCATTCTGTAGATTGCTTTGGGTAGTGAGGACATTTTTACAATAATAATTCTTTAATCCATGAATATAAAATATATTTTTACTTATTTGTGTCCTAAATTTCTTCCATTGGTGTTTTATAGTTTTCAGTGTATAGATCTTTTACATCATTGGTTAAATTTATTCCTATGTATTTTTTTGATGCTATTGTAGGTGTGACTGCTTTTAAAATTTCTTTTCCAAATAGTTCATTGTTTGTTAGTGTACAGAAGTGCTACTGATTTTTGTAGGTTTATTTTGTATCTGCAAGTTTACCAAATTTGTTTGTTAGTTATAATAGCCTTTTGGCAAATCTTTAGGGTTTTCTATATATGATTATGTCATCTGCAAACAGAAACAATTTTGCTTCTAATCTGGATGCCTTTTATTTCTTTTTCTTGTGTAATTCTTCTGGCTACAACATTCAGTACTATAAAAAAATATCATGAGAGTGGGCATCCTTGTCTTTTTCCTGATCTTGGAGGAAAAGTTTTTAATGATAACTGTGAGCTTGTCATATATAGCCTTTACTGTTTTGACACGTATCCCTTTTATATCTAATTTGTTGAGTTTTTATTATGAAAAAATATTAAATTTTGTCTAATGCTTTCTCTGTGTCTATTGAGATGAGCAGTATAATGATGTGAGATAATTTCATTCTTCTGCATGTGGATTTCCAGTTTTCCCAACATAATTTATTGCAATAACCTTAATTGTTATGGTGAAGGTAAAATGCAGTGATGAATGTGGAAATGTTTTGAAGACTGTAAATGGTTGTCCAGACGTCAGTACTCTGTTATTACGTCAGGATGCTGGTTAAGAATTATGATGAGTTTAAGCTACCAATAACTTTCTTCACAGAATTGGAAAAAACTACTTTAAAGTTCATATGGAACCAAAAAAGAGCCTGCATTGCCAAGTCAATCCTAAGCCAAAAGAACAAAGCTGGAGGCATCACACTACCTGACTTCAAACGATACTACAAGGCTACAGTAACCAAAACAGCATGGTACTGGTACCAAAACAGAGATATAGACCAATGGAACAGAACAGAACCCCCAGAAATCATGCTGCATATCTACAACTATCTGATCTTTGACAAACCTGACAAAAAAAAGAAATGGGGAAAGGATTCCCTATTTAATAAATGGTGCTGGGAAAACTGGCTAGCCATATGTAGAAAGCTGAAACTGGATCCCTTCCTTACACCTTATACAAAAATTAATTCAGGATGGATTAAACACATACATGTTAGACCTAAAACCATAAAAACCCTAGAAGAAAACCTAGGCAATACCATTCAGGACATAGGCATGGGCAAGGACTTCATGTCTAAAACACCAAAAGCAATGGCAACAAAAGCCAAAATTGACAAATGGGATCTAATTAAACTAAAGAGCTTCTGCACAGCAAAAGAAACCACCATCAGAGTGAACAGGCAACCTCCAGAATGGGAGAAAAGTTTTGCAACCTACTCATCTGACAAAGGGCTAATATCCAGAATCTACAATGAACTCAAATTTACATAAAAAACAAACAACCCCATCAAAAAGTGGGCGAAGGATATGAACAAACACTTTTCAAAGGAAGACATTTATGCAGCCAAAAAACACATGAAAAAATGCTCATCATCACTGGCCATCAGAGAAATGCAAATCAAAACCACAATGAGATACCATTTCACACTAGTTAGAACGGCAATCATTGAAAAGTTAGGAAGCAACAGGTGCTAGAGAGGATGTGGAGAAATAGGATCACTTTTACACTGTTGGTGGGACTGTAAACTAGTTCAACCATTGTGGAAGTCGGTGTGGCGATTCCTCAGGGATCTAGAACTAGAAATACCATTTGACCCAGCCATCCCATTACTGGGTATATACCCAAAGGATTATAAATCATACTGCTATAAAGACACATGCACACATATGTTTATTGCGGCACTATTCACAATAGCAAAGACTTGGAACCAACCCAAATGTCCAACAATGATAGACTGGATTAAGAAAATGTGGCACATATATACCATGGAATACTATGCAGCCATAAAAAATGATGAGTTCATGTCCTTTGTAGGGACATGGATGAAGCCGGAAACCATCATTCTCAGCAAACTATCGCAAGGACAAAAAACCAAACACCACATGTTCTCACTCATAGGTGGGAATTGAACAATGAGAACACATGGACACAGGAAGGGGAACATCACACACCGGGGACTGTTGTGGGGTGGGGGGAGGGGGAGGGATAGCATTAGGAGATATACCTAATGCTAAATGACGAGTTAATGGGTACAGCACACCAACATGGCACATGTATATATATGTAACAAACCTGTACGTTGTGCACAAGTACCCTAAAACTTAAAGTATAATAATTAAAAAAAAGAAAAAAAAAAGAATTGTGATGAGTTTAAAGCATTATGTCTTTCTGGAAATTTGCCTACAAAAGGGGGCAAAAAATGAAAGCTAAAGCCATATATTGTGGTAGGAAAGCTTTGGTGTAGCAAAGTGGTGGGATAGGGATATTTTAGATTGGGCATGAAGGGGCCCTTGTAATCATACTATTCAAACTAATTGGAAGAAAAAGACATTCTTAGGAGAAAGAGACATTCTTAGGCTATAAAATTTGGTTTCTGAGATGAAAAGGCATATTTGATCAATAGCCTCTCCTTTCTAAATGAAGTGGCATTTGCCAATATGGATTCTGAGCTATTTGCTTGCTGAGTTAGTGTTTTAGTCATCCATTTTCATTAAGGATTTCTTGCATAAAACCAAGTCCCTAGGTAACTAGCATGCCCTGACCCTTTGAAGATATAATCACTGTTGCCAGTTGCCCCTTCACTCTAGGACTGTCTTTATAGAGAGATCAAAAGGCTTGTAACAATTTAAGTCACTTCTTTGTTGCATCTTTTTATTTATTTGACTCAAATATTCACAAATATGAATCTACTGTGTAAGCTTTACCCTTCCTCTTGGCACACGGTAGTGGAAGCCTCTTATCTAGATCTTGGGCAGGCTCCCTATGTCTTGATGCAAGCCAGTGGCTGACTTCTATGTCAGAGCCACCTGCTCTGCTCTGGCCTGGCTCCTGCTGCCTCTGCTTCTCTGTTCATCTCTCTAGCTTGACATCTTAACAATGACTTCCCTGGGCCTTGACTCCAGTTATTATGTTTATCAACTAACATAGGTTCAGAAAGTGGTGTTTTAAGTAAGCTGGAGGCAGCATGAGTGAAGGGACAAAACTTTGTCCCTTCACTGGACTAAATGGCATCTTCAGGATTTGACCCAATCCAGGCAAAGAATTTAGTCAATTGCTTGCAGTGATTGCAGCAGAAGCAGCCTACAGCAGACATCCAACCATTAAATGAAGGTCAGCTCTTTGTCACTTGACAGAGAGAGAACACGGTAGTAAAAGTGCACTCCAGCAAGCAGCTAAAACCCATTTTCCATGCTAATTACAAACGGAGGTCATGGGAAAGAGAATTTTAATTGACTATAACATGCAACAAATGGTTATTCTGAAATATTAGCTGATAAATTTCACTAACACTGTGTGCCGAGGAGCAGAAATCTGTAAACGCAAGTGATTAGGGTCACCTTCTATTATTTTTTTTTGGGGGGGGGTTAGTTGTCCACAAATTGTATAATGTGTACTTGTTTATTCTTTACTAATTCATTCATTTCTTCAGTAGCTATTAGCATTTACTAACTCTAAGACATTGCCCAAATTCTACAATTATGAAGGTGAATGACAGTCAACAAAAACAACAACAACGGTGTTTGCCACAATGTGAGGAAGGGTGATGAAGAGTTTGGGTTTTGGGTTTCAGGTGACCAGATGGCTTTTTTGTCGGGCAAATATTCCCCTAAGAAACACTAGCGTTGAACAGATTTTCTGAGTGTTTGACTATTGAGTCTTAAAAGTCAGAATGAAATACTTGAGAGAAAAAGTGCATAGTTTCCTTTCTATCCTCTGGGAAATTATAAACCAACCATCTTTCTCTAGTTTTCTCACTTCTAGAGCATCTGTCTTCCCTTCCTACCTGGATAAGCTGGTGAGAAGGTGGTTTCTTTGGGGCGGCCCACTCCCTCCCTGGGCAGGTGTTCTGACCAGCCTTCTCTTACTTTGGAGAAGTTGGTCATTTTTCTTTCCTCTGACTTTCAAACCTTCTGCTTCTCCCTGGAAGGATTGCTCTGACTTCCTTCATATTGGAGTAGGATATGAAATTGTAGTTCAGGCTAATATGAGCATATATATAAAATATATAAATATTGTTATATTTTAATATAATAATGTTAATATATAATATAAGCATAATATATTTATATTATAATATTTTATAATATGAGCATATATAAATATTTATATATAAAAATAAGTGTATGTTATATATATGCTCATTTATTCTTTTTTTAACTTTTATTTTAAGTTCAGGGGTACATGTGCAGATTTGCTACATAGTTAAACTTGTGTCATGGGGGTTTTTTGTACAGATTATTTCATCACCCAGGTATTAAGCCTAGTACCCATTAGTTATTTTTCCTGATCCTCTTCCTCCTCCCACCCTCCGCTCTCCGAGGACACCCACCCCATGTGTCCTTGTGTTCTCATAAATGATTTAGCTCCTACTTATAAGGGAGAACATGTGGTATTTGGTTTTCTCTTCTTGTGTTAGTTTGCTAAGGATAATGGCCTCCAGCTCCATACAAAGGACATGATCTTGTTCCTTTTTATGGCTGCATAGTATTCCATGGTGTATATGTACTACATTCGTATTATCCAGTCCATCACCGATGGGCATTTATGTTGATTCCATGTCTTTGCTATTGTGAATAGTGCTGCAATGAACATATGCGTGCATGCGTCTTTGTAACAGAATAATTTACATTCCTTTGGGCATATACCTAGTAATGGGATCGCTGGGTCGAATGGTATTTCTGTCTTTAGGTCTTTGAGGAATTGCCACACCGTTTTCTATGAGGGTTGAACTAACTTACACTTCCACAGTGTAAAAGCATTCCTTTTTCTCCACAGCCTCACCAGAATCTGTTAGTTTTTGACTTTTTAATAGCAGCCGTTCTGATGACTGGTGTTAGATGGTATCTCATTGTGGTTTTGATTTGCATTTCTCTAATGATAATGACGTTGAGCTTCTTTTCATAGGATTGTTGGCTGCATGTATGTCTTCTTTTGAAAAGTGCCCATTCATGTCCTTTGCCCACTTGTTAATGGATTGTTTGTTTGTTTTATTCTTGTAAATATAAGTTCCTCATAGATGCTGGATATTAGACTGTTGTTGGATGCGTAGTTTGCAAAATTTTTCCCCCATTCTGTAGGTTGTCTGTTTACTCTGTTGATAGTTTCTTTTGCTGTTCAGAGCTGTTTAGTTTGATTAAGTCTCATTTGTCAATTTTTGCTTTTGTTGCAATTGCTTTTGGCGTCTTTATCATGAAGTCTTTGTTCATGCCTCTGTCCTGCATGGTATTGCCTAGGTTGTCTTCCAAAGTTTTCATAGTTTTCAGTTTTAAATTTAAGTCTGTAATCCATCTTGAATTAATTTTTGTATACGGTGTAAGGAAGGGGTCCAGTTTCAGTCTTCTGCATATGGCTAGCCAGTTATCCCAGCACCATTTATTGAATAGGAATCCTTTCCCCATTGCTTGTTTTTGTTCCCTTCCTTTCTACGTTCCTTTCAACAAGTATTTATTTACTGAGCATGGGCTATGTCCCTGTACCAGAATAGTCAAGGAGGGGTTACATCAGTAAATAAGAAAGATCAAGTCCCAGCTCTTATGAAACTTATGTCCTAGCAGGTAGAAACAGCCAGGCAAGGAACAAGACAATATTTTGTAGTTTTCATTGTGTAGATATTACACATATTTAATTAAATTTATACCTAAGCATTTCATATTTTAAATGTTATTTAGGTGACCTTTTTAAATGCCAAATTTTATTTTTTCATTGTTATTATATAAAGATACAATAGGTTTTTGTATGTCAACCTGGTAGCCTGTGATCTTGAGGAACTCTTGTTATTTCTAGTTGCTTTAAAAAATAGAATCCATGGGATTTTCTATATAAATAATCATGGTGCAAAATAAACAGCTCTTCCTTTCCAATCTGTATGCCTTTTATTTTTTTTTTCTTACCTGAATGCATTAGCTAGAACTTCCAGGCCAATGTTAAATAGTAGCAGTAAGAGTGGACATCCTTCTCTTATTCTGATCTTAGAAAGGGAAACATTCAGTTTTTCATCATTAAATATGATGTTAGTTGTAGGGTTTTTTTGTTTTGTTTTGTTTTTTTTTTTTTTTTTTTTTTTTTTTGTAGATATCCTTCTTCAGATTGAGGAGTCCAAATAGTCTGGAGGAGGAAGGGTCCCCCAAGCAGGACACCACAGTGGTTTTGACAGATTGTGACCAGACTGCTTCTTTAAGCAGAGCCCCTGATCCTTTGCTTTTAAGCTATGTGTGTGTGTGTGTATATTTAAAGTATGTTTCTTCAGGTTAGGGAACCCAGACATAAAGCCATCTGATTTTCAACAAAGTCGACAATAACAAGAAATGGGAAAAGGACTCCCTATTCAATAAATAGTTTTAACTAGCTATTTATTGAAACCATTATTATGGTATCATAACTAACCTTATGAAAGCTGGAGACAAATGACCGATAAACTCATGAGGTGATGTTCAAGGTTACTATTAGGGAAATGCAAATGAAAACCACAATAAGATACCTTTATATCCATTCAAAAGACTATTTTTTAAGAAAAGAAAATAAATGTTAGTGAGGATACAAAAAAATTGGAGCCCTTGTGCATTGCCGTTAGGATTGTAAAATAGTACAGCTGCTATGAAAAGGATATAAAGTTTCCTCAAAAAATTAAAGAATAGAATTAACATATGATCTAACAATTCCACTTCTGGTTATATACTCAGAAAGAATTGAAAACAGATATTTGTACAACGATGTTCATAACAGCATTATTCACAATAGCCAAAAGAGAGATAACTGGCTAACCATATGCAGAAGATTGAAACTGAACCCATTATTTTCACCATTTATAAGAACTAACTCAGATGGATTAAAGATTTAAGTGTAAGACTACAAACTACAACAATCCTAGATAAAAACTTAAAAAACACCATTCAGGACATTTGCCTTGGGAAAGAATTTATGACTAAGTCCTCAATAGCAATTGCAACCAAAAAAAAAAAAAAAATTGACAAGTGGGACCTAATTAAACTAAAGAGCTTCAGCACAGAAAAATAAACTATCAACAGAGTAGGAGATTGACTTGAGTAACAATAAAACTCCAGTCTCCCTCACAGCTGGCTTTGTGTAAATTACTCTTTCTCCATTGCAATTTCCCTGTCTTGATAAACTGGCTCTGTCTAGGCAGTGGGCAAAGTGAACCCATTGGGTGTTTACAAATTTGGGGGCTCGTCTGGGATTGCCCTTGTGGCTACCTGCCCCATGGTTCAGTAGCCCCCTCCCACAACAGATCCAAAGACCAGCCCAAGTGGCTGCTTAGTTCTGTTGGATGAGGGGCTAACTCTGGTACTCTCTCTACTGGTGGGGCACTGCTGAGCCAATGTGCATGGATTTAATTGCAATAAGGAAATAGTCCTGGGGAGATATAACTATAGGCATATCACAGGGTCTCTGTGTGTAGCCCAGTCATGGAGTGTCCATAGCTTTAGCTCCATTATATAGTGTTTGGTTTGGTGAGTATTGTAGGTGCTGCCAATGCCTCCTTCCTTCTCCTGATTGGTTTGTCTTATTCTGGGGCCTGAGTTCTTCCGTAGCCCCACTGTGGGATGTCTGTCTCAGTTTGGCTCCTTCTGGGTTCTTGGTCAGCTCTCCCTAATTATTAGGAAGAGTTTTGTTTTGGGAGATGTCTCCTCAGTCAGGAAGATTTGAAGGAGATTTCTCTCATTCAGAGAATAGGTGGGTAGCTTGGAAGGGATACTCTTGGAGTTCTTGGTTAGGGATCTTGACTTGGAAGACCTTCTGTCTGTCTTGTTTTTATGTGTGTTTGTATATGTGGAGGCAATTTCTGAAAGAATTGCTGATGGAAGTCCAGCAGGCCTAACTCAGAGAACCCTCCTTATTTATCTGGTCACATTTGGTGAGTCCTGGAGAAGCTCAACAGGCCTGACTCGGGGTAACTCGCTCTTCGTCTTGCCCAGAGACCACCCACTGAATTACCATTCAGAGGTCATCCCTCCCCACCAGGAGTGGATCAAAGACAACAGGGACCAATAGGAGAAAGTCTGAGCCTTGCCAGGTCAATATTCGGTGCTGAACGAGGTGACTAGTGTCTGTTTTGTTATGTGTATTTTGCTTCAGCTGGGATGGAAAACGTTAATTTGGTTCCACACGCAACCTGTTGAGCAGCATCTTGCAAAATTGAGAATCTTTTGCCTATGGTTCCATAAAACATAACAGAGTGACTTTCTTTTGTAAAGTGGCTTGACCCCCACAGTTATGGAACAGTGAGCAGGGTCATCAAAAGCTGCTCCATTCTTCTGGAAACTGTAAAGGGGACCCGGAAACCTGGTATGCCAGCATAAAGGGTAAGAAATTCTTATTTATTTATTTTTTTTTAAGATGGAGTTTCCCTCTTGTTGCCCAGGCTGGAGTGCAATGGCACAATCTCGGCTCACCCCAACCTCCGCCTCCTGGGTTCAAGTGATTCTCCTGCCTCAGCCTCCCGAGTAGCTGGGATTACAGGCATGTGCCACCACACCCAGCTAATTTTGTATTTTTAGTAGAGACAGGGTTTCTCCGTGTTGGTCAGGCTGGTCTCAAACTGATCCACGCACCTAGGCCTCCCAAAGTGCTGGGATTACAGGCATGAGCCACCGTGCCTGGCCTAAGAAATTCTTACTAGTCAAGCTTCTGGTCTCTCTCCCTCTCTCTCTCTCTCTGTGTGTGTATGTGTGGTGGAGGGTGAGGGTAGGGGGAATGTTAAACGTCACTGTTTGTCTCCTCTGCAAAAGTTTGATTAATAGAAAAAAAGAGGATTTGTGAGACTAGCCTTAGAATGTAGCATATCTGGTGCAATTTGTGCTAAGAATTTGTCTTTCTGTGTCACTCTATAATGGAAAGAGAGGTATCACTGGATAGAACGTGGGTTTACGGCTCCTATAAGCTCGCATTTTAAGCCTGGCAGCTGGTCAGTTACCAAGTTTGCTACGGGTCCCTGAAACCAATACCAGATAAAATTTCCCTGTCTTGTTTTGTATCCTTAAGAGCTTAACCTTGTGACCATGTGGAGATACTTTCTCTTGGTCTCCGCCATCCAGAGGACAGGAATTTTGGGGTTCATGTCATAGTTAGCCCCAAAAATTATCTTGAGCAGTTAAAAGCCTCTGCAAGCTTGAAATTGGCTGCTCTAGACTTCTGGGAAGAGTAATAGAAACTGCTCAGTGCTGTAACTCAGTAGCTAAGGCTCTGTCTTTTGGCAATGGCAGCACGGGCTCAATTTCTGGTTTCAGGAATGATTCCTTTCTGTTTTGTTATTTGTGTAACTTTGCCATTTATTAAGACTCCCCTCTCCTCCACCCATGAATAGCTTCTAATTTCCTGTCTTGAATTTTCCTTTCTTTAAACTACCTTGGAGAGATTCTAAATCTTGTAAAAAAAAAAAAAAAAAAAAAAAAAAAAAGAAAACTGCCTACCATCTCTTTGAGATACCTTACGTGCCCATGGTTAAGTTATAACCTTAGTTAAAACTTAAATTTCTCAAATAACTTAAAACAGAGCTACTATTTGATCCAGCAATTCCACTGCTGGGTGTACGCTCAAAGAAATACAAACATTCTACCAAAAAGACATGTAGTTATGTGTTCCTTGCAGCACTATTTATAATAGTAAAGACATAGAATCAACCTAGATGCCTATCAACAGTGGACTGAATATAGAAAATGTGGGCTGGGCACGGTGGCTCATGCCTGTAATCCCAGCACTTTGGGAGGCCAAAGTGGGTGGATCACGAGGTCAAGAGATCAAGACCATCCTGGCTAACATGGTGAAACCCCATCTCTACTAAAAATACAAAAAAATTAGCCGAGTGTGGTGGCGGGTGCCTGTAGTCCCAGCTACTCAAGAGGCTGAGGCAGGAGAATGGCATGAACCCAGGAGGCGGAGCTTGCAGAGAGTGGAGATCATGCCACTGCACTCCAGACTGGGCAACAGAGTGCAACTCCATCTCAAAAAAAAAAAAAAGAAAAGAAAATGTGGTACATATATACCATGGAATACTGCATGGCCAGAAAAAAGATGAAAAAAAAAATCCCCAAATCATGGGTTTCGCAGCAACATGGATGAAGCTGGAGGCCATTATTTTAAGCAAATTCACATAAGAAACCAAATACTGCATGTGCTCACTTATAAGTAGGACCTAAACACTGAGTACACAGGAACACAAAACGGTAAACAGTAGATGCTTGAGGGTGGAGGGTGGGAAGAGGATGAGGGTTGAAAAACTACTCATCGGGTACTATGCTTTTCACCTGGGTGACACAATCCTTTGTACACCACAACCCAGTGACATGCAATTTACCCATGTGACAAACCTTCACACATAGCTCCTGAACCTGAATTAGAAGTTGAAAACATAAAATCCATATTTCTGAAAACAGTATGTTTCTTGCAAACAGCATATAATTGTGTCTTAATAGTTAATCAAATCTGATGAAGTTTGGCTTTTAATCACATTATATAGGCTAACAGTCCCCAGTCTTTTTGCACCAGGAACTGGTTTTATGGAAGACATTTTTTTTCACAGATGGGAAGGGGCAAGGGATGGTTTCAGGATAAAACTGTTGCACCTCAGATCATCAGGCATTAATTAGATTCTAAGAAGGTGCAGGCATTAATTAGATTCTAAGAAGGTGCGCACAACCTAGATCCCCTGCCTGTGTAGTTCACAAAAGGGTTCGTGCACCTTTGAGATGCTAATGCTGTGGCTGATCTGACAGGAGGTGGCGCTCAGGTGGTAATGCTCGCTTACCTGCCACTCACCTCCTGCTCTGTGGCCTGGTTCCTATATAGGGTTCCTATATAGGACTCCCTATGTAGGCCACTTATAATCAATGTAATTATTGAAATGTTTGGTTTAAATCTACTCTCTTGCTATTCTGAAAATTGTTAAATCCATTAAAACATTTCTTTTTTTTTCTTTTTTAGTCTTCTTTTGGATTAGTGGACTTAACATACATAAACAAATATATATATGTATATATGTGTGTATATGTGTGTATATAAGTGTATTATATATGTGTATATATTAAATATATATGTGTGTATATATATACACACACACATACACTTATTTACATATATACACATATATATGTAAAATTCCATTTTTTCTCCCTGTTGGATTATTAGACTTCCTCTTTGTATTACTTTTTAAAGTGATTGTTCTAAGACATATAATATATGTCTTAAACATATCCCAACCTGCCTTCAAATAACATTATACCATTTCATGTGTTGTGTTAAGATCATACTTACAACGCACACTTCAATATCATTTCATGCTGTGCTTTATGTTTTGTGTTATTTCCAATGTGTTATAAATCATATAATAAATTGTTATTCATTTTGTTTTAAGCAATTATATTTTAAAGAGGTTAAAAAATAAGAAAAAATATTTACTGACATACTTAATTATCTTTAGTGTTTTTAATTCTAAATTTCCATTTGATATAACTTTTCTTTTTTCTGAGGAATTTCCCATAACATTTCTTATTGAGCAAATATTCTGATAAAGTTTGTATGAAGAATTCTTGATTTTATATTCATTTTGAAAGATATTTTCTCTGAGTGTAGTGTTCTAGGTTAATAGTTTTCTTTTTTCTTTCCCCTCAATAAGTAAAAATGTTGCTTCTTTGTTTTCGGGCTTGCATAGTTTCTGATGAGAAGTATGCTATCATTCTTATCTTTGTTCTTGTGTATGCAATGTCTATAATATTCTGTATATAATGTTATGGCTGCTTTAATAATTTTCTATTTGTTGTTGGTTTTCAGCAATATGATTTTATTTTTTATTTATTTATTTTGCTTGGGGTTCTTTTAGGTTCTTAGATTTGTGGGTTTTCAAACTGGGAAAAATTTTGGCCATTATTTCTTTAAAGATATTTTTTTCTGTCCTTCTTTCCACTCCCTTCCCCCCACTGTCCTGCAACCCAAGTCCTGGGACCCTTTTATGTGTGTGTTCAACTCCTTGATATTATCCTAGAGGTCACTGATCCTCTGTTCATTTTTTCTTCTTTCTATTCTTTATCTAGGGTACTATCTATTGCCATGTCTACCTGTTTACTGATCTGTTTTTCCCAAAATTATCATCTGATATTAATCTCATTCAGTATATTTTTCAGTTCAGGTATTGTATTTTTTCATCTTTAGAATTTCAATTTGGGTCTTTTCAAAATTTTCCAGTTCTTTTTTCATTATGTTTATTTCATTCTTTGTCATCTTGAACATATGCTAGGTATTTAGAATGGCTGTTTTAATGTCCTTGCCTGCTAATTAGATAATGTGTGTTATCTCTGTTTCTTTCTATTGACTGGTTTTCTCCTGCTAATTCATCATATCTTCCTACTTCTTTGCATGCTTAGTAATTTTTAATTGAATATTGTAAATTTTATGTTTTTGGCTGGTGCATTTTGTTTATTCCTTTACATAGTATGGCCCTTTGCCAGATATTTAATTAGGTTGCTTGGAATTAGTTGCATGCTTTGGAGGCTTGCTTTGTTTACAGCAGGTACAAGGCAGCCTTCAATCTAGCTGGTTTAGTCCCATAAATAAGGCAATACTTGCCTGAAGACTTCAGGGAATAACTTTTGTATTACAGTGACATTCACCTTGGCTGCTGGGAAAATGCACTCCTTCCAGCCATGTGTAAGATCTGGGAATTTTTCAGCCTGTGACTTTCTGGCGATTTGCTTCCCAGTCTTAGTTTCTCCTCACACATGAACAGATCAATACTCAACTAAAAAAGTGAGAGACCTCTCTGTAGAACTCCAGAACTTTTTCTCGGTCATAACTCTTCTCTCTAGTAGTCTGCTATGCAAAATCTTGCAGGCTTGGCCTTCCTCAACTCCGTACTTTCTCTTCTCAACTCAGCAAATCTGGAGGCTTTCCTTGAGTTCCCTCTCCCAGCTGTATAACCTGGAACCTGCCTCCCTGTAATACGCTGACACAATTGCTCAGCACTCATCTTGTTTGTTTTCCTTTCTTCAAGAATCACTGTTTCATGCTACATGTTATCCAATATCTGAAAACTATTTTTCATATATTTTACTTGTTTTTCTAATTGTTTAATATGGGAGCATATATTCTGTCTGTGTTACTCCATCATGGCAAAAAGCAGACTGCCTTCTCTCTTTTATATTTTCTCTAGGAATGAAATTCTGGGTTGACAGTTCCTTTTTTTTTTTTTGTCACTTTCAAAATGTCATGTCATCTGGCATGCAAAGTTTCTGATGAAAAAGTTTGCTATACGTCTTATCTTTGATACTCTGTACATAGTCCCACTCCTCAACCACCTGCTGCCTTTAAGATTTTCTCTTTATCTTTTTGTTGTTGTTGTTGTTTGTTTGTTTGTTTTCTTTTTAGAGACAGAGTCTCGCTCTGTCACCCAGGCTGGAGTGCAATGGCACTATCTCGGCTCACTGCAACCTCTGCCTCTCAGATTCAAGCGATTCTTCTGCCTCAGCCTCCTAAGTAGCTGGGACTACAGGCATGCACCACTGTGCCTGGCTAATTTTTGTATTTTTAATAGAGACGGGGTTTCACCATGTTGGCCAGGTTGGTCTTGAACTCCTAACCTCAAATGATCTGACCACCTCGATACCTCCCAAAGTGCTGTGATTACAGGCGTGAGCCACTGTGCCTGGCCAAGGTTTTTTAGCAGTTTGAATTTGATATGTTCAGGTGAGTTTTTTTTAGGGGGAAGGGGAGTGGTAGAAAAATTTATCCTGCTTGGGTTTCTTAAGATGTGGTTTGATGTCTTTTTATCATTTTTTGAAAATTCTCAGCCATCTTTTCGAACATTTACTCTATTTTTTCTCTCTTCTCCTGAGATTCCAATTACACATAGGTTCATTCAGACATACATGGACTCAGAATGCCTTAGAAAGGAAGCCCATTTCTAAAATATGCTACCATATTTATAGAGAAACAAGGGCAGGAAGCATCTAAGTGACCATGAAACAATGGGACCTTCCTTGTTGAATAAATGGCCTTGCTTCCTTGATGGAAGCTGTTGTCCTGTCCTGCAGGCCTCTTGGCAGAGCTGCATCCAGCCTCACCCTTTTGGCAGACACCCTAGTTCATGGGCCAGTATGATGCCTGCTCAACACCAGTAGCCATTGTTAAGGTCTCAGGGACCAAGCTGTACCATAGGAGGGTCTTTGGCCCACTGACTGAAATTAGCCCATTTTTTCAGTAAGTAAACACAAATTTGCTGGGTCAGTAGCTTTGCTAAGCTACTGAAAGAAGGAAGGGAATACATGCCTCAGGTTATCTGAGTTTGCCTTTTCTCTTGTACTACCATACCATTTTAACAATTTATGCATCTTAAAGAACATTTCATTTAGCTCATATATTATTATCTCATTGTTTGTCAAAGCTACATTATAGACTTTTGAATAGATGTAAGCTAATTTATTTAATCTTTAAAATTAATAAACATAAATACTGATGAGCATTTAGAATGTTTCTAATTTATTGCTATTACAACCAATGCCTCAGTTAACATATTGAGCCTACACTTTAATGTGAATAATTAGGGGCTTTTTTGGTTATTGCTTTTAATTTTTCTTTTTGCAGACCTCAGCTGTATTGGAATGAATCAATCATGCTCCTTAATTATTAAGGCCATATAGTTATTATCCTTGTGGCACCTCTCCTTAATTTTTTAAAAGATTATATTATTGTTTTTTACTTATCATTCTCACCACAGACATCCACTCTCTTGTATATGATGTAATTACTTTCTAGCCATCTTTTTTTCATTTCCATATATGTATATCTCCAAGCATGTAATGCTGTTTAGAGTAATTTTTATTTATATTAATTTAATTATGCTATCAGTTTTTTAAAAGACTTTTTTTCATGCACACTATATTTTTGAAGCCATTTGATGTTACTCTATGTAGATCCAGCTCATGTATTTTGACCATTCCACAGAATTCAAACATATACAAGTACAGCAGCAGGAAAATTCATGGCAGTACAAAACCTGAATCAAAACGTACCTACATTTCCAATTTGAATAGATTGAGCCAAGGTAGTTTGAAAATGGTTGTACTAACTTAAAATTACAGCAGCAGTGGGTCCCTATTTCCTCACATCTTTTCCAAAGTAAGGATTATCAAATGTTTTCTGCACAAAAATGATATTTTGTTGTCCTTTCAACTTATATTTACTTAACTATCAATTTTTGTGAACATGTTTTTCTTTGTTTGCTGGCAATTTGTATTTCTTTTATTGTAAATTTCCTGTTCCAACATATAGCCTTCCAATGTCTTCAGCTTGGCAGTATTTTTAGAATTTCAAACTTGAAACTTGGGTGATGGTGAAATCTAAGGTCATCAGTGGATACGGATGATTTATCTATTTAAGACAAACTGCAATGATATTGAGCAAATTAAAAGCTTATGTGCATCATGGTTCCTGGGGCCAATAGAGTAATCATTTGGAATTCTGTGTTATAAAACTGTAGGCTATGAGCATGAAATTAACTTAACCAACATGTTCAACCAAAAGTCGTTTAGGGACAATTTTAGTTTAACTGTGATGCAGGATGGCAGCTTCCCCTAGTTTCAAAACTCACAGCCATGCCCACTTCCTGTTCATCAGGCATATGTAATTTGTCTTGGAGCTTTGTGGAGAGCTAGACGTATGACATGTCAGGACACATCTGATACATTAGAAGGATTTCTCTTCGCTTCTCCCCTCCCTCTTTCCTTCTAGACTTCTTTCCTTTATTGGAGACAGAATACATCTCCTCACAAAACAGGCCTCAGATCTCCATCCCTTTTGTCAGTTTTCGTTGACTAGTCTTAATGTTCCGTTAGGGCTCCACCTCCTTCTCTGACAACTCGGCATTTGCCTGATGTGACATCTTCAAGAGTCTTTAAGACAGGCGAAGGAGGTGAAAGAGAGGGCAGTGTGGGGGGAGACATGAGAGAGGCCAGGCCTATCAGTGTCACAAAGCATCTGTCAAGAAGAGATTGAATTAGTCCCTGGTCCTTGATGGAAGCTGCTGTCTTGTCCTTCAGGCCTTTTGGCAGAGCTGCATCTAGCCTCACCCTCTCTGGAAGACATGCTGGGTCATGGAAGCCAGCACAATGCCTCCTCAACACCAGTAGCCATTGCTAGGGTCTCAGGGACCAAGCTATACCATAGGAGGGCCCTTTTTCTGCTGAGTACCTGGATGGATTCGAGGTGCAAGTTTGGAGCAGAGCTGGGAATCCTGGAGGGAGAGAAAAGGTCATGAGTCTGGGGTCTGCTCAGGATCAGGCAAAGGGAAAAATGCTCTTTGACAGCATGGCTCTTTTTAGAAGGGAATGTGTAATAAAATTTGAAGTTAGCAATTGTGTGCCAGGCAAGGTAAATCTCTTTCTCCCTCTTTCTATCGAATCCTAGGTAAAGTGACAACACTAAAGAGTATTTGTGCATGGGGGAGGCTGTGCAGGAACAATAATGAGCCTAGTATGTGCACCTAGTGTGTGCTAGTGAGAGGTGACAGTGTGCTGGCAGCCCTCACAGCCCTCACAGCCCTCGCTCGCTCTCCCCGCCTCCTTGGCCTCAGCGCCCACTCTGGCCGCACTTGAGGAGCCCTTCAGCCTGCCACTGTATTGTGGGAGCCCCTTCCTGGGATGGCCGAGGCTGGAGCCAGCTCCCTCAGCCTGTGGGGAGGTGTGGAGGGAGAGGCATGGGCAGGAACCAGGCTGCGCAGCGCTTGCAAGCCAGCTAGGGTTCCGGGTGGCTGTAGGCTCAGCGGGCCCTGCACTGGGAGCAGCCAGCCGGCGCCGCTGGCCCTGGGCAGTGAGGGGCTTAGCACCCGGGCCAGCAGCTGCGGAGGGTGCGCCGGATCCCCCAGCAGTGCTGGCCCACCAGCGCTGCACTCGAATTCTTGCCGGGCCTCAGCTGCCTCCCCACAGGGCAGGGCTCGGGACCTGCGGCCTGCCATGCCCGAGCCTCCCCCCGCCTCCGTGGGCTCCTGCGTGGCCTGAGCCTCCCTGACAAGCACCTCCCCCTGCTCCATGGCACCTGGTCCCATCACCGCCCAAGGGCTGAGAAGAGTGGGCACACGGCGTGGGACTGGCAGGCAGCTCTGCCTGCAGCCTCAGTGCAGGATCCACTGGGTGAAGCCAGCTGGGCTCCTGAGTCTAGTGGGGACTTGGAGAACCTTTATGTCTAGCTAAGGGATTGTAAATACACCAATCAGCACTCTGTGTCTAGCTCAAGGTTTGTAAATGCACCAATCAGCACCCTGTGTCTAGCTCCAGGTTTGTAAATACACCAATCAGTGCTCTGTGTCTAGCTAATCTAGTGGGGACTTGGAGAACTTTTGTGTCTAGCTCAGGGATTGTAAACTCACCAATCAGCACCCTGTCAAAACGGACCAGTCAGCTCTCTGTAAAACAGACCAATAAGCTCTCTATAAAATGGACCAATCAGCAGGATGTGGGTGGTGCCAGATAAGGGAATAAAAGCAGGCTGCCCAAACCAGCAGTGGCAATCCTGAGTCCCTTTCCACAGTGTGGAAGTTTAGTTCTTTCACTCTTTGCAGTAAATCTTGCTGCTGCTCATGCTTTGGGTCCACACTGCTTTTATGAGCTGTAACACTGACGGCGAAGGTCTGCAGTTTCTCTCCTGAGGCCAGCAAGACCACAAACCTACCGGGAGGAATGAACAACTCTGGATGGGAGGAATGAACAACTCCAGATGCCCTGCCTTAACAGCTGTAACACTCACCGCGAAGGTCTGCAGCTTCACACCTGAAGCCAGCGAGACGATGAACCCACCAGCAGGAAGAAGCTCTGAACACATCCGAACATCAGAAGGAACAAACTCTGCACACGCCACCTTTAAGAACTGTAACAGTCACCGCGAGTGACTGTGGCTTTGTTCTTGAAGTCAGTGAGACCAAGAACCCACCAATTCTGGACACACTAGGAAGAATACATTTCATGGATAATGTTTATTGTACAATACTTCCATAAAATATTTTTGTCTCTAATTTATTTCACAATCATATTTTTATGTTATGATATAATACTATTGCAAAGACCTGTAATCCCAGCACTTTGGGAGGCTGAGATGGGCGGATCACGAGGTCAGGAGATCGAGACCATCCTGGATAACGTGATGAAACCCCGTCTCTACTAAAAATACAAAAAAATAGCTGGGCGTGGTGGCAGGCGCCTGTAGTCCCAGTTACTCGGGAGACTGAGGCAGGAGAATGGCATGAACCCAGGAGGTAGAGTTTGCAGTGAGCGAACTCAAAAAAAAAAAAAATTGCAAAGACCTCATAAACTGTTTTCTCTGTTCCAGCCAAGACTGATATGTTTTGCAAAAAATAGTCACCTATTTAAATTAGCTAAGGAAAGGTGGTGTCTCAGTAGGTTATGAGGGAGTGTCATGGAAAATAAAAGCAGGAAATTGGGTTTTGTCTCATGGGAAGTGGAGAGTCACTGGGCCACACCCTTCTTTCTCTCTATCCCTGGGCTATATGTCCTCCCTGCAAATCTGCTCTCTCCTCCAGCCTGTCTCTGAAAATGAGTTTCCACTGCCAACTTTCCAGATTGCACATGGATAAAACAGACCTCAAGCCCCAGGCTGGCAGCTGCAGGCTTACTAATCTCACTGGAGATTTTGTATCTCCTAGTTTCAAGATTAATCAGAGAATCTGATAGGCTCATCAAAGATCAGGTGGCCACATCCCATCTAGTCATCTGTGGCCAGGAGAGGGCACCCTTGGAAGAGCAGAGCTTCAGCAGGCACTGAGGTGGTGTCTGCTCTGGTGTCTGCTACAAGACCCATCTGACAGTTGAGAAAACAGAGGTTCGGAAATGGAAATGCTTTGACTCCAAGGCACAGGTAATAAAGTAACTAACCAAGGACACTAATGGAGGGGACCAGTAGTAAAGATTTGGTGGAGATGAAAATACATACATCTGTTATATGTCAATTAAAAAATAAGATTGAGAAGCAGCTGCAGTCCGTGGCACTCACAAAGAGAAACAAAAGGGGCAAGTGAATACAGCACCATCAACTGAAATATTCAGGTAGTCACATTGGGACTGATCAGGGAAACAACTCAACTCATGAAGAACAACCCATGGGTGATGGCCCACCTGGAAGCCATATGGAGCCAAGGAAACCCCCACCCCAGCCAAGGGAAGTGGTGAATGAATGTGTGACCCCAGGAAACCATGCTTTTCCCATGAATCTTTGCAACCCATGGATCAGGAGATCCCCTCATGAGCCCATGCCACCAGGGTCTTGGGGCCAACACACAGAGCTGTGTAGAGTCTTGGCAGAGCAGCTGCTTGGGCATACACAGAGACCGAGGAGCTTTACATACTCTGGCCCCAGGATCCCTAACAAACGTGTTTGCAACTCAGGCAGGGCAGGAGGTCCACACAAACCCCTAGGAAGAGGGTGGAATCCAGAAAGCCAAGCAATGTCATTCTGTGGGTCCTCCTTCCATGGCACCTCACAAGATAAGACCTACTGACTTGGAATTCCACCCAGCCAATGGCAACAGGGTGAAGCCTGCCTGAGATGGGCCGGAGCCCCTCTGGGGAGGGGCAGGCACCATTTCTACTGCTAGGTTGACTCAGCTGTTCCAGCCTGTGGGCTTTGGAGAGTCCAAACAGTCTGGAGGAGGAAGGGTCCCCCCAGCAGTGCATCACAGTGGCTTTCCCAGATTGTGACCAGACTGCTTCTTTAAGCAGAGCCCCTGATCCATTTCTCCTCACTGGGCAGGACCTCCCGGGCAGGACCTCCAGCTGCTTCTGCCCACACTTATTAGGGACAGAGCTCTGCTCTCTCTCTGGGAGAGGAGAGGGCCACCACCTGGGTTGATTGGATGACTCGGCTGTTCCAGACTGTGGGCTCTGGAGACTCCAAGCCAGCAGGGGCAGAGGCGACTGTTTTGGGGAGGTGTGGCAGACTGCTTTTTAAAGCAGGACGCTGATCTACTTCTCCTCCTGGGGCGGGTCCTCCCATCTGGGTCCTCCCAGCCAGGGCCTATGGCCACCCTGCCCATGCTCTACAGGGCCGATAGAGCTCTAATTACTCCTGGGATGAGTGCCTGAGGGGCAGGTGAGGGAGCAACCTTGGTGGGGCTTCTCAGCCAGTCTAGCCTGTGGGCCTTGGGGAGCCCAAACTGATTGGGGACTGAAGGGATCCCCAATACAGCACAGCTTCTCTGCCAAAAAGTAGCCATACTGCTAATTCAAGTGGGTCCCTGATCCCATTCCTCTCGACGCAGTGAGACTTCCCAACCAGGGTCCCCAGCCATCTCATACAAGTGTGTTCAGGCCAGCAATAAGTCAGTACACCAATGGCATGGAGCTTCTAGAAGAAGGGGCAGGCTGCCATCTTTGCTGCTTTGCAGCATTCATGCATGATACCTCCAGGTACAGGAAGAAGCAAGGCAGCTAGGATCTGGAGCAGATCCTCAGCAAGCTGCAGCAGCCCTAGGGAGAGTGGCCAGACTACTAAAAGAAGAACAAACAAGCAGAAAACAACAGCAACAACAAAACCACAAAATCCCCATCCAAAGGTCAGTAATCTCAAAGAACGAAGGTAGATAAGCCCACAAAGATGGGAATCAATGCAAACATGCTGAAAACTCAAAAATCCAGAGTGCCCCTTTTCCTCCAAATGACAGCAGTGTCTCTCCAGCAAGGTCTCAGAACTGGGCTGAGGCTGAGATGGCTGAAATGACAGAAGTTGGCTTCAGAATGTGGATAATAATGAATTTTGCTGAGCTAAAGGAGCATGTTGTAGCCCAATGCAAAGAAACTAAGAATTAGATAAAACAATACAGGAGCTGAAAACCAAAATAACAGTTTAGAGAGGAACACAGTCGACCTGTTAGAGCTGAAAAACACACTATAAAAACTTCACAATGCAATCACAAATATTAATAGCAGAATAGACCAAGCAGAGGAAAGAATCTCAGAGCTTGAAGACTGGCTTTCTGAATTAAGACAGGCACACAAGAATAGAGAAAAAAAGACTGAAAAGGAATGAACAAAACCTCTGAGGAATATGGGATAATGTAAAGAGACTGAATCTACAACTGATTGGGGTACCTGAAAGAGAGAGAGAGAATGGAACCAAATTGAAAACATACTTCAGGATATCATTCAGGAGAACTTCCCCAACCTAGTAAGAGAGGCCAATATTCAAATTCAAGAAATGCAGAGAACCTCAGTAAGATACTCCATGAGAAGATCATCCCAAGCCACATAATCATCAGATTCTCCAAGGTTGAAATGAAAGAAAAAATGTTAAGGGCAGCCAGAGAAAAAGGCCAGGTCACCTACAAAGGGAAGCCCATCAGACTAACAGTGGATCTATCAGTGGAAGCCCTAACAAGCCAGAAGAGATTGGGAGCCAATATTTAATACTCTTAAAGAAAATAATTTCCAACCCAGAATTTCATATCCAGCCAAACTAAGCTTCATAAGCAAAGGGGAAATAAGATCCTTTTCAGATGAGCAAATGCTGAGGGAATTTGTTACTATTAGAACTGCCTTGCAAGGACTCTTGAAGGAAGCACTAAATATGGAAAGGAAAAACCATTACCAGCCACTACAAAAACACACTGAAGTACACAGGCCAGTGACACTATGAAGCAACTACATAAACAAGCCTGCAAAATAACCAGCTAGCATCACGATGACAGGATCAAATCTACACATAAAATACTAACCTTAAATGTAAATGGGCTAAATGCCCCAATTAAAAGACACAGAATGGCAAACTGGATAAAGAACCAAGACCCATTAGTATGCTATTTTCAAGAGACCCATCTCACATGCAAAGAC
Organism: Homo sapiens; assembly: GCF_000001405.40. Classification (NCBI taxonomy): domain Eukaryota; kingdom Metazoa; phylum Chordata; class Mammalia; order Primates; family Hominidae; genus Homo; species Homo sapiens. Next base: position 174,906,667 of record NC_000005.10, read on the forward strand.
ATGCATAGGCTCAAAATAAAGGAATGGAGGAAAATTTACCAAGCAAATGGAAAACAGAAAATAGCAGAAGTTGCAATCCTAGTTTCTGACAAAACAGACTCAAAACCAACAAAAATAAAAAAAGACACAGGAGAACATTACATAATGGTAAAGGGTTCAATTCAACAAAAAGAGTTAACTAGTTGTAATATATATGCACCCAGTACAGGAGCACCCAGATTCATAAAGCAAGTTCGTAGAGACCTTCAAAGAGACTTAGACTCTGACACAATAATAGTGGGAGACTTTAACACTCTACTGACAATATTAGATCATCAAGACAGAAAATTAACAAAGATATTCAGGATCTGAACTCAGCTCTGGATCAAGTGACCTGATAGATATCTACACAACTCTCCACCCAAAAAGAACAGAATATATATTCTTCTCATCACCACATGGAACTTACTCTAAAATTGATCACATAATCGAAAGTAAAACACTCCTCAGCAAATGCAAAAAACTAAAATTATAAGTCTCTCAGACAATGGCACAATCAAATTAAAACTCAAGATTAAGACATTCACTCAAAACCACACAACTACATGGAAATTGAACAACAGGCTCCCAGAGACTCTTGGGTAAATAATGAAATTAAGACAGAAATCAAAAAGTTCTTTGCAACTAATGAGAACAAAGATAGAACATACTAGAATCTCTGAGACACAGCTAAAGCAGTGCTAAGACGAAAATGTATAGTACTAAATGCCCACATCAGAAAGCTAGAAATTTCTCAAGTTAACAACCTAACATCACACCTAAAAGAACTAGAGAAGCAAGAGAAAATAAACCCCAAAGCTAGCAGAAGACAAGAAATAACCAAGATGAGAGCTGAACGGAAGGAGATAAGACATAAAATTACTCTTCAAAAATCAATGAATCCAGCAGCTGGTTTTTTAAAAAAATTAATAAAATAGACTGCTAGCTAGGCTAGTAAAGAAGAAAAGAGAGAAGATTCAAATAAACACAATCAGAAATGTTAAGAGAGATATCACCACTCACTCCACAGAAATAGAAACAACCATCAGAGAACACTATTAATACCTCTATGCACATAAACTAGAAAATATAAAAGAAATGGATAAATTTCTGGACATATACACCCTCCCAAGACTGAACCAGGAAGAAATTGAATCCATGAATAGACCAATAATGAGCTCTGAAATTGAGACAGTAATAAATAGCCTACCCACTGAAAAAAAGGCCCAGGACCAGATGGATTCACAGCTGAATTCTACCAAAGGTACAGAGAGGGGCTGGTACCATTTCCAGGAAAACTATTCTAAACAATTAAAAAGGAGGGACTCCTCCCTAACTCATTCTATGAGGTTAACATCATCCTGATACTAAAACCTGCCAGAGATACAGCAAAAAAAAGAAAACTTCAGAACAATATCCTTGATGAACACTGATGCAAGAATCCTTAACAAAATACCAGCAAACCAAAAGCAACACATCGAAAAGCTTATCCACCACAATTAAATCAGCTTCATTCCTGGGATACAAGCTTGGTTCAACATATGCAAATCAATAAATGTGATTCATTACATAAACAGAACTAAAAACAAAAACAACATGATTATCTCAATAGATGCAGAAAAGGCCTTCTATAAAATTAAACATTCCTTCATGTTAAAAACTCTCAATAAACTAGGTATTGAAGGAACATACCTCAAAATAATAAGAGCCATATATGAGAAACCCACAGCAAGTATCATACTGAATGGGCAAAAACTGGAAGCATTCCCCTTGAAAACCAGCACAAGACAAAGATGCTCTCTCTCACCATTGCTGTTCAACATAGTATTGAATGTTCTGGCCAGGACAACACATGCAAGATAAAGAAATAAAGTGTATTCAAATAGGAAAAGAAAAAGTCAAACTATTTTTGTCTGCAGATGACATAATCCTATATCTAGAAAACCCCATTGACTCACCCAAAAACTTCTTAAGTTGATAAGCAACTTCAGCAAAGTATCAGGACACAAAATCAATGTGCAAAAATTGCTAGCATTGCTATACACCAACAACAGGCAAACTGAGAGTCAAATTATGAATGAACTCCCATTCACAATTGCCACAAAAATAATAAAATACCTAGGAATACAGTAAACAAGGGAAGTAAAGTATTCCTTTAAGGAGAGCTACAACCCACTACTTAAATAAATCCGAGATGACACAAACAAATAGAAAAACATTTCATGTTCATGGATAGGAAGAACCAATATCATTAAAATGGCCATACTGCCCAAAGCAATTTATAGATTTAATGCTATCCCCATTAAACTACCATTGCCATTCATCACAGAATTAGAAAAAAACTATTTTAAAATTCATATGGAACGACAACAAAAAAATCCCCAAATAGCCAAGACAGTTCTAAGCCAAAAGCATAAAGTTGGAGGCATCACGCTACCTGACTTCAAACTACACTGCAAAGCTACAGTAATCTAGACAGCTTGGTACTGGTATAAGAACAGACACATAGACCAATGGAAAAGAATAGAGAAGCCAGAAATAAGACTACACACCTGCAACCACCTGATCTTTAACAAACCTGACAAAAACAAGCAATAGAGGACAGGATTTCCTGTTTAGTAAATGGTGCTGGAAGAACTGCCTAGCCATATGCAAAAAATTAAAACTGGACCCCTTCTTTATAGCATATACAAAGATCAACTCAAGATGGATTAAAGACTTAAATGTAAAACTCAAAACTATAAAAGCCCTGGAAGAAAACCTAGGCGATACCATTAGGGACATAGGCATGCGCAAAGATTTCATGATGAAGACGCCAAAAGCAATTGCAACAAAAGCAAAAATTGACAAATGGGATCTAATTAAACTGAAGTGCTTCTGCACAGCAAAAGAAACTATCATCAAAGTAGACAGACAACCTGCAGAATGGGAGAAAATTTTTGCAAACTATGCATCTGACAAAGGTCTAATACGCAGCATCTACAAGGAACTTAAACAAATTTACAAGAAAAACAAACAACCTATTAAAAAGCCGGCAAAAGTTATGAACTGACACTTAAAAGAAGACTTACATGTGACCAAGAAACATATGAAAGAAGCTCAACATCACTGATCATTGATCATTGGAGAAATGATTTTCATGGTGCCCTTTGCATTTTGCAGCTATTGCTTAAGCTTCAGACCCAAAAAGAGCACTAGCTTTAGAGTCAAAGACCCCTGGGTTCCAGTTTCAGCTGAGAGACTGTGAGCACATCACTAGCCCACTCTGATCCTGTATCCCAGTTTTATAATCACCTATTTCCCATCAGTCGGGAGGCTGGAGAGAAAAGCACCCACTCTGTGCCCAGCACACAGTAGGAGCATAGTAAGCCTAAGCTCTCTTGCTTCCCCACTATCCTAATGTATTAGGGGAAAGACAGAGATGTGGGGAATGGCACCTGGGAGGCTCCAGCTGTATGCTTCACAATCTTACCTAATGAAAAATCTGAATTAGGCTTCAGTTTCCCGTCTACAAAATGAGACAGGACAGGAGTGGGTAGGAAGAGGAGGTTGGTTTAAGCTGGGCCAGTCTAATTCTGTAACGTGGGCTTCACTGTCGGGTCCAGCCCACTCTCCAGCCCACTCCCCAGCCCAGGCTTCTGAATGTCTTTTGGCCAAGGCCAAGTCTGTCCAGGGTCGGGATGAGGAGAAGCAGTTCCCCCACATAACCTGCAGGTGGCACTAGAGCAGCGCGGGAGCCGAGGGTTCCGCTCCAGCCTTCCTGGAGACCCGGGTAGGGCTGGCGTATGGCGAGGCAGAGGTGGTGCACCCCGTTCAGCTGGGCAGCGGCACGAGCGGGACTGCGGATCAGTTCACACCGTTTAAAATAGGCACATGAGTCTTCTGGCTAATTTCCTCTCTTTGGTAGGGTGATCATATGCTTTATCACCCAAATCCAGACACTTTGGAGAGTGAAAGGGGGCACTAAAATAATTGTACCGGGACAGCAGACATAAACTTAGCTGTCCCTTGCAAACAGAACATATGGTCACCCTACCCTCTGTCACTTTTTCTTCCTGGTTTCCATTCTTTTAATCTGCTTTTCTTTTTAAACACACAGCATTCTCTCCCCGAGCACCACTGTCTTTGAAAATGCCCTTGCAATCGCGATATTTTCGACGAGGCAACATCTGCTTTCACATATTGAGTCGGAACAGGCCCTCTGAACCCACCCCAAAGGCTAGTTTTAGCTTCTAGTCAGAAGACTCTGTTCCTTGGCTCGCCATCCCCATGACTCAAGAATTACAAATGTCAGACGTGGAACAGTGGCCCTTATGTCAACTTTGGTGCCTCTTTGCTAAATTTATTCCTGTAAATTTTTTTTTTTTTTTTTTTGAGATGGGGTCTCGCTCTGTCGCCCAGGCTGGAGTGCAGTGGCGCTATGTCGGCTCACCGCAACCTCCGCCTCCCAGGTTCAAGTGATTCTCCTGCCCCAGCCTCCCAAGTAGCTGGTACTATAGGCACCCACCACCGCGCCTGGCTAATTGTTGTATTTTTAGTAGAGACGGGGTTTCACCACTTGGGCCAGGCTGGTCAGAAACCCCTGACCTCATGTGATCCGCCCACCTCAGCCTCCCGAAGTGCTGGGATAACAGGCGTGAGTCACTGCGCCAGGCCCTATTGCTGTAATTTTGTTCTGAGTGCTCCTTTGTCTTTTGTCTCTTTGAATTTACGTGTATTGATTTATTGAATTGCAAGTAGACAAGTCCCATTAAGCAGGATGCTTACATTTCCAAGATCATCCCATTGCTCCATTCAAACCCAAATTAGCATGCTATTTAGCCCCTTGTTTCTGAACCCTCTTCACTTAATAGTCTCATAAACATCCATCCATTGCAAAAAGGACGCAAACTTTCCTCACTTCCATTTTTAGTTCATTCATTGCTATCCAAGTAACGGTTTGTCTGGGGGAGTCATTAGTAAAGAATTGTGCCCTTAAATTTATTGTTATAGTTGGATTCTGCTAGTTAATACCTTTCTTAATACCTCTCTCTCTCTGTCATTCTCACATTGCAACAAATGACTATGGGTTTCTGTCTCAACCTAAAATCCAGGTTAGAAATTTGGTTTTATCTGAATAAGTTATTAATAGATAATGTGAGAAAAAAATTAATTTTCTGAAACTTTTCTCAGCTAAGAATGACACTCATGGTCACAAATATGTATGTAAGCAAGCAGATATTGGGCTGTAAATATATAAACTCTTAAAATATTATGTTTGGAGACAAGATTTTCCTTTTTTTTTTCTTTTTAGTAAAGTATATTTGCTATGGTTGGAATGATTGCGTCTCCTCCAAAATTCATGTTGGAACTTAAGCCCCAATGTGATAGTATTAAGAGGTGGCGTCTTTAGGAGATGATTGAGTTGTGAGGGAAGACCCCCCTCATGAGTGAGATTAGTGACCTTATGAAAGGACTTGAGGGACCTACCTAGCTTGGTTTTCTTCTTTTGTTTCTCTGTCCTTTCCACCATGTTAGGACACAGCGTTTCTCACCTCTGGAGGACTCAGCATTCAAGGTGCCATCTTGGAAGCAGAGAGCAGCCCTCACTAGACTACAAACCTGCTGGCACCTTGATCTTGGACTTCCCAGCCACCAGAACTGTGAGAAATACATTTGTGTTTTTTACCCATTACCCAGTCTCAGATATTTTGTTATTAGCAGCACAAATGGACTAAGACAGTATCTTACGTAGAGTGAGGTGCATATACCTTAAGTTACAACTCCATGCTGTTTTGTTTTTTTTTTTTGAGGCAGAGTCTCGCTCTGTCACCCAGGATGGAGTGCAGTGGCATGATCTTGGCTCACTGCAGCCTCCGCCTCCTGGGTTCAAGCGATTCTCCTGCCTCAGCCTCCCGAGTAGCTGGGATTACAGGTGCCCGCCACCACGCCCAGCTAATTTTTGTATTGTAGTAGAGATGGGGTTTCACCATGTTGGCCAGGCTATTCTCAAACTCCTGACCTCAAGTGATCCACCTGCCTCGGCCTCCCAAAGTGCTGGGATTACAGGTGTAAGCCACCATGTCTGGCCAACTCCATACTATTTATATATGTGCCCAATCATGTAACTACCACTCAGCTCAAGATATAGAATGTTTCCATCACCACAGAGGGCTCCCTCTTGCCCCTTCTCAGTTGCTGTCCTCTTCAAAGTTAACTACAGTACTGACCTCTGTCACCATGGATTAGTTTTGCCTGTTTTTGAACTTCATATAAATAAAGTCATTCAGTATTTGCTTGTTTGTGGCTGGCTTCTTTCATTCAACATAATCCTGTGAGATTTAGCCATGTTTTGGGTACTGGTAGTTGATTATTTTTCTGGTTGTGTAGTTTTCCATACTGCATTTATTACCCTTCTACTTTTATCTCTAACTCAGTGTCTTGTGGGGTCTATTGGTCCTTTTTAGCTAGATCGATAGTAAACATCTTCTTATCAATGAAGCTTAGGAAAGTTTTAGAAGACAGAAGCCCAATAAAACCAAGACCCTCGAGCTTAAGCCAAGTTTCCTTCTCACACCTGCTTCAGTTGCTCTTCTTCATGTGCTCTTTTTTCCCTCACAAAGCTGATGGAAATTAAGAAGCCCAAAAGCTCCTTATCATGCTATCAGCTTAGGGATGCTTGTCATCTGAATAACAGGGTGGGTGTTTATAATCTGAAATGTTAAAATAACAATACCAAACATGTACACAGCACAAACTGCTGTCCAAAGAGCTTTACATTTATTATTTTCCTCAAAACAACTCTGTGAAATAGACACTATTTTTGTCATCCCCACATTTTAGAATGGGAAATTGAGGCACAGAGAGACCATGTAACTTTCCCAAGGTGGTAGAGCCAGGACTTGAACCTGTGTTTTCTGGTTTTAGAGCCTGCAGACTTCACCACCACACCATATTGTGTAGCATGGTACTTCATATGGTGAAAGTGTTTTCTTCTACTCGTTTGGGAGCATTTTCTGAATCATTTGAATCTTATAAATTTGCTTCAAAGAATACAAGTAAATTGAAATGGAAGACCTAATATAGAATGTGTGGCATTCATGAATAAATTATAGGACTCTCTGGCTTTAAATAATAATTATTTGCTTATCTTGTGACTTTTGTCAGGCAGGGCTGTAAAGCGCTAGCTTCATTTTCCTTCTCTTCAGTAGGAGAGGATGGGCTCAGAGACAGGCACAATTGATTGTAAAATCTCATCACACTTTCCCTCACCATCCGGAAGCTGGAGTTAGGTTTGTGAAATCTCGGTTGAGAAAGAGTTGAATGCCACTTGTAGCATAGCGAGTTTAAAAAAGATGGTTTTACTCTCCAGTTCTGTTGCACAAGGCCCTGTGAGTTTTGTCAATTAACGTATGTGACCAATAGTTTTCTCACAAAGATTATCAGCGTTCTAGAGGAAATTATCTTCCAGTTTTATTCTGCTGCTAAAGTGCTATATTTCTTTATAGATGAACTAATCAGTTCTTGGTCACTCGGTTTTCATTAGATATTTCCCTGGCTCTTTATGGTGTGCTTTATGTCTCTTTATGCCCAGCCCCAGGTTTTTCCTTCTAACTGCAAGAAAAAGATCATTGAAATTTTCTCTCTCTCAAACTCCTGGGTTCAAGTGATCTTCCCATCTGCCTCTTGAGTAGCTGGCATTACAGGTGTGTACCACTGTATGCACACACACATACACAAACATGCATATAGACACACAGACATTCACATGTATACACACAGAGAGATATACATATATCCACACATACTGATTAGATAAACATTTACACACACCAACACACACGTGCACACACACATATACACACCTTGTTTCCGTCTTCTCAGGAATCAGAACTCTCAGACAGTGGAAAGAGTCTTGTACCGTGAGTCAAAGATCGACTGTGCAACCTTGCACAAGTGTCTTCCCTTTTGAGATCTTGTTTATAACAATAAACATCCTTACCCACCAATTAGGGTTATTTTGAAGATGAAACAGAAAAAATAACAGAACGATGGCATGTTGTATAGTAAAAAAAAAAAAAAAAAAAAAAAAAAAAAAAATTAACCTTGACCAAAAAGAGGTCTGGCCTTTCTCCTAGACTCCTGCGAAGTAACCATCAACACGTAATACCTGATAGGACTATCTTTGCCTGCGGATCTTGGGTCATGATGGATTGTCTAATAATGAGATTTAGGGTGGAGACTAGCCAGGCCAGGAAAATGGACTTTGTGATTTAGAGTCCGGGCTTTAGTTCACCCCTGGAAGGACTGGAGACCGGAAGCTGAGAGCAGCTGCGTGGACAATCAAGCATGCCTCTATGATGAAGTTCCAGTAAAAACCCTGAATACTGAGGCTTGAGAGGAGCCTCACTGGCTGGGAATATTCCATGTGTATTGGCACATAGCAAAGCCAGGAGGGTAATGCCCTCTGACTGGATAGGGAGGGGATAATGGACACCCTATGCCTGGTGCCCTCCTGGATTCAGCCCTATGCCTCTCTTCCCCTGGCTGATTTTAATCTGTATCCTTTCTGTGCAATCAAACTGTAACTATGAACACAACAGCTTTCTGTGAGTTGTAGCCAGTTCTTAGAGGTAATTAAGCAGAGTTGATCTACTGCCTGCTTGAAAAAACTATTTTAAAATCCCTAAACCAAAGAAGGCCAGAGCTTTCATGAATCTGACCCAACAGATTTTGAAGCCAAAGTTGAGGACATTTGAAGTCAAAGCCAGGCCAGACAGAGAGTAGGCTCCTGGGAGGGAACAGGTGCAGTCCTGTTCAGGCTGCAGTGTTCCCGGGCTACAGCTGGACAAGGGCTCCCTCTGGGTCACAGCCTTTAGGGACAGGGGTTTGGGACTGGTCAACTATCTGATTTGTGGGACTCTGTTGATGAACTCAGCTGGGAAACTTTTGGTAATGGGAAGAGAATGGTTTTGTTTTTCCAAGTCATCTACCCGCTGCATGCTTTGATCCACATTGGAACGCAGTGTGGAAACTGCCTTTGAACAGACTAAGCCTCAACTCTGGACCATGTGTCCAGTTTTCTGGCCTCCAGCTTTGTTCACTCCTTACCTCTACCCATCACTGATGCCAGATCCATCCTCCCAAATATCCTTTTCATCATGTTACCCTCCCCACCACCTCATGGCACCTTCTACAGAGAAGGAAATGTTTCCAACCTCAGCCTGGCATTCAAGGTTCTTTCTGATGTGGCCCAACTCTCACCACACCACTACATCTCCCCGTGGGCCCACCAAATTGGATCAATTTTTTCTATTCATGAGCTGAACTTTCCCACCTCCATTCTGTTGCTTACACTGTGACCTTCCTGTGAAGGTTCTCTTTCTCCCTCTCCCCAAGTCCAAATGCTATAGACTGAATTGTGTCTCCCCAAAATTCGTATGTTGGAGCCCTAACCCCCTATATGATTGTATTTGGAAGTAGGGCTCTTAGCAGGTAATTAAGTGAGGGAGGAGGGGCAGAGCAAGATGGCTAAATGGTAGTCTCTATCAATCATTCTCCCTGCAGGAAAATCAAATTTGACAACTGTCTACACCAGAAAACCATCCTCATAAGAACCAAAAATCAGGTGAGGACTCACAGCACCTGGCTTTAACTTCATATCACAGAAAGAGGCACTGAAGAGGGTGGGAAGGACAGTCTTGAAACAGCAATGTCGCGCCTCCCCCATCCCCCAGCAGGGGCGGCTGTGGTGCTCAGAGAGAATCTACGCACTTGGGGGAGGGAGAATGCAGCAACTGTGGGACTTTGCGTTGAACCCAGTGCTGCCCTATCACAGCGGAAAGCAAAACCAGGTGGAGCTCATGTGACACCTGCCCATGGAGGGAGCATTGAGACCAGCCCTACCCGGAGGGGCTCACCCATCCCCGTAGTTAGAAGGCTTGAGGCTTGTGTTTTGACAATCCTTGGCCTGGCAGCCTATTATGCTCTGGGGCCCGAAATAAACTTGAAAGGCAGTCTAGACCATAAGGACTTCAACTCCTAGGCAAGTCCTAATGGCATGCTGGGCTCAGAGCCAGTGGACTCAGGGGGCACACGACCTAGTGAGACACCAGCCTGGGCAGCCAAGGGAGTGCTTGCACCACCCCTCCCCCAACCTCAGGCAGTGCAGCTTGCGGCAACAAAAGTGACTTCTTCCTTTTGCTTGAGGAGAGGAGGGGGAAGAGTAAAGAGGACTTTGTCTTACATCTCGGATACCAGCTCAGCCACAGTAGGATAGAGCACCAGTCAGAGTCGAGAGGCCCATATTCCAGGACCTAGCTCCTGAATTACATTTCTAGATACACCCTGGGCCAGAAGGGAATCTGCTGCCTTAAAGGAAAGAACCCAGTCCTGGCAGGATTCATCACCTTACTGACTCAAGAGCCCTTGGGCCCTGAATAGCCAACAGTGATACCCAGGTAGTATGCTATGGGCCTGGAGTAAGACTCTGAGACATGCTGGTGTCAGATGACACCCAGCACATTCCAGCTATGGTGGCTGTGGTGAGAGACTTCTTCTGCTTGAGAAAAGCAGAGGGAAAGGTAAAAGGGACTTTGTCTTGCAGCTTAGGTACCTCTTGGCCACAATGGGGTACAGCACCAAATGGGCTCTTGTGGTCACTGATTCTAGGCCTTGGCTCTTAGACAGCATTGCTGGACCTGCCCTGGGCCAGAGGGGAGCCAAGTGCCCTGAAGTTGAGTCCCAGGCCTGGAAGCTTTCACCACAAGTGACTTAAGAGCCCTTGGGCCCTAAGTGAACATTGACAGTAGCCTGACAGTACTAGTGTGTGAAGTATGTGACTCAAGGCGGGGTCCCTACCCCCGCTAAAACACTACCGCCAGCCAGCAGGCTCATGCACCTTGGCCTGTTGCTCCTAGGGGTCGCCTATGCTATTCAGCCAAGGGGACCACAGTGCCTGCTGGCCCAGCTGAGCTCCGCCTAGCCAGCCTGCCTGCCTCCTCTGCCATGGACTCTCCCTCTTCTGCTTTTCCCAGCAGGAAGGGCCCGGCCTGCCCTGTGCAACCTGCAGCCCCCCAACCAGCTGAGGCTCCCCTCTTAGACTTATAAGTCTATGGCCAGTGGCATCTGGCTGCCTGCCCTCTCTGCCTCCCCCAGGATCCCTTCAGAGGGTCCTGGGCTTTCAGAGCCCCCCGAGGGGCCTCTGGCGCTCATTCCAGCCATCTATCCCTTTTGGCTTCACCATCCTGATTCAAGCAGTGTTCCTTCTCTATCAGGCCTGGTGGCTGTTGCTTGGGGCTCCCCAAGGTGAGAGGTGGCCCTGGGCCAGTGGGTTGGAAGACAGGGTGACCAGAGAAGAGGGAAGCCCGAGGGGGCTGAGCATTGGTCTGAACTATGGGTGCACTGCCTGGGTGCCGTGGGAGACGCCAGGGTGTGTGGGGTGGGGAGGGCGGCCACAGCCCCCAAACACTACCTGTGAGGCTCCGGTTCCTCCCTCCACCTTCCTCCCCTTTCCCTTCCAGCCCCTCTTTTCCAGGAACCTTGCCACACCCGCACCTGCACCCTGTCCCCGCTGGCCCTCCCACAGCTGCTGCAGCAGGCACAGCACGCCCTTGCTCTGCGCTTGCCTCACCAGCTCTCTGCTTGCTTTTCTCACTCGTGTTTTCTCTCTGCTTTCTCTCCAACTGCCAGCCGATCGGGTCAGGCAAGTCCATCCTGTCCTGAGAGCCCCAGGCACCCCTTGACCTCTAAACAGATCCCTCCTCCCTTTCCAAGCCTGCCTGGGCAGGTGTCCTGTGACTTGACAGTGGCTCCCCCAGTCCCAAAGCCAGCCCCCTTCATCTGTGACTTAGTCTGTTGTAGTGGTAAGCTGACACATCCAGGGGTGACCGTTGCTGAAAACTTGTGCCCCTTCTGTGTGTATTGCTTGTTACCTGAATTCCAAAGTAGCCTGGGATCAAGGGTTGAATCGTTCATGATTTGCTCCATAACCTGTGTGCTTCTTATCCCAGACCAAACTAAGCTTTTTTCTAGAGTTCTACAATTTACAGTTAGTAGACAAGAGTGGTACTCAAAGATGTAGTCTCTGGACTAGCAGCATCAGCAGTACCTGAGAATTTTTTATAAGTGCAAATTCTCAGGCCCCACCCTGGACCTCATGAATCAGAAATTCCGGGGTAGGGCTTAGCAATCTGTACTGCAGTAATCCTTCCAGGTGTCCAAGGACCTCTGGCATACAGCAGATAGCAAAATGTGTTTCCTTCTGTTGGTCCTAAGCCAGGGATACTGTATGTTCTGTCTTGATATGAAACAATGACATGCAATTGAAAGACATAAGTCTCCTTCCTACTCCCACCCTCAACCCAATGTGTTTTATTTTTATGAGTTAAATAAGAAAACAAGTGACAATCAGAGATTTAGTCTAAAAAGTGTATTTACAAGTATCAGTTCTCATCCAGCCTGATCTCATACAATACCATTTACATCCTCTTACACTTAAAGTTGTAGAAAATGATCTTCAGGCACACTAGGAGTTCTATAATAAAACACCAGGTATATCAGAATGTCCAGACTTACTGGAGAATAAAAGTGGAATCAATGGCTATATTTTCAAATTGCATTCAACAGGAAATTTAAGTTTTTAATTTTTTTCACCTTCATACTTCCAAGTTAATACAATTAAATCAGAATAGTCCATTCTTTCAAAGCCTCTAGCCAGGCAAAGTTTTACTGTATTACTTCTTGCTTTCAATGGATATAAAGCAGAGTCCTGGTAGGCACATTTTGTATATTTGCAAAGATGCAGAACTAAACAATTCCATCTGTTCCATAGTAAAACAAAAGTCCTGTAAACCTTGGATGGTGAGTACAATACTTCAGCACTACCACCAAAACCTCAAATATGAAAAGATACTAAGAACACCACTAGCAAACAAAAGTGAGCTCTCAGCTGGGAGCAGTAGTTCACGCCTATAATCCCAGCACTTTGGCAAGCGAAGGTGGGAGGATTACTTGAAGTCAGGAGTTCAAGACCAGCCTAGGCAGCATAGCGAATTCACATCTCTACAAAAAAATTTAAAAATTAGTTGGGATGGTGGCACACACTGTAGTCCTAGCTACTTGGGAGGCTGAGGTAGGAAAATCGCTTGAGCTCAGGAGTTCCAGGCAGTGGTAGCTATGATCATGCCACTGCACTCCAGCCTGGGTGACAGAGCAAGATCTAGATAATTACAGTCTGCCCTGCTCCAGTTTACATTAAAATCACTAAGTTAAAATGCTTTCAATCAGCAGGATAAAAATTAAGTGAAATGTAACTTTAGAGCTTGGTCAGAAAATAGGCAATAGAGAAACAGGCACTTCCCACAAGAAGAAAAATGGCCAATAAGCATATTAAAAAGGTTCAAAAGTACTAAAACCAAAGAAATGTAATGAAAACAGTGAGATTTTCTGCTTAAAGACCAGCAAGGAGGACAAATGGAAGGGGGAAACTGGAGCTCTGTCCTTGTTGGTGGGAGTATAAACTGAACCAATTTTCCTGCAGGATAATTTGAAAATGTCTATTAAAAACCCTAAAATTGTTTTATGTTATTTTCCTCCAGAAATTCTACTTCTATGAATTCAGTCCAAAAATGCTTGCTTGAGTGAATTAAAATGTACATATAAGAAAATTTACCTCTGGGGTGGCAATGATTAACTTAATATACATCCAGCTATTATCATGATGATGCCAAGGATATATTTACCACCATAGAAATATGCCCAAAACATCATAAGTGACAAAAGACTATGAATTGTGATTCTACTTTTAAAAATGTTTATATGCATAAAAAAGTATAAAAAACAACAAACCAGAATGTTTTGAGTGTCAAAGATTTTTCTGTATATTTTATCTTCCAAATTATTATAAAAAGAATGTGATTTTCTTTATAATCTGGGAGCAGTATTATTTTCATTTATTTATATTTAAATTTCTTTTCTTTTCCTTTTTTTTTTTTCTCATGTATATATCACATGTAGTCTAGAGAGCTTGAATCCCTGCCTCTTGAGGTAAATCAGCCCATTTCTGTCTCTATAAATTTGCCTTTCTTGGACATTTGAAATCAATGGAATTATACAATATGCGGTCTCGTGTCTGGCTTTTTTACTTAGCTAATGTTTTTGAGGTTGGTCCATGATATATAAAATGTTTTGGTAGTTTGCTCCTTTCATTACTGAGTAGAAGCCCATTGATGTATATACCACATTTTATCAGCAGAGTCTTTTAAACCTGGATTCCAACTTCCTGTGGCCTAAATGAAACCCTCTGAACACAGGACTTATAGCGGAAGCTGCTGTGCTTGTCAAAATAACTACTTATCAGAACCAGCTTTGTCATCAGGAGCCTGAAATGCTGCAGAAATTTTTTTATCATTTTGCAACTTCTTTTTTACAAGCAACTTTTGTACAACTACACGTCTGGACTTTTGAAGCATCTGATACATCATTTAATAAGTATGAGCATGTGTCTGAGTGGACAAGAAAGTGAAACCATCCATGCTACATTGCATATTTTTTCCTCCCCCAGGCTGGACCAGGGAACCTCTCAACTTTCTGGAGTATCCTGTCTCCATTGACAAAGCTGAACAGTATTAAAGATCCTGCTGCCTTTGTTAGGCAGATTTGGAGGGGAGGCCCAATAGCAAGGGTAGAGAGGAAAAAGAGAGCGGAGCTTGTGGAACAGGAAGCCTCCCGGGGTCCGCGCAGGGCTCCCAGCTGTTGAGGATGTTGTGGATGGGGAAGTGCTGATCGTGTCCCGAGGCAGCCCAGCACCTCCATTGGGCCCAGAAGGTCTTGACTTTGGACCCTTACCCCTATTTCACAAGTGTTTAAAAGCTGTTTTTGCTTTTGTTATTTTCCTAAATAATCATTACCTGGTAGTTAGCAATTAATCTTTCTTTGGAAGAGGACAGGGCTTTAAAACTGAAGAACATAATTCTCATTAAAATATCAAAAATGGAAAAAAGTTACTTTGTAAACAATTTTCTATACAAACCAAATGGCAGCGGCTGAGAATCTCAATAAAATGTTAAATACATTTGCTGCTTTTAGAGAAATAAAGGAAAACAAATTAGAAGAAATAAAGAAAAAAATGCGTTTGCTAGCAGTGGTACCCTTTTGCTTAAGGTTGGGTCACTGTGCCATCATACTGTGGTGGGGGTATGTGTGGTGTATATGTGTGAAACTTTTCATCTCAGGATGGATCATAATCTTAGTTGCAGTTTTCCTTCCCAATAGGGTTACAATGTAGTAAAACGTGGGCTTGGAAGTGACAGGCCTGAGTGAATCAGCACAGCTTAAAAAAATCCAATAAAACTAACTTTTAATAATCCTGAGGTTAGTTTTTGAAATAATGGATACAATTACTTACTCTGAGCATCTGGTTATGATTTTGAATCAATAATACATACTGTCTCCCCTCTTTTTTTTTTTTTAATGGAAACAGAGGTTTCATCCAGAAAACCCCAAAACAGTGATTTTTTTTTTCTTTCTTTCTTTTTAAAGACAAAGTCTCACTCTGTCGCCTAGGCTGGAGTGGAGTGGTGGATCTCAGCTCACTGCAGCCTCGACCTCCCACCTCAGCCTCCCGAGTAACTGGGACCACAGGTGCCATTGTGCCCGGCTAATTCATCGTATCTTTTGTACAAATGGGGTTTTGCCATGTTGCCCAGGCTGGTCTCAAACTTCTAGGCTCAAGAGGTTCACCCACTTCGGCCTCCCAAAGTGCTGTGACTACAGGCATGAGCCACTGTGCCCAGCCTGCAGTGACTTTTTAAAACACAAGTTGAGGCCGGGCGTGGTGGCTCAGGCCTGTAATCCTAGCACTTTGGGAGGCTGAGGCAGGCGGATCACGAGGTCAGGAGATGGAGACCATCCTGGCCAACACACATTGAAACCCCGTCTCTACTAAAAACACAAAAAATTAGCCAGCCGGGCGTGGTGGCGGGCGCCTGTAATCCTGGCTACTCGGGAGGCTGAGGCAGGAGAATGGCGTGAACCCGGGAGGCGGAGCTTGCAGTGAGCCGAGATGGCGCCACCGCACTCCAGCCTGGGCGACGGAGCAAGACTGTCTTAAAAAAAATAAATAAGTTCAAGCATCTCTTCTTAACTCCTTTAATTGGAGGTAGCTCTTCTCTCTTTCTCCTCATCTTTGGTGTTCCCCAGAGTTTACTGCTGACTGGATGTACAACATATTTCAAAGTCAAAGCTGGGTGCGGTGGCTCACACCTATAATCCCAGCACTTTGGAAGTCCAGAGCAGGCAGATCGCTTGAGTCCAGGAGTTATCTAGACCAGCCTGGGCAACATGGTGAAACCTTGTTTGTATTAAAAATACAAAAAAGGGGGCGTTTCCGGGAGCGCAGCGTGGACTTGGTGTCGCCGCTTTTGGCATGGCGGCCTTTTCCGGCCCGGCTGGGCCAATCCTGTTGCTGAACCCGCAGGAAGATCCCGGGTTTCAGAAGGAGGGGGCGCAGGTTCGCAAGCGCACAACTCTGTGGAAAAAAACAACTTACTTCTGGAGTAGTCTGTGTGCGCCACCTACCTAACCTACTTAACGAAACCGGGATCCTTTCCTATTTCTCCCAAGGTGGCACCGTTACAAGGTTCAGACTATCCCGAAATAAAAGGACTGGAAATAGCAAAGGCTATGCATTTGTGGAGTTTGAGTCTGAGTCTGTTGCCGAGATAGTTGCTGAAACAATGAACAACTACCTGTTTGTTGGAGTGTCATTTTATGCCACCTGAAAAAGTACAGAAAGAAATCTTTAAAGACCGTAATATTCCATTTAAACAGCCATCATATCCATCAGTGAGACGGTATAATCAGAATCGGCATTTCGCAAAAGCTGCGGATGGAGGGGCCATTTAAAAAGAAAGAAAGATTACTCCAGAAGAAATTAGCTTAAAATAGAATTATGATTTTCCTTCTTTGATTTTACAGAAAATGGAAAGTACTTCAAAATCAAATTTTCGGACGTCTACAAAAGGCCAGGTTTTACTTAAGAAGAAAAAGGTTTTAGGCACTCCTGACACTCCTGAAAAGACTGTGGATACCCAGGGCCCCACACCGGTTTGTACATCAACATTTTTGGGGAGATGAAAATGTGAGTGTCTGAAATGAATGATGATGACGAGGAAAATGAAATAGTTTTCAAACAGCCCATATCCTGTGTAAAAGAAGAAATACAAGAGACTCAAACACCTATACATTCACAGAAAAAAAGACGAAGGAAAAGCAATCAGTGATTTTCAACGTATTATATATAAGATTTCTTCTGAAAAATATAATATTTTGATAAGGAAAAATACAAAAAAATTAGCTGGGCATGGTGGCTCATGCCTGTAGACCCAGCTACTCGGGAGGCTGAAATGGGAGGATCACCTGAGCCCAGGAAGTTGAGGAAGCAGTGAGCCGTGATCGCACCACGGCACTCCAGCCAAGTCAAGTCATTACATTTATCTTAACCTATCCTAGGCTGGCTTGAGAGGGATTTGTATTAAGAATACAATAGGCAATCTCACAGACATCTAAGTACAGAACTCAAAATATGACCACAGCATGGGAGGACTGGGCTGGGAGGTTATTTTTCTCTCCTGTGTGCCTTCACTCTGGACTTCTGCTCCATACTTGTGCTTTGCTCTGCAGGTGGTCCAGGCTTCTCCAGCCTCTGAGGCTTTGGCTTGCCCTGGCAGTACCCCTGGTCCCAGTGTTACTGGATCTTTCCATACGTATGATCCTCTGCAAAAAATCTATCGAACACTCTGTATCATTTCCAGTTAGCAGGATAGAGAATCTGATCTGCCTAGCAGTGGGGGTGGGAGTTCCCTAGTTGTCCCTCGATTTATAGTACTGCCCTTTCCAAAGACTTGAGGAGGGGCCGGATATCCAAAAAGAGAGTGTGGGTGGAGAATCAGTAATACAGTCTACTTCAACAAGAAAGTATAAAGTAGAGGCGTTGGCTCACGCCTGTAATCCCAGAACTTTGGGAGGCTGAGGCAGACACATCACTTGAGCTCAGGAGTTTGAGACCAGACTAGGCAACATGGCAAAACCCCATCTCTACTAAAAATACAAAAAATTAGCTGGGCGTGGTGGCACATGCCTGTAGTCCCAGCTACTTAGGAGGCTGAGGTGAGAGGATTGCTTGAGCCCAGGAAGTCGAGGCTGCAGTGAGCTGAGATCACAATGCCACTGCACTCCGGCCTGGCTGACAGAGCAAGACTCTGTCTCAAAAAAAAAAAAAAGTTTAAAGTGGAAGCATCTGTATGCATGATTGAAGTCATGCTTCCCATATATTTTTTCCATCTTGCCTTTTTTCTGTCTAAAACACTGTATCTTAAGCTTTTCCCTATGTTATCAAGTAGTCATAAGCATTATTTTAATGGTTGTATCAGAATCCATTATCTGGACTCATTGTCACTTATCCATCTGCAGTTGCTGGAGATACTGCCCTTTCTGCCACACTCAGTCACCCTTCTGACCTTGCTCTGTGTCCAGTTATCTACTAATACACATACTGGTCATTTAGGACTTGAAGTTAAGAATAAATAGTTATCATAGTACCTAACGTGTCAAAAAGAATGTAGCTTCCTAAAAATAGAATGGCTTGGTGGTTATGACAATTTTAAAGTAAAATGGACAAATTGTTATTTAAATTAACGTTTTGCTTTCTTCTTGTATCTATTTTTCACTTCTCTGTCATTTTCATGCATAAAGTTTCATTTGGAAGGAGTTTTATTTCAAAATAGAAATAGACATGAGAATGGGAACTCTGAAAGGTTCAACTTTCTAGTCATTAGTTTCCTAAAACTGTCACAAAAGCTACTTATAGTCAGTCAGTCATGATTGGCCTGTATTGAAAGTGCGTTAACATTATGTACAACTTAAGCACTATACTTTCTATCAGATACGGAAAAATAGGTAGTGTGTTTGGAAAAGTATTGGGCTAGGAGTCAGGAGCTTGACTGTTAGTCCCAACCCTGCTTCTTCAGCTGAGCACCCCTAGGCAATAATTCAGCAGCTATTTAAGTACCTAATGAGTTTCAGGCTTTGTAGTTGGGCTGGGAATATAGACAATCATGCATTCATGATTCTCCAAGCTCCCTTCCTCACCCCAGCTCACAGTGAGCTCTCTTATGCATTGTGTAAATTTGTCTTCTAACAGGCCCCAACTCTCTCCCCAACCTGCTTCCCAGGGCAGTTGTGAGGATCAAAAGAGAGAGAATATGTGTGAAAGCAAATTGTAAATGATTTTAAAATGCAATAAAAATATTATTTAAAGATCCTTAGAATTTTAAATAAACGGTACATTAACCTGAGTTCTTTTTTTTTTTTTTTTTGAGACAGAGTCTTGCTCTGTCGCCCAGGCTGGAGTGCAGTGGCGTGAACTCTGCTCACTGCAAGCTCTGCCTCCCGGGTTCATGCCAGTCTCCTGTCTCAGCCTCCCGAGTAACTGGGACTACAGGCGCCAGCCACAACATCTGGCTAATTTTTGTATTTTTAGTAGAGACAGGGTTTCACCATGTTAGCCAGGATGGTCTCGATCTCCTGACCTCGTGATCCACCCACCTTGGCCTCCCAAAGTGCTGGGATTACAGGCATGAACCACCGCGCCCGGCCTTGTAAGCTGTACAATGGACCACTGATATGGTTGAAAATCTTGGCTTGATTATTCTCCAAGACAATGATACCGTGGTTTGTGTGATTAATTTTCTAAAATTGCCAGCCAAAAAAAACCAAAACCTTTTTTGAGTTGAATGACTGGATCAGTCAAAGGAAAGTTGACCGTATAATGGAGAAATGTTTTCTGTGTTCACTAACAGCGTGCCTTTGTTTGATTCCAGCTGCAGCATATCATGAGTGATGAGATCTGTGTGCAGGTGACTGTCCTTTACGTGGCAGAAAATAATAATGGGGCCACCGGAGGCCAGCCAAACACATAGAACTCAAGTAGCCTCCTGGAGTCAACGTGTCAGCAGAAAGCCGAGCAGCTGATGTCAGATGAGAAATGCTTTAAGGTGAGAGTTGCTCATGTAGTCAAAGACCTTGCTGGTGACAATGTCAGTAGTTAGGATTCTCTGAACCAGAAGTTAAAGCCAGGGTACTTTGACCCCGTGATTCTACTCCTGGAACTTTTTAGAGTTCCTAATGAGTTCCCCAGAAAAATACAAAGTGGAAGTAACTATTTTCCTGAACAATCTACTTTGTTTCTTCCTTGCCTTAAAACAAACAAAAAAACTAGTGATATATGATTTTTACAATTTTCTATTCTTCTTTTTCTCTGAACATTTTTCATAGTACGCTTTGTAAATATTATTGTTAGAAAAATGTTGGTACATGAAATCCATGGTCATGGTCATTATAGAAAAGAAAACGTAGGCCTGGCACACATGGCTCACACTTGTAATCCCAGCACTCTGGGAGGCCGAGGTGGGTGGATCGCTTGAGACCAGCTTGGGCAACATGGCAAAACCCCATCTCTACAAAAAATACAAGAATACAAAAATTAGCCAGGCCTGGTGGCATGCACCTGTAGTCCCAGCTACTCAGGAGAACGAGGTAGAAGGATCGCTTGAGTCTGGGAGGTCGAGGCTGCGGTGAGCCCTGATCGTATCACTGCACCCCAGCCTGGGTGACAGAGCAAGACTCTCTTCCAAAAAAATAAAAAGGAAAAAAAAATGCAGATAACCAGAAAAAGTCATCTTAGAATTCTTTCCTGAAATTATAATTGATGACATTTCTAAACTTCTCTCTGCTTGAGTATATATTTTGAAAGACTTTATACTGGACAAAATGGTCTTTAACTTTTTTTTTTTTTTTTTTTGGAGACAGGGTCACACTCTGTTGCCCAGGCTGGAGTGCAGTGGCATGATCTTGGCTCACTGCAACCTCTGCCTCCTGGGTTCAAGCAATTCTCATGCATCAGCCACCCTAATAGCCGGGATTACGGTCATGTACCACCATGCACAGCTAATTTTTATATTTTTAGTAGATATGTGGTTTCGTTATGTTGGCCAGGCTGGTCTCAAACTCCTGGCCTCAAGTGATCTGCCCGCCTCAGCCTCTCAAGGTGCTGGGATTACAGATGTGAGCCACTGCATCTGACCTGAAATGGTCTTTAAAGTATTTTTGCTCAATTAGCAACACTTCTGGATCTTTAATGTCTTTTGTATCGGTATTTGATAGTCACTTTATAGAGAATTAATGTCTGTATTGTTGGACATTTAGGTTGCTTCCAATTTTTCACCATTATAATGGATAATTATAAAAGCAAGTAGTTGGAAACAACCTAGACGTCCAACCCACTACGGGGATTGGTTAATGACATCCTGTTATGAATACTGGAGACATATTTTACAGTTCTTAAAAATAAATCACAGATGCCAGGTGTGGTGGCTCACGCCTGTGATCCCAGCACTTTGGGAGGCCGAGGCGGGTGGATCACGAGGTCAGGAGATCGAGACCATCCTGGCTAACATGGTGAAACCCTGTCTCTACTAAAAAATATAAAAAAAATAGCCGGGCGTGGTGGCGGGTACCTGTAGTCCCAGCTACTTGGGAGGCTGAGGCAGGAGAATGGCGTGAACCTGGGAGGCAGAGCTTGCAGTGAGCCGAGATCGAGGCACTGCACTCCAGCCTGGGCGACAGAGCGAGACTCTGTCTCAAAAAAAAAAAAAAAAATCATAAATTGTGAAAATACAGGGTCTGCCCCCCTCCAAATCTATTTTGGAAATAACTGTATTTGTGTGTATATATTATGTTATTGTCAGGTTGTAAGCTTTGCTAGCAGAGAGGAATTTTTAAAGCTTTAAAAGCACACTGAGTTAGATCTAGCTTCTGGCTCTGTGTGTTTATTGACTAGTAGTGTGCCTTGAGAAATCAGAACTCTCTGAATTTCGGTTTTCTCTCTGTATAGAATGAACAAGGTTGAAATAAAAAATTCTCAAGTTTCCTTCCAGGCTCTGATCTCCTCCATGTGATTCTGAAAGTTACCTTGTCTGCAGGAAGCCCTTAGCGTAAGGGCACTGAGAATCTCAGGGTTCTGAAAGGGGAGATCTATGTGCCATCACCATTGATAGTTGTTTTGTGCAAAACATGGTTTGCTTGCCTCTATTGGTGTGTTGCTTTTAAATATGAATATTTTTAATCCCACAAATAATATTAGCAGAACTCAGAATTTCAAGAACTTCATATAAATTCGTGGCATTTATAATAACTTTTTGTTTTGTTTTTGAGACAGGGTCTCACTGTGTCACCCAGGCTGGAGTGCATGGTTCACTGCAGCCTCCACCTCCCAGGCTGAAGCAATCCTCCCCCTTCAGCCTTCCGAGTAGCTGGGACCACAGGTGTGACCCACTACACCTGGCTAATTTTTGTATTTTTAGTAGAGATGGGGTAGCCATGTTGCCCTAGGCTGGTCTCAAACTCCTGGACTGAAGTGATCCACCTGTCTTAGCCTCCCCAAAGTGCTGGGATTTCAGTCATGAGCCATCACACCTGGTCCAACACTTCTTAATATCTTTTTTGTGTGTGTGCCTTATTCTAAGGCATATTTATATTTCTCGTGTAGTCTTTCTTTTTTTTTTTTTTTTTTTGAAACAGTCTCACTCTGTCACCCAGGCTGGAATGCAATGGTGCGATCTAGGGTCACTGCAACTTCTGCCTCCTGGGTTCATGCAGTTCTCCTGCCTCAGCCTCCTGAGTTACAGGCACGCACCACCACGCCCAGCTAATTTTCTGTATTTTTAGTAGAGACGGGGTTTCATCATGTTGCCCAGGCTGGTCTCGAACTTCTGAGCTCAGGCAACCCACCTGGCTCGGCCCCCCAAAGTGCTAGGATTACAGGCGTGAGCCACGACGCCCAGCCATTTGTTTAGTCTTTATTGCAGAATCAATGCAATCATTGGTTTTTGTCGTGTTTGATATTTTCTATTTAACTTTGGTATGAAAAGTTTTCTTTGTTGACCTTTTTAGTTTCATTTTTTTGATACGCAGTTTCACTCTTGTCACCCAGGCTGGAGTGAGCTGGTGAGATCTCATCTCACCCTAACCTCTGCGTCCCAGGTTCAAGCAATTCTCCTGCCTCAGCCTCCCAGGTAGCTGGAATTACAGGTGTGCACAACCACGCCCAGCTAATTTTTGTATTTTTTTAGTAGAGACGGGGTTTCACCATGTTTGCCAGGCTGCTCTCGAACTCCTGACCTCAGCTGATCCAACCGCCTCGGCTCCCAAAAGTGCTGGAATTACAGGTGTGAGCCACCATGCCCAGCACACCCCCCTCTTGTTTTTAAACACTGTTAACTTGCTTGCATCTTTGTATTGCGTCCTAGAAGTGGGATTTTCTTTCTTTCCTTTCTTTCTTTCCTTTCTTTCTTTCTCTTTCTTTTCTTCCTTTCTTTCTTTTCTTTCTTCCTTCCTTCCTTCCTTCCTTTCTTTCTTCCTTCCTTCCTTTCTTTCCTCCTTTCCTTGTTTCCTTCCTTCTTTTTTTTGATGGAGTCTCGCTCTGTCGCCCAGGCTGGAGTGCACTGCAAGCTCCACCTCCCGGGTTCATGCCATTCTCCTGCCTCAGCCTCCCGAGTAGCTGGGACTACAGGCACCCACCACCATGCCCGGCTAATTTTTTGTATTTTTGGTAGAGACAGGGTTTCACCGTGTTAACCAGGATGTAGAAGTGGGATTTTCAGTGGACAGAGCACTGACATTTTGTGGTTCTGGCTACAAGTGCCATATTTCTTTCTGACAAACAAAATATTTGTTTTGTAAAACATTCTAACTCGCATTGATTATTATTTTAGCAAATTCTAGAAGTTTGAAACATGGTCACACCTGTAGTCTCAGCACTTTAGGAGGCCGAGGAGGGCAGATCACCTGAGGTCAGGAGTTTGAGACCAGCCTCTCCAACATGGTGAAACCCCATTTCTACTAAAAATACAAAAATTAGCCAGGTGTGGTGGCACATGCCTGTAATCCCAGCTACTCAGGAGGCTGAGGCAGGAGAATTGCTTGAACCCAGGATGCAGGGGTTGCAGTGAGCCAAGACCACAGTGCCACTGCACTCCAGCCTGGCTGACAGAGCGAGACTCTGTCTCAAAAAAAAAAAAAAAAAAAAGAACAGAAAAAAAAAAGAAAAGAAAAAGAAATACCATCTTACAGCCATCAGAATGGCTATTATTAAAAAGTCAAAAAAATAACATATGCTGGTGAGGTTGTGGAGAAAAAGGAACACTTTTACACTGTTGGTGGAAGCGTAAATTAATTCAGCCATTGTGGAAGACAGTATGGTGATTCCTCAAAGACCTAGAGGCAGAAATACCATTTGAGCCCACAATCCCATTACTGGGTATATACCCAAAGGAATATAATATATCTATTATAAAGATATGTGTATGCCGTGTCCATTGCAGCACTAGTCACAATAGCAAAGACATGGAATCAACCCAAATGCCCATCAGGGATAGACTGGATTAAGAAAATGTGGTACATATACACCATGGAATACTATGCAGCCATAAAAAAGGAATGAGATCAAGTCCTTTGCAGGGACATGGATGGAGCTGGCAGCCATTATCCTCAGCAAACTAACGCAGGAACGGAAAACCAAATACCCCACGTTCTCACTTATACATCAGAGCTGAATGATGAGAACACATGGACACAGTAGGGAGGGAAAAACACACACTGTTGGATAGTGGGGGGGTGGAAGGAGGAAGAGGATCAGGAAGAACAGGTAATGCATGCTGGGCTTAATACCTAGGTGATGGTTTGACAGGTGCAGCAAACCACCATGGCACACGTTTACCTATGTAACAACCCTGCACATCCTGCACATGTATCCCTGAACTTAAAAGATGGAAATCAAAATAAAGTAAAATTTAAAAATAAAGATGAAAATAGATAAATGTGTCAGAATAATTGGTATCAATTGTTTAATTATAAGTGGCATTTTGTTATAAGTCAAGCATTAGTAGAATTGGTTTTGTTGATTAGATCTCCTTTGAGTAAAATGATTAAAAACAACATTTTTTTAAGCCTGAAAATCTGAGGATTGATTTTGGGCTGCGATAACACCCCAATCCATTGCCCCACAATGACCTTCTAGAGCTTTTCATCTGGTCCCTTTGACATCTAATTGTAAATTTCCATCCTGAGATGAGGTTGAAATTAAAGCACCCATATCACTCATATATATGTAATATATATATTATATACACACATATTATATGCATACATTATACATATAGTATATTACATATATACTATGTATAATACATGCATATTATATGTTTTATATATATATATATAAATAAAAATTTTGTGAAGAATGCTTGATGTAATTATGTTATCTAGTTGTTCTCCACTACACTTTTGGGGGACTGTCCTTGGGTAGTGTGGTAGATGTTATTTACTCAGAAATAAAGAATTCCATGGTCATATTTGGAAGGGTTATTCATCAGGGTTCTTTGGTTTACAAATGGCTGAATCCAGCTCAAAATGCCTTAAGCTTAGAGGTTTATGTAACTACAAGACCCAGGGGTCCCTCTGGAGCAGCCCAATTCAGAGGCACAAACCAGGTCATCCAAACTTAGCCCTAGTCATTTTTGTGGTTCTGTTTTCTTTATTACTTTCTTCAAATACTGTGTTCTTTCATGACCCCCTACCCTCTGCCTAGATTCACCTTCCCTTCCTGACTGGCAAATTCCTACTTACCCTTTAAAGCCCAGGTCAAATACTACCACTACTGCATATATTTTTCTGACTGACTGTCAGCCCCATCTTAGTCTGTTTTTGCTGCTATAACAAAATGCCTAGAACTGGGCAATTAATGTACAATGGAAATTTATTTCTCACACTGCTGGAGACTGGGGAGTCCAAGATAAGGTGCCTGCAGATTTGGTGTCTGGTGAGGTATCTCTCCTTATAAAATGGTGCTTTGCATGCCTGTAGTCCCAGCTACTCAGGAGGCTGAGGCAGGAGAATTGCTTGAACCCAGGAGGCGGAGGTTGCAGTGAGCTGAGATCATGCCACTGCACTCCAGCCTGGGTGACAGAATGAGACTCTATCTCAAAAACAAACAAACAAACAAATAAAAATCCCCACAATGGTCCTTTGTTGTTCTACCCTCTGGAGGGGACAAAATCTCTGTCTCATGTGGTGGAAGGGTGGAAGTGGGAGGCAGCACTCTGAAGCCTCTGTGTAAGAACATGAATCCCATTCATGAGGGCAGAATCCTCATGGCCTAATCACTTTGCCCTACCTCTTAATACCATCACCTGGAAAATTAAGTTCTGACATGTAAATTTTGGAGGGACATCTACATTCAAACCATATTAGGCTCCATGCAAAAATAATTGCTCTTTTGACAGTATCCCTAAAGCCATTTGTTCATACTCTAGACAACACTAATTGAGTTATATTACAGGCTTTCATTCGTTTGTTTTGTCTTCTAATCACATGTGTAGAGAGATGGAGGGCTCCCCAAATCTGTGTTTCTCCTCTTTATCCTGGCCACATTTGGGTCAATTACATTTCCCAGCCCCCTTGCAGTTAGGTAAGGCCATGGAATTGAGTTCTTATCCCACCAAATTGCAGGCCATTTTCAGACTAGGCCCCTAAACCTCCCACACAATTGTCTACACTGTCCCTCTCCTTTGACCTGTGGTCAGGTGTAGAGAATCTGGGTGAGCACCTTCCATCCTAGAAGATGGTAGAGCCACTGTGTGGAGGGATACTGAATCCCTGAGTGACTGCATGGAACAGAGCAACATTTCACTTAGCCCATATTGAGGTATACCATGAGTGAGAAATCAATCTTTATTATGCCATAATACTATATTTATCACAGCAAGACACCTTTTAATTATTAATGTCTATATTGTATAACAAGCCATATCAAAGCTTAGTGGCTTCAACCAACCATTTTTAAACACACACAATTCTGCATGTAGGCTGGGCTTAGCTGGGCAGTTCCCCTGCTGGTCTTGCTGCTGCTGGTTAATCATCAGCTGGTGGGTTGGCTGGGGGCTGGGTCCAGTTGGGACACTGGAACACTGGCCTTCTCCCTCTTTTCATGTAGTTACAGGACCTCTCTCCCTCCCTGTGGTTTCTCCATGGGACCCTTCACTGGCCTCTCTACCAGCATACCCAGACTTCTATGGAGTCTCCCAAGAGTGCAAAAGTGGAAGCTGCCAAGACTTCTTAAGGAAGAAAGGACACAGCATCACTTCCATTGCATTCTATGGGCTAAGGCAAGTCAAAGGACCAGCTTAATTCAAGGAAAGAGGGCTATGTGAAAGTTCAATATGGGGAGGTGTGGCTTTTGGAGGCTATTGATGTAACAGACCCTCACAACCACTGAGATGAGGGACTTGTTTGTTATAGCAGCAGCCTATACTGACTAATCAACACCAGTAGCTCAGTGTTTCCCAAACTTCATCAATATCCTACTGCCCTCACTATTTTTGCACTATGTACCATTTTGAATATTACTTACAAAATGTTTCTTTTAATCAATGAATTTGAAATATAAATTTATTGAAAAATAAACTTTGTGTCAGCACTGTAAGTGAAAGGTTAGAAGTGTAATTATATTATTCTTCCATTATCATTAAAGTAAGTCCATAACTATTAAAATGGTCTATCAACATAGCCCTTCAAACCATCTCCCTGTCATCAGGGATGGGCCCAGCCCCTGGAGAGGAGATTATAGAGATGCTTGATAATTTTGGTTAAACTCAATTTTGTAGAATTCAAATCTGCATCTCTATAATTTATACCCACCAGATTCCATGAAACCCAATCTGATTCCCCCTCTCTCTGACTGCCCTTCGATATCTGGCGAGTTTTCAAGGGAATTTTCCACTCCCTGAACATTCCACTTTCTTCAACGTATCCTGTTTCCTTGAAGCATTCTAACAATGAGCAAAAAAATAGTCCAGTAAAATGCCTGAACCACCCCAAAATACCAAAGACAACCCTTCTCTCTTTTCTATATTTGCCCTCTGAGCTGGTTCAGAGCCCAGGAGCAAGATGGCAGGCGGGCAGGTGTGGGTTGTTTCTCTGTGGGGATGGCAGTGTGTTCATCTCAAGACCACCTGTTTCTGTAACAACCATGGGCGTGACCTTCTCTGTGTCACATGTGCTCACGTGTCCCAAGAGCTTGGAGGTACAGCTCCAGAATCCACAGCAACCCTCTGCAGGGCTCTTGTTCCAAATGGTTCCCACTCTGTAGAGTTGCGCCCACACCTCCTTCAGTCCTTTGTTCATGGATCTCCATTTCTTCTTTCCTTCTCTCTCTTCCCCTCTCATTCTTTTTTTATTTTTTTTTATGATTGAGGCTCTCCCTTTCCTTAGCTTCTAAGTATTCAGAGTAAATCTGAAACTCAGAACATACTTACCTACTGTTTTTCTGTAAATGACAAGGTCCATGCCTCTGCTTTCATAACACTGCAGAAATGGTAATGGCTTAATTGGAATGTTCTAGAAAGGGGATCTCTGAACACTGGGCAGCCAAGCACTAAGGGCCTGGGAAATTTTCTAAGTGAAAGGGAGTCATTGAACAGTTTCCAATTTGCCTTTGTTTCTGATTCCAAAGAGAACCTAATTTAATTTCTAACCCAGAGACCTTGGAAGTTTGACTGGAAAAGTGCCAAGGAAAATTCCCTCACAAAAACCTAATTCATAGGGTCCTGCGGTCATGGTTCTTTGAGGCAACTGACAGTAAAATATAATAAGAGGACCTCATTCTTCAAGGGGTGCTGTGTACGGGTATGCCCCCCAGGGGCACCAGACCTCCCATAAAGCCCACCTGGGTCCACCAGCCTCATGGACCACACAGGCCTGGGGGTGAATCCTGTCCCCACCACACACGGTTGTGCAGTTTCGGGCAAACATTCTCCTGGGTCCTTACAGTAACTTGACTTTAGGTGTCGTGTGCTTTGAGTGCTGAAATGCAGCAGTTCTCAAAGTTTATTTGGCTTCAGAATCCTCCCCACTTGGTATAAATGCAGGTTCCTGGGCCCCACTCCAGTTTTGGTTCCATGGGGCTGGGGGCCTGAGACTCTGCATGGCCAGGGTCACCTTAGGTAGTGCTGAGGGAGGCGGTTCCAGATCAAATTTGGAGAGATTTGAGTCTAATATGTGTCCCCCTCCATGGGGACTTGAAACTTTGCCAGCAAGTCTTATTCTTACATCTACTGTGTGATGGACAGTGAACTAGAACTGGAACAAAGAAATAAAGGCAGGAAAAAGCAAGCTCTCAGCTTGCAGGGGACAAGCCCATAACACAAACATTCACTCTCAAAGCCTGGTTGGAAGGAGCCCTTTCCCACCTGGAAGAACGGGACGGGTGGGTCAGTGTGGCGCTGGTGCCCTCTAGTGGTCACGTGGAAACCACCGGCACATCCCTGTGTGAATCTTCCATTTCTGCTTCCCTTCAAATATCACTAAGGGCCATGACGGCCCCTTTCTATTGGTAGGAAATGGATTTGATCTGTGCCACCTCTTGATACAGGCAGCTGAGTGAGGTGGAAATCTCAGAAATCTTGGGGTCAAAGATACCTGAGTTCTAAGTCTTTTTCCATCACTCGCTGTATCACCTGTACAAGCCATTTAACTTTTCTGAGTCTGGTTTTTCTGATCTGTAAACCATGCAAAACGAAAGAACAATATTCCACCTCTAGGAGATCGTGAACTCATTCTGCATTCTCCCTCCTGTGCTTTTTTCCCCACAGTTTAGGGTCCACCATTTATCCTGAAGGGCTTAGAGAATGGGCCTCCCCAGACAGGGCTGAGAAGACTGGGGAACCCTCAGTAAACGTAATAGGCAGAGTTGGTTTCCTCAAATGGAGACTGGTCCCTGTGCACCCCTGAAATGGCTCCTGTGAGGATCCACGCACTTGTTGAGAGATGGGGCCCCAGTCCTGGCAGCTGGCTCAGCTCTACCCTCTTCCTCCAGCCTCTAGCCCGTGCAATGTCTTCTGTAGTCTGGGCAGCTGAGAAATTTGATTTCCAAGTGTGCATCAAAATTTTTCTGCTTTATACTTGTCACTGGCTTTGAGCTTAAAAGACATAAATGTGAGACTTTGGTTCTCTGATTGCACAGTGACCTCCACCACCCAAGGCGGGGGTACTTCCTCAGAGCTGTCAGATGGAGACTGGGCAGCATAGCCCTCAGGGCATGAGGGAACATTTTACTGAGCGCAGAGAAAGCACATCAGTTGATAACTTTGAAATATCCTTGCACACATGTGGATAGAAATGCCCCATTGCAGAGACATTCTGAGGGTGAGACTTGACAAGGCACGGGGCTGGCATAGGACGGGCACTCCACTCCCTTTTCCTTTAAAAAATTGCTCAGTAGATGCACACTGTTTTTGACTTCACATGAAAGTTTCTTTTGTTGTTCTCTTTCAGTAATCACATAGAGGCATAAAACTGCTACAGAGGCTTTTGCAAACTGGAAATTTTATTTGTTCTGCAATGGGCCAGACATTCTTCTAGGAGTAGGGAAAACTGCAGGAAAATCTATATTCCTGTCCCATAGAGTTCTCAATCCAGTTGCAGGTGACAGGCAGCCAGCACCGGTAAGCATGGCAAACAGCAGGTGCTGGGAAGGGCTAGGAAAAAAAGCCAGGGAGAAGGGATGGGGTCAGGCAGCCTCTGACAAGGCCACAAAGGAGCTAAGGCCTGTGTGAGGTCAGGGGCTGAGCATCTGGGGTATTCCAGGGCATTCCAAGTCTGAGTCTACAGTGTCTTTACCATCCCAAAGCCCAGCTGTTTAATTTGGCCACTAGTGACCAAGTCACTGATATGTTCACATAGGTTCTGGCCTGAGGTTTCTCAGCCACCTGGCAAGAAATGCAGCTATTGATCAAGGCCCCCTGCCTGCAGGACCCAGTGCTAAGAGTGGGGTCACCACCATCACCATGATGGCTTCTGCCGCTCTTGTCCTCTTGTCCCCTAAAGAGGTTAAGGGCAATGTGCAAGGAATTTAGCCTGGAGTCCATGTGGCCAGCATGGCCCAACATGTGCAGGGCCCTCTTGCAGTATGATGCCTGGCGGAGGTGCACAGGGGTGGTCCCAAGCACGCCCAGCTCCTTCTTGCCTGGGGCCTTGGCACTTGAGGCTCCTCTGCCTGGAATTCTCTGACCCTGGGTTTTCCACAGCTGGCTCCCTTGCATCCTTCAGATCTTACTCCAAATGTCACCTCCCCAGAGACAATGCAGCTGCAGCTGACCCTACTGCACTCTCCACTCCATGGCCTGTTTATTTCCCTTACAGCTCTCAGCACGGCTTGAAAGCTTTGTGTTCATTTCTACCCTCTGCACTAGGCGGGCAGTTCCTTAGACACAGTATTCATCAGTCCTCATCCCCTCTGTATCCCCAGGCCACAGGGGACAATCCCACAACACAAACAGTCACTCTCAAAGCCCAGGTCACCCTTGACTTTTATTCCCTTCCCCATGAGTCTTGATTTTCTCTGAGGTTTCTTTAAAAAAGAAAATACAGTTTGGGTGCGGTGTCTCACGCCTGTCATCCCAGCACTCTGGGAGGCTGAGGCGGGCCAATCACCTGAGGTTGGGAGTTTGAGACCAGCCTGACCAAAATGGAGAACCTTGTCTCTACTAAAAATACAAAATTAGCCGGGTGTGGTGGTGCACGCTTGTAATCCCAGCTACTCAGGAGGCTGAGGTAGGAGAATCGCTTGAACCTGGGAGGCGGAGGTTGTGGTGAGCCGAGATCACACCACTGCATTCCAGCCTGGGCAACAAGAGCAAAACTCTGTCTCAAATAAATAAATAAGAAAATACAACTATATAACAGCAAAAGAGAAAAATTTGAATAAACAATTCCCCTACTTTAAACATATTTCACAAGCTCTTCGTTCCTTCCTCCATGTGCAGCTGTGCTGCTCTCATGAGTTTTGTGCCATTTGGTAACTGGTGTGCTTTAAGCAAATGTTCCTTAGGCCCTTTTTAATGTTTTTATAAACTTTTCATACATATATTAATCATTCTAAACGCCTCCATCATATTCTGGGACTAGATACGGGGTTTTTTTGCACCTTGTGTGTGTGGGTGATTGTTTGTACTGTACATAGAGCCAGGAAGATTCCAATTCTCCTGGCGGCTATACCAGGGAATGATTATTATGAGATTTCGCAGATAGAAAAACGGGGGCTCAGAAAAGGGAAGCCATTTGCCCAGGGACACACAGCGAGGACTGAATCACATCTGTGCTCTGCACAATGCGCGTCCCGTCTGGGGGTGGTGTTGAGGGACATAGTTATGGCACCCATTCCTAATTGTGAGCAGCTGGGTGTGTTCGCTGTCCTGGCATCATAGTTCAGTGCCTTCCAAAATGGGCACTTGTAACTCGGGGGCTGCAGGAGATGGCCCGTTGCAGTGAGCAACGAATCAATTAGAACTTCCATTTCTTTGTATTTTAACCATATTTGTACACATTATATATGTTCAGTAATGGACGTAATTTATTAGTACTGCCGAAAATATGTATGTGTGTATATTTATGCTTGCACAGTTTCTGATTGATGAGGGCTCATGAAAAGCATCTTGATGAATATCTCGCACACATAGCAGCAGCTGAAGGCAGTGATTAAAGGGAAAAAGTGTCAGAAGTGACACATTTGCTACAGCAAAGGCTTTGAGCATCTTTAGGGTTTTCCCTTGCATTTATCTGCAGGAGTCTTAAATTCTCCTCTTCCCTGGATAGTATTTTTTTTTTAATTTAATTTTTTTTTGAGATGGAGTTTTGCTCTTGTCACCTGCGCTGGAGAGCAGTGGCTTGATCTTGGCTCTTTGCAACCTCCACTTCCTGGTTCAAGCGATTCTCCTGCCTCAGCCTCCTGAGTAGCTGGGATTACAGGTGCCCATCACCATGCCTGGCTAATTTTTGTATTTTTAGTAGAGACGGTGTTTCACCATGTTGGCCAAGCTGGTCTCGAACTCCTGACCTCAAGTGATTCACCCGTCTCAGCCTCCCAAAGTGCTGGGATTACAGGTGTGAGCCACCACACCCAGCCTCCTGGCTAGTATTCTTAGGGAGTAGAATCACTGTGCCTTGCAGGAGCTGACTGTCATGTA
Organism: Homo sapiens; assembly: GCF_000001405.40. NCBI lineage: Eukaryota > Metazoa > Chordata > Mammalia > Primates > Hominidae > Homo > Homo sapiens. The sequence goes on from NC_000005.10 coordinate 174,939,801, forward strand.
CCAGTTCTCAGGATGGGTGCTCCCCATTCTCCTCACAACAAGTAAGGATACTCAGTGGAAAAATTCCTGGGCAAGGCTTTACATACAGGAAATCACTAGGTGGATGATCTTGGAAATCCACTCATTCCTCATTGGGCAATCTATCATTGAGGGCCAGGTGCTGGGTCCTGGGCTGTGCAATAGGAAAGCCAAGATGCATACCATGGCCCAGCCTTTGAAGAGCCCCTGGCAGCCATAGACAGATCTGTCCAAATAGTCTGATCCTTCCAAATTGAGCATCCAAATAGTGGGTCCACAATGCCATTGGGAGCATAAAAGAAGCCATGGCAGAATTTTCTTGAGGGCTTGAGGGTGGTTCAGAGAAAGGGTGGTTCAAGAAAGGGATGCCTGAGTTGGATATTGCGCGATGAGCATAAGGCCACTGGAGGGACAATGGGCATGACAGCTCTGTGCAAGCATGCAGATGCTTGGCCCACCAGTGTAGATCCGGGAACGGCATTGTTTTCCACTGCTGAGTCACTGCCCGTGGGTAAGTGGTCCTTGAAAGGAGGTGACATTGAAGAAGCAGGCAGGGCACAGATCATGGAGGACTCTGAATATTGTATGTCTTGCGCATTGCTCTGAAAGCTATGGTGACCAACTGGAGAAGTTAAGAGTAGAAAAGTAACCATTTATCCCTAAACCATTTTTATAATGGGATGGAGATGGAGAGAAGGAGGTTTTCACAATTAGCAGATGAGACCCAGGGAGGAACTGGATCAAGGCAGTTATGGGGGAACGGGCTGGAGGCTAAAGGTGTTGTGGAGGTGGACTCAGCAGGACCTCATGGCTGACCACAATCCATAAAGTGAAAGGGGCCCAGGTTCACTCCAGGGATCTGGCATTAAGAAAATAGTGTCATTCACCAAGATAGGCATCAGAAGAAGGGTCTGTTATCTAGAAAAGAGATATCCAAAAGGCAGCCTGAGGTTGTATCTGGAGCTCAGGAGAGAGGCTTAGGTTGGAGATAGGTACATCTGGGAGTCATTAGCTTAGCGAGGATTTGGGGAGCTACAGATGTCTACAAGGCAAAGTTGACAGATGACAGGACCTTGGGGGATGTGGGCATTTGAGATGAAAAATAGTCCTGCTTTATTGCATTTGCCAATTTCCATGGTGTGAATATCCCCACCACGACTGACCGCAAGCTACCCGTGTGAAGTTGCTGAACACAGGGCTTGAAAGTGATGCCTTGAAAGTGATGGGAGGAGTCTGGAGGTGGTATACAGTTTGCTCTTGTGAGCTGGTATGAGCCAGCTGGACACAGCAGTGGATACACCTCCACATGTGAAAATCTGTCCTCCGTTGGGACTCTCCTTCTTCAGGAGTTTTCTTCAGAGCCCCTCAAATGAAATTTGCATGTCTCGTGTATATTAAGTATTTCTATGTGATATAATACCAACAAACAGAGGGGGCTTCATTTTGCCTGGGTCAGTGCAGGAAGCTTGAGTTCCTCCCATCGCTCCCACTCAGTGGTCCCCAGGCAAGCCCTGCTGGGCAAGAATCCCTGCCACAACTCCCAGGGGGTGCTTCCGTGGAGCTTTCTGTGTGCTGTCTCAGGCTTCTGGAGTTTTCAGACAGTGCTGATCCAATGTCAAGTTCTCCCACATCTTCTCCAGCACGATGAAAGTACCTTTTGTTTTCACGCTGATGGGGAAAAGGTTGAAACTCTGAACCCAATTTCGAAGTCACAGCCATACAGCGTTTTTATCACTTGAAATTTGATCTCTGTGGATCAAGCAAGTTGTGTCAACTTTAGGAATCCCTTTCCTGGGCTTTAAAACAACTGTGTAAAACAAACACTGTCACTTTGCCACACCTTCCTATCTCATTCCTATTTTATTCTGTTGAAAGTTACAATGCCTCAAACACCTTCACAGTCATCATCTGCCCTCACTGGGGATGCAAGACACCTGGGGACCTCAGTAAAGGGGAGGTGATGGGAATGGGAGGAGTCTGGAGTATGGCAAATGAGAAGATGGCGGAGGGACTCACAGGACAGGGGTTGACCAGGGCGGAGACAGCTGGGCTGCCTGAAGAAAGGCTGGAGAATGCAGTGACCTCAGTTCTGTGACCACTGAAAACCATGGAGCCAGGTGGAAGGAAAATGGACTTGGGGACTGAAGAGAGCTGAGGTCAGTCATTTCTCCCTTCTGTGGCCTTGGGCCAGTTGCTTTAATTTCTCTGGGCTTCAGTTTCCCCACTTGTAAAACTGAATACATACTTCATAAGGGTGTTCTGAGGATGACAAAAAAGGTCTGTGCAGCTTTGAGCTTGGTGTCTGGCACCTGGTGTGCTCTTCCCAAGTTCAAGGGAAAACTGAGGAGAAGAGTCAAACAAGCAGGCGGGAGCCAGGGCTTTGGTCAGAGGGTCAGTACTGAGAAGAGAATCTGAGAGGCACCAGAACACCAGGGAGTCAGGGCCAGCAGCAGTTCTGACCCCCGAGATCCTTCTGGGAGCAGCAGGACCCAAACAATCAGGCTATGGGCTTCGTCAGGGTCTGGAATCCAGCCCCTCAGCCAGCCCACTTTTTAGTTCTTGTTCATGGAAACAGCAAAGGCAGCTTCTAGTACATGGTCAGGACTCCCACGTATTAACTGTGATCATTTAAAAAAACTTTGTTTTTGCTTTCCTCATGGCAAAACCTAAGTAGCTCAGGTACAGAAATCATGCAAAACACTAAAAAGAATAAAGAAGAAAACAGAAATTACCCTCAACCCCAAAGATACAGAAAAAAACATTTAGGCTTAGTATTCCATACACGTGTGTACTGTTTACACTATTATACGTATTTGGTTACATATTACACATAGCACACAGTTGTGGTTCCTGGCTTTTTTTTTTGAGACAAAGTCTCATTCTTGTCCCCCAGACTGGAGTGTAGTGGCACAATCTTGGCCCACTGCAACCCCCCCTCCTGGGTTCAAGCGATTCTCCTGCCTCAGCCTCCCAAGTAGCCGGGATCACAGGCACCCGCCACCACACCTGGCTAATTTTTTTGTATTTTTAGTAGAGATGGGGTTTTGCCATGTTGGCCAGGCTGGTCCCGAACTCCTGATCTTGTGATCCGCCTGCCTCAGCCTCCCAAAGTGCTGGGATCACGGGCATGAGCCACCGCGCCCGGCCTCTAGTTTTTTTACTTTAACATCATGTCATGAACACTCATTCCTGTTATTACAAAGTTATTTTAAAGAATATTAAAGGGTTAGCATTGGGAGATATACCTAATGCTAGATGATGAGTTAGTGGGTGCAGCACACCAGCATGGCACATGTATACATATGTAACTAACCTGCACATTGTGCACATGTACCCTAAAACTTAAAGTATAATAAATAAATAAATAAATAAATAAATAAATAAATAAATAAATAAATAAAAAGAAAAAAAAGAATATTTTAAATGGCTGTACAGTATTCTATTCTATCACTCTGAGTTTACTCCTACTTTTGGTTGTCCCCCCCGCACCCCACATTTAAAAATAATGCTTTGAGGCACATCCTTGAATCAGACTTTTTCCCTAGCTGAGATGATCTGCTTAGACTCTATTTACAGAAGTGGGTAGAGTTAAAGGGATATGACGATTTTCTAGACTCTAGGTCCATCTAGCCCTTCAGAAAGTGTGCCAAATTAAATATCCATCTGCGGCATCTTGTTCCAGACAATCAATTATTCCTATGCAAACCTCTTGAAGGTCTGATGTTTGGGGTTTAGGAAAGTCTAGGACCTCAAGTTAAGAAATGCTGCATTATGTAAATAACAATAACAGGTAAGATTAAAATAAAACAATATAACCTAGATGGCTCACCTATTTTTTAAAAACATCTCCATGGGCCAGAAATGGAACATAAATTTCAAATAGTAAGTGGTGCTGACGGGGTGCAGGCCATGCCCAAGAAGAAATGGCTGAGAATTCAATTCCTGCTCGGTAGAGTGACTACAATTGTTCAGAGAATGAGACAAAGCCAGGCTCCTTGCTTGTTGCTGGGGGGCCTGGATGTCGCCCCATGCTCTTGTGATGATGGGAATTGAAGACCCTGCCGCTATTCTCTGGGTGGGATCCATGGGGAGCTTGAGGCAGAGGGAGAAGCACACGAACCAGTGGAACCAGTCACAGGTTCAGAGGCTGAGCCAGTTCCCCCAGGCTCTGTGGCTAGATCTGGGTCTCCATCAGTATTGTTGTGGGGAAGAATTCTAAGCTGCCTTTTGAAGTCCTGGAGATTCAAGTGGCCACAAATGCAGAACTAGCAGAGATAAGGAAGTATGAACTCACAGGAAAGGAGAACTCAGAAGAAAGGAAAGGAGAGGTGAGAACAGAAAGAAGAGGGGGAAGAGTTCCATTTAAAAGGAGGCTGCAACCCATAAATCTGAAACCCATGAAGAGATCTAATGCCCAGAAAGACAACCGCCGAAACTGATACTGGGATCAGAGTTTAATCTGGAAACAGCGATTACTCAAAACTCTGCAGAAGACTTTAAAATAAGGATGTATAGAATATTCAGAGAGCTAAAAGTACAATAAATTAAGAAATAACAATAATCTAACTATGAAAAGAAGACATTATTTTGGGGAAAACATTGGGATAAAACATAAGGCAGGAAACATTTGATTGGAGAGTGTTTCGAATTGGAAATTGGTACTGAAAACCGCAACAAAGACACAGCACAGAAAGCAGAGTGTAAAAAATATTTGGAAAAAAGCAGTAAAAAGACATGGAGGATGGGTGGAGGGACCCTGACTTGGCCTTCCAAGAGTGGAGAGAGTGGAGGGAATGAAGACGAGTGATGTTGGGAGAAATAATTAGTGGGGACTCTCTGAGCTCAAACTGTCGTAGCAAAATGTAATAGACTAAGTGGCTTAAATAACAGATATTTATTTTCTCACAGTTTAGGAGGCTGAGAAGTCCAAGACCAAGGTGCCAGCCAACTCAATTCCTGGTGAGACCTCTCTTCCTGGCTTGCAGACTCTGCCACCTTCTTGCTGTGTGCTCAAAAAATCTTTCCTCGGGATGTGCAAGTGGAGAGACAGAGATCTCTCTCTTCTTCTTCTTATTACTCCACCAAACCCATCAAATTAGGACCCGGCCCTTATGACTTCATTTGACCTCAATTAGCTCCTAAAAGTCCTATCTCCAAATATAGCTTCAATGGGGGTTAGGACTTCAGCATATGAATTTTGAGGGATACAATTTTGTAGACACAATTGAGTCCAGAGCAGGAACTTTCCAGAAAAGAAGATATGAGTCCATAGATCAAAAGAGCACTCAGGGCCTGGGTGCAGTGGCCCCTGGCCACCTATAATCCTAGCACTTTGGGAGGCCAAGGCAGGTGAATTACTTGAGCTCAGGAGTTCAAGACCAGCCTGGGCAACACAGCAAAACTCCATCTCTACAAAAAGAAGAGAAAAAGAGCACTTAGGATCCTGAAAAAAAGAACCAAAACCAAATCCAACCATGTTGTAATGCAACTCGAAAATATCAAGGCTAAAAAGTAACTACAGAGCTGCTGGAGAAAAAAGATAGACTACTCATAGAAGAATAGCAATTTTTCTGATGGCTGACTTCTTATTGGCAAGAATGTATTTGAAAAAGGTAAAAGCGATATTTGTAAACTTTTGAGGAATAATAATCCAACCTTTGTTTCTAAATTAAACTTAATTAAAATTCAGAAAGGAGGGCAAAGCAAGACAATTACTAACATATAGAAAATAAGCCCCTTACAGACCTGCATTAAATGAATTATTAAAGGGTGCACTTCAGCAGGAAGAGAAGTGAACACAGAGAGAAGGCATGGAAGGAACAATGTTGACAAATGTTAACACTGACAAAAGATATTGGCAAATCAAATCAAGCATTGACATCAGAAATCATTTTAACATTAAAATGTTAACATTTTAATGTTAAAAAGGTAAAACTAAATTTCCAAATCAAAACTAAACTTCCAAATAAAGTGTGTGTGCATGTGAGTATATGTGAGCTTGTGTGTGTGTGTGTGTGTGTGTGTGTGTGTGCATGCGAGTATATGGAAGTCATGTGTGCATGTTTGTATGTGTGTGTATGTATGTATGTGTGTATCTGGTAAACTCTGCCACAGTGTTTTGCCAGTTATCAATCTATTACCTCCGAGCTCCCAAATCCACCTGTCCCTGTCTTGTTTATGATACTGGAATTATCCTCCTCTGCCAGCTGGCACGACATTAAGCTTCATTGGCAGATGACACTGGAAGGGCACTGAAAAAACAAAGGGCTCTTTTCCAGCAAGTGCTTCTAGAGGCAGCCCTGTGGGCGGCTTCCCTGGCATCCCGTATGGGGTGTTCTCTGTGCACCATCCCACCGGGGGATTCATCGTCAATAGGCCCTGCAGATGCAGATCCTCCCTTTTCTGTCACCTCTCCAGTGAAGCCTGGTCCTGTCTGTGGGTGGCGGGTCACTTCCAGGTGTGTTACTTTTCTGGGTGCTCCACCTGTACCCCAGGGCTGGTGGCTGCTCTTTATATCTGTGATTCAAATATTCTTTACAAGGTCTAACATCCAGCATTTATAAGGAACTTAAACAAATTTAGAAGATAAAAACCCAAACAACCCCATTAAAAAGTGGGCAAAGGACATAAGCAGACACTTTTCAAAAGCAGACATATGCGCGGCCAACAAGCACATGAAAAAAAGCTCTACATCACCGATGATTAGAGAAATGCAAATCAAAACCACAGTAAGATACCATCTCACACCAGTCAGAATTGCTATTATTATCAAAAAAAAAAAAAAAAAACAGATGCTAGTGAGGTAGTGGAGAAAAAAGAACACATACACTGTTGGCAGGAGTGTAAATTAGTTCAACCATTGCAGAAAGCAGCATGGTGATTCCTCAGACAGCTAAAGGCAGAACTACCATTCAACTCAGCAATCCCATTACTGGGTATATACCCAGAGGACCATAAGTCATTCTACCATAAAGATACATGCACACGAATGTTCATTGCAGCATTATTCAAATAGCAAAGACATGGGATCAACCTAAATGCCCATCAGTGATAGAATGAATAAAGAAAATGTGGAACATACATACCATGGAATACTATGCAGCCATTAAAAAGAACAAGATTATGCGTTTTGTGGGAACATGGTTGGAGCTGGAGGCCACTATCCTTAGCAAACTAATGCAGGAACAGAAAACCAAATACTGTATGTTCTCACTTATAAGTGGGAGCGAAATAATGAGAACACATGGACACGAAGAAGGGAACAACAGACATTGGGGCCTCCTTGAGGGTGAAGGGTGGGAGGAGGGAGAGGAGCAGAAAAAATAACCACTGGGTACTGGGCTTAGTACCCACGTGACAAAATAATCTGTACAACAAACCTCTGTGACACAAGTTTACCCAAATAACAAACCTGCACATGTGCCCCGAACCTAAAATAAAATTTAATAAAAAACCGAAGGAACACCACAAACGTTCCTTATAGATTTCTACCTTCTGTTAGCCAGTCTCTCCTTATTCCAATTCCCAGGAGTAGTTAATTCTTCTTTATAGTAAATGTCTTCTTTTCAAATTATTACATACCTCCTGTCTCCTGATTATACTCTGGCTAATATAGAAGGCTTTGCTATGGCCAGGAGAAAGATAAAAATATCAATTAACTGTTGACATTGTTAAAAAAAAAAAAACAAGTTAATTGTGTAATTAAACAATGGAAAAGTTACCACAAAAAAATAGAAACATAATTTCTTGTCTCTCACTTATCAGAAGGAATGGAAGAAGATAGAAAATTTTATTAAAAGAGCAGAACACAGAGAAAAGTTGCTGTTTTAAAAAATTGTTAAAAATGAAAGAATTATACTTCTTGAATTTATTTAATTTTATAGTGTGAAATATGCAAAACAATAGTGTAAATTGTGCAATACTAATTGCACAAGTTAGTAGATGTGCATCTTGGGACACACATCTCAAAATGGATAAAATCCCAGTTCTGGAGTGGGAGACTCCAGTAGTGAGTGGTGACTCACTAGTGACTACGAGCAGTGACTGACCCTGGAAAGCAGGAAAGGGTATAGGATTAGATGTGGTTCACTGGGGGTCATAACTGAATCTATAATGTTTTACTTTAAAAAAGTATGAAGCAAATATGACAAAATGTTAAGATCTGATTAAGCTGGGTGGTAGGTATGAGCTTATGATATTATTGTCTGACATTGCTGCATATGAAATATTACATAATTACAACATAATACAAAAAGTCTATTAAGGACACTTATATGGAGAAAGGAGAAGACATATGCAAGATACAAATAGGAAACCTAATACCTCTTGATTGGAATTAGAAGAAACTTGCTACTTAATGATGCCCAGACTTTCTCCTTTGATGGGAAAATAATTCATATTAGGATTCCCATTAGAGTTTTGGGAGTGGGGTAAGGGTCAAGAGGAGAGAGCCCCAGATACTTTTTACCCCTTGATCTATAATGCAGCATGCTTTGTATGATTTGAAAGCCCTTTTACTTGATTTTTTTTTTTTTTTTGAGACAGAGTCTCTCTCTGTTGCCCAGGCTGGAGTACACCGGCACGATCTCAGCTCACTGCAACCTCCGCCTCCGGGGTTCAAGCAATTCTCGTGCCTCAGCCTCCTGAGTAGCTGGGATTACAGGCATGTGCCACCATGCCCGGCTAATTACTTGATTCTAATCTTTCACCCAGTCTCATTCCCTACCATTTCTCCCACAAATCTACATTGCAATAATAATACACATTTTATTTCTGAAATACCATGTGCTTTCATGATTCTGTCCCTTTGCTTAGAATGCTGTCCCATCTACTTTCAATGCCATTTTCTCTTCCCTTCCTGGTGAGCTTATCTTTCTCATGACGCCTTCTCCTCTTGAGCCCTTCCCTAGCCCCTCAAGTGGAGTTAGTTGCCTTGTACTTCACATCCTCACAGTACTCTGTACATGCTCACCCCATAAAAGCATTCGATGCAGTGCATGCCTGTGATCCTCACTATATCTGAGCTCCTTGAAGACAGAGGCTGTGCTGAAGTTACACAGGTCAAGTTATTCATCAGGCGCAGATTACCCGTAAACGTAAGCAACCAATCTCAACTCTACAGATGAGGAAATCGAGCCTCAGACACCTTAAGCAACTTGCTGAGGTCACACAGCTGGAAAGTGTTAAAGCCGAGGTGAAAACCCTGCATTTGTCTGATTCTAAAGCCATGCTACTCTGTGCTGCCTCTGGGTCTTACTCACCACGAGGTCCCCAGGATCTGTTCCATAGCTAAGTGCATAGGAGGCCCTCATAAGTATTTGATGAATGGATGAAAGCATAGATGAATGCGCAGGTCAGTGAGCATGCCCAGGAACCACTGCAGGCAGAAAGCACGTTATCTGGAAGGTATACCAGAAACAGCATGTTTATAACTTGTGTGTGGAGAGCAGATAATATCAATTTGAACACTATTTCTACTTTCATTCTAATATGTTTACCAAAAAGGGCAACTGGGCTGGAAAACAGTACACCCCCACATTTCATTGCTGATTAAAATGATTTAAAATGTACTATGAGCGACTTCAAATAAAGAGACAGGGCGAATGCCAGAAATAGCAGAAAATGGAATGAAGACATGGAGGTAAGATAAATAGGATCCGAAATATCTGGGTCTTATGAATGAGAAATCACAGAATAGAGCTGCTCACTTTAGTTTTGTGTGGCCAACAAATTATAATAAGGCAAAGAATCCAGCATTCATGCATGGATTCTTAATGAAATGTATGTGGTATTCCAAGAGGTTCTTCCATCTGGAGATCTCAAAGTACTTAGCAGATTTTTTTTTTTTTGCCTAATTGGAAAAGGGAGAGATTCTTTCACCTCTCATTGAACTGATGCCAATTATAGGATAAAATTAAAACAACCTCGAGCTGCCAGGTTCACCTGGGAGGCCAGGAGGATGCAGGAGTCAGTGATTGGGGCTGGGGCTAACATTAAGACAGGTGAGAAGAGTTTGTTGTCTCTAAAGTGAGGCACGAGCCATTTATTCATGTGATGCCCTCATTGTTCAGCATCACAGAGCACAAAGGTCTCAACCTTGGGCAGTGGTGAGGCCAGAGTGTGAGCACTGGTTCTGGTACCTTCTTCCTATCCAACCACAGATGTGGAAATGACTTCCCTACTTTGAGTCATTTCCTCATCTGTAAAACTGGGATGACAACAGCATTAAATCTGATGCTATTGGTCCTCATTTTATAGATGAAAAAATTAATCTCAGCAAAGTTAAGTGATCTGCCTAAGGTAACAAGAAGTGATGGTGTGGCCGGGCGCGGTGGCTGACGCCTGTAATCCCACCACTTTGGGAGGCCGAGGCAGGTGGGTCACGAGGTCAAGAGATTAAGACCATCCTAGCCAACATGGTGAAACCCCATCTCTACTAAAAATACAAAAATTAGCCAGGCGTGGTGGTGGGCGCCTGTAATCCCAGCTACTCGGGAGGCTGAGGCAGGAGAATCTCTTGAACCCGGGAGGCGGAGGTTGCCGTGAGTTGAGATTACACCACTGCACTCCAGCCTGGGCGACAGAGCGAGACTCCATCTCAAAAAAAATAAAAAAAAAAAGAGAGAGAGAGAGAAGTGATGTGCTGGAATCCACACCTGGGCCTCCTTGATTCTAAATCCTGCATCGTTCTCCAACTCCTCGATTCTGTCTGCCTGCCTCATTCCTCTATCTTCTCATTACCCAGATGGCAGAGAGGAGATGCTGTGAGACAGATGGAAGGAGATGGCCATGGCAATGCAGCTTGTTATCTAGCAAACAAACCAGGGGTAACCTATTTGCATATTTAAAAAATGATGGGCCGGGCGCGGTGGCTCACGCCTGTAATCCCAGCACTTTGGGAGGCCGAGGCGGGCGGATCAAGAGGTCAGGACATCCAGACCATCCTGGCTAACACTGTGAAATCCCGTTTCTACTAAAAATACAAAAATTAGCCGGGCGTGGTGGCGGGCGCCTGTAGTCCCAGCTACTCTGGAGGCTGAGGCAGGAGAATGGCGCGAACCCTGGAGGCGGAGCTTGCTGTGAGCAGAGATGGAACCACTGCACTCCAGCCTGGGCGATAGAGCAAGACTCCGTCTCAAAAAAAAAAAAAAAAAAAGATGAACATGCCAATAATAAACGATTTTGGCTCGAAGGTGACACGCTCAGCTCTTACACTTAGTACCCCTTGGGGTACTAATGGATGCCATATACAAAAATCCTTAAGTCAACACTCAAATTATTGTCGTAGGTTAATCATGAGTAATTTAGAGGATGACAATTTCCTAAACTCCACTTACTTTTTTTAAAGGAACATGTTCCCATGTTAATAAGTGCATTCCAGCAAGATGTGATAACTATGAGGATTAAAGGCCCTTGGTGCAGACTGGGTGGTGGAGATTGGAGCAGCAAGAAGGACTCTTTCAAAGCCCTTGATCCCCCGACACCACTCTTGCTAGGTGGCTCATCTCTTCCCTTGCAGAGCACACACGTTAGCCACTAGGTGGCGGAGTTGTAAAGCCAAAGACCCAACTGCAGACCAACAGAGGCACAAGAATCTCCCTGGTTAGACCCAGAGAGACTGCAGTCAAGCTCGCTTTCTGATGAGTTTAAAGTTTGAAGGCAAGAGAGACTTTTCTCTTTAAAACCATTTCCCCATATTACAACTAGTGCTTCATCCTTCAGTAAAAGTCTGGCATTTTCACTGTCCACCCTTCCACCTGTCCACGCACCCACCCATCCATCCATCCACCCATCCATCCATCCATCCATCCATCCATCCATCCATCCATTTTTTCCATCCACTCATCCACCAAATATTTGTGAACATCCACTAGGTACTGAGCACTATGCTAGGCATTAGGGATACAGCAGTGAACTGACAGACCCAAACTTCTCTCTCATGGAAGAGCTTACATCCTAATGGGGGGAGAAGGACATTAAACTGTAATCAGACACCTAAACGGACAATTGAAACCTAGGAGACAGGTTGTGAAGAGACGGCATCAAGGCCTTTGAGAGTGTGCCACATTCAGGGACCTGATGTTTCTGGTGAATGTATAACTAGGTGAGGTGGGTTGGGGGGTTGGGGGGGTGGGTGTCTAAACTGAGAATATACAAAGGCCCCAAAGACGAAAGGGGCCTGGTGAGCTCAAAGTAGGCCTGGCAGGTTGGGAGAGAGCAGTGGGAGAGGAGGCTAGAAACCCAGGCAGGGACTGGGTCATGTGAGGTCTTACAGGGCACAGAATGGAATTTGAGTTTGATTTTATGTTCAGTGGAAAACCTGGGGGTCTCCATCATCTGAACGTGCCCCTGCCCCAGCCTCATCCCCTGCATAAATTCCACACTGTGCTCTAAGGACCTCATCCTTTACAAGTTCTTCCTACTCCCCAGAGGGATGGGTAGGACACATCTCCAAACCTCACACTGAGATGGGGCTGTTGATCACTGACAGGATCTTGCTCACAAGGGTAGGAGGACCCTTGGAGTTTTTGGAAGCACAGCAGGGAAAAACCTCAGGCCCTGGAATCAACTTCAGCCTTTGGATGATGGGAAGGTGAGGAGACAGGGGCAACCATCAGCAGCGAGCTTAAGAAAAAGGAGGCTCAATACTCTTTTCCCCTCTACACTTGGAGAACCCACTCTTTCCCCCCAAATGCTATGCACAATGATTTTCTAAAATTCAACAGTCATTTTTTGAGCACCTGCCATAATGTGTGTCCAAGGTCAATGATGTGTTTAAGAAGCCACACTTAAGAAACTCTGAGGAGTGTGCATGGGTGAGGGGGCAGACAGATACCAGTGCTCTGAGTTAAGAATTATAACCAGGGCTTGTGGAAAGTGCTATGAGAAGCCACGGAAATGTGACCTTACTTAGTCTAAAGGAAGTGGTTCCCCAAGAAAGTGATTTTTCAGGTGGGTCTTAAGGGATGAATACTTGTTATCTGGGGAGACAAGATTCTCAGTTAATGACATGCCTGAGAAACAGTCAGCAGCTGGTTGGTGGAGAGAGAAACAGACTGGATCTTGGAGGACCAGGCTTAATGTGGATTTCGTATTGTAGAAGGTGAGGAGCCCTAGAAAGAGAAAATGTGCTCATTTTTTCCCGAAGGTTGATACAGTTCTGCCGTGAGTCAAAAGTAGTGGATACTAAGAATCTGAAGTACTGGGCTACTGTATAGCACTTAAAATAATCCAACTAGAGCAACATTAAAGGTAAAAAGCAAACAGTGCAAGGAAGTATACAGCATGCCATTTATTTGAAGTTTAAACACACACAAGAGAATACAGCATGTTGTTTATAGCTGCATGCGTTTGTTTGTTTGCTTGTTTGTTTTGAGATAGGGTCTCGCTCTGTCACCCAGGCTGGAGTGCAGTGGCACGAGGATCTCAGCTCACTTCAACCTCCGCCTCCCAGGTCCAAGTCATTCTCGTGCCTCAGCCTCCCAAGCAGCTGGGATTATAGGCATGCACCATCACACCCAGCTAATTTTTGTATTTTTAGTAGAGAATGGGGTTTCACCATGTTGGCCACCAGGCTGGTCTCGAACTCCTTACCTCACGTGATCTGCCTGCCTCGGCCTCCCAAAATGCTGGAATTACAGGCATGAGCCACCGCACCCGGCCGCATGTGTATATTTTAAAAGGACAGAATCAAGCCTGGGAATGCAATGCACCAATTTCTGGACGGGGTTCTCTTCTGGGGAAGGAGGGTAGGCATGAGATCAGGGAGGATGCCCAAGATGGCTCAGCTGTTTCTGTAACGTGTTGTTGTTTTTAACATAAACAGCAAAAAGATCTGAAGCAAACACGAGTAAGTGTTAAGATGTGCTCAAACCAGGTGGTAAGTGCCTGGGTGTACATTATCTGATTTTTGTCTTTGTAATTTTCTCTCTGTTAAAAAATTTGTGATAACAATATTTTTTTTAAAAAAAGAATCATAAGTACCATATTTTCTCTCCTACGTCACCATTCCCCATTGAGTGAACATGTTTTAGTGCCTATGTGTTTAACAGTGTATACATTTAATAGAGACCTCATCCAAAAATGCTCTCCGTAAAGAATGCTGGAACAATTAATTTGACAGTTTTAAAAGTAGTTTAAAGATGCCCAAGATAAAGGTTTTTCCCAAGCTCTGGTATTTGCTCCCCACTTTTTCCTTTGGTTAGAGACGTTGCCATGGTAACAGACAGGGTCCTCAAAGCTCAGAGTCACACTTTGTGATGTGAATCTGGGACTGAAACTGTTTCCTTTCAAAGATGGATGGAAAAAGAGGAAGATTTCACAGACATAAAAGCCTCGATGTAAGTCGTGAAAATAATTACCATAGTCATGATGGCTTCCACCTGCTGCACGCTCGCTGTATGTCAGGATGAACAGTAACTCACTAAATCTTTCCATCAGCCACAGCTATTCCCATTTTATACATGAGAAATTGAGCCCCATAGAGGCTAAGGGATCTGTCTAAGGTCATGTTAGAGGTAACTGGTGGAGGCAAGATTGAGCCGACTCCACCTGACTCCAGAGTAGCGACGTCCTCCACCTCTTGCTTGGCTTGCAAGACCTTTGTTATTAGAAGAAGCGCCTCTGAGGGATGTGTCCCCATGACCACGTCTGACAGTATGATGGGCACACCAGGAGTCCAGACAGATTCAACAGTTCAGCTTTGCTCAGGAGAAGGTATTGAATGACCTGACCCAAACATCTGAGCCAAAGATGCAAAAGGAATTTGGTTCTGAAATTTCCAGAGAAGCAAGAAATTCATCCTTAAAACTCAAATGTAAAATTTGGCAGCAAATTCAATTTTTTAAAAATACACTTTGTAAGCCAAAGAAAACACGTCTGGAGGCTGTATCAGCTGCCCATTGGCAACCTCAGATATTGGTGATCAGCATTCGGAGGGATGAGCTCCCTCAGAATAATTTTAAGCAGAAAAATCCACTATCTGTTAACTGTCAACCTCCCCCAAAAAATCACTGGAAAAAAAAATCCTGTTGATCCAGCAAAGTTAAGTTTGTTGGACTTACTGCAGTAAAGAAGAACACCATTGTGGCAGAATCTTGGTAGAATCTCAAAATGGGGAAAGGAAGGGAGGATATTTATAGTTTGAGGGTCTAAGCTGGGCGTTTTAAAGGTGTGTCTCACAAGCAGAGCCTTGGATAAAGCTAGGTAAAGTTGATTACCCAAAAGCTTTCACTTGTGGGCACAGTGAGGGCCATAAAGTGAGGCTTGCTGAGTGAGCTGCTGGTCTTGATAAGTAAGCTATTTTAGTGGCTTTCCAGTCTTATCTTCTACAAGCAGGTATCTATTTCTTTGCTTTTTTTTCTTCTTTTTATTGTGGTCAAAATATACATAATATAGAATTTACCATTTTAATCATTCTTAAGTGTACAGTTCAGTGGCATTAAGTACATTCACATTGTTATACAACCATAACCACCACCCAGTTCCAGAACTTATCTTCCAAAACTGAAACTGTGCCCATTAAGCAACAATGCCCCATTTCTCCCTTCCCTACCCCCTGGCAACAACCACTCTCCTTTCTGCCTCTATGAGTGTATTCTAGGTTAGCTGATATCGGTGGACAAACATAATCCTCTATCTCCACAGCAAGCAATTCTGGGACTGGGTTTATTTTCTTGATGCCATGTTAAACAATGTGTTGATACCCTTTTTAGATCAGACCATGTTTCAGGAAGGTCCCTCTGGCTGCAGTGTGTGGATGCTGGTCTCTGGAACAGTTCTCCCACTGCAAGCCATTTTTAAAGGATCCAGTGATCCCCTTCCCATCCACAGTTCAAGCAAAACTGTGCCATTTCTAAATACCTAAAGGCCATCAAAAAGCAATAGTAGGAACTAGATGTGGCTTACTTTGCTGGAAGGCCTGCGAGTAGGTGCCAGGTCGTTAGGACCTTTGGAAACAGGCTGCTTGACATCACTCTCAGGCCCCGATAGAAACTGACAGCCACAATTGGGTGAGCAACAATGCAAAACTGCCATATGGAAGCTCTTTTAGATGGTTTCTGTTGGAAACTCAGGTTTCCTTGGCCCACAGCCTTTTCTAGTCATTTGCAGTCATTCTGAGCTCTCTGGAGCACATCTGGGGCCCGAAAGCAGAACATTTTTGGCTAAGAAGCATCTTCAAATGTTAATGTCTGATTGAAATCATCTCTGAAGTGAATGGGTTTAACCTTTATTTTTACCAAGACTCATGTATGGGTCTGGCTGCCACAACCTTTTTTTCCTGTCTGGAAGCACCTACTGAACTTCTGTCCCAACAAATACTTCTCTGGCTCCTATTTTCTACACATCACTGGTGCCCGCATAACAAGCAAAGGTGAGTCTGCCAGTGGGTAGCCTACAATTTAGCTGGGCAGACAGGACAAGCACTCCGGCAATAAAAGGCAATGCAGTATGGGTGATAAGCTATTTACGCTCATGTCAATGATGCTCTCTAAAATCACTCTCTGCTCCCACGCAATGGTTGCCTTTTTATCCAGTGGCTTATAAGAGAGGATATGTGAGAATATCTAGAGAATTTTTTTTCTTTTTTCTGTAGAGACAGGGTCTCCCTATGTTACCCAGGCTGGTCTTGAACTCCTGGTCTCCCATATCCGCCTCCCAAAGTGCTGGGATTATGGGTGTGAGCCACCTGGCCAGCCCCAGAGATACTTTCGATTGTCACAACTTTGTGAGGTGGTGCTTTGGGCTTCCAGTGGGTAGAGGCCAGAGAAGCTACAAAGCATCCTGCAATGCACAGGACAGCCCCCACAATGCAGCATTATCTGACCCCAAATGGCTATAGTGCCAATGTTGTGAAACCCTTTTTGAGCCCTTTTCCTATTCATATATATCCAGATGTGATCAAAATTGTTAACATCTCCTGAGAGCTTTCTATATCCTCGGTACTGGAATCATTGAATCTTCACCACAACCTTCTAAGGTTGCTACTACTATCATCGATCATAATTTACATGTAAAGAAACTTTAAATAAATTGCCCAAATTCACGCAGCTAGAAAATGGTGGAGCTGGGGTTTGCACGGAGAACCCAGTCCATCTGTGTCGTTGGAGCTTTGCTGCAGGGAAGAGAAGATCGGGGCCACCTATGTCAGCATGACTCTGGTTGTTCTTCTAAACAACTTTCCCCTCGGATGAGACTGTAAACCAATGAGTAACTTTATTATTTCATCAGGACATTTCTGTGGATCGATTTATTGAAGACATTAAAGTGTTTGCCAAACAACAGTCTACCCATCAAGCCTCACTTCACCACTCCTGCCTTCCTGTGCCCACCAGTCCTGAATGATTGGATTACAAACTGCCCAATCCAAGTCAATCTTATCTTGGAAAAATGCCTTAGATCATTTGAGCCCAGACCCTATAGGGTCCTGTAACTATGCTGCTTCTGACTCTGGGCTCTGAGACATGACTAAGACTCTGTCAAGACAGATTCTCCTTTACTGCATAGGGTTCTAATAAATGTAACTTTGCTTTATAAATGGGTTGTCCAGTGATATTTGGGGAGCTCAACAGCACCAAGCTGTCTAAACCCAAGGCCCTCTGCTTTTTGCCATTTGCTATACTGTTTGCTAGTACAGTTTTTATTTTAGCTCAAATCAGATAATACTATACATATTATCCCATGATTTGCTTTTAAAAATGTTTAATGGATTTTAGGAACCTTTAATTGTCAGTTAATACCAACCACCTCACCTGCCCCCTTCCTCTTCCCCCCATGGCTACATAATATTTAACGGAATTGACATATACATCTTAATTGATTTTTCCGGTTCCTTGTAGATAGAAATGTAGGTTGTGGCTACTCTGCCTATGGAGTAGGCATTTTATAATTCATTGACTTTTTTTTTTTTTTTTGATGAAGTCTTGCTCTGTCACCCAGGCTGGAGTGCAATGGCGCAATCTCGGCTCACTGCAACCTCCACCTCCTGGGTTCAAGTGATTCTCCTGCCTCCGCCTCCCGAGTAGCTGGGATTACAGGCAGGCGCCACCACGCCTGGCTAATTTTTGTATTTTTAGTAGAGATGGGGTTTCACCATGTTGGTCAGGCTGGTCTCGAACTCCTGACCTCATGATCCGCTTGCCTCGGCCTCCCAAAGTGCTGGGATTACAGACGTGAGCCACAGCGCCTGGCCAATTCATTTACTTTCTTAATAAACTTGCTCTTACTTTACAAAAAAAATTTAAAAAAAAGAGAAGTGTAGGTTGTTTTCATTTTTCTTAATTACAAATAATATCACAATGTAACCCAATGTTGTATTCACATTTAAGTATTTTTTTGTCCAAAACCCAAGTATTTAATTTTTTAAGATTGACAAATAAAAATTGTTTGTATTTATCATGTACAGTATTTATGTTTTGAAATATGTATACATAATGGAATAGCTAAATAAAGCTAATTAACATGTACATTACCTCACATACTTACATTTTATTTTTTGCAGTGAGGACACTTAAAATCTCCATGTGACCCAGCAATCCCATTACTGGGTATATACCCAAAGGATTGTAAATCATTCTACTATAAAAACACATGCACACGTATGTTTGTTGCAGTGCTGTTCACAGTGGCAAAGACTTGGAACCAACCCAAATGTCCATCAGTGATAGACTGGAAAAAGAAAATGTGGTACATATACACCATGGAATACTATGCAGCCATAAAAAAGAATGAGATCATGTCCATCAATGATAGACTGGAAAAAGAAAATGTGGTACATATACACCATGGAATACTGTGTAGCCATAAAAAAGAATGAGTTCATGTTCTCTATGGGGACATGGATGAAGCTGGAAACCATCATTCTCAGCAAACTAACACAGGAACAGAAAACCAAACACATGTTCTCCCTCATAAGTGGGAGCTGAACAATGAGAACGCATGGACACAGAGAGGGGAACATCACATACTGGGGCCTGTAGTGGGGCGGGGGCTGGTGGGGGTAGCACTGGGAGAAATACCTAATGCAGTTGACAGATTGACAGGTGCAGCAAACCACCATGGCACACGTATACCTATGTAACAAACCTGCACGTTCTGCACATGTATCCCTGAACTTAAAGTATAATTTAAAAAAAGAAGAAAAAAATAAAATTTAAAAAATGCTCTTTTAACAGGAAAATGGCTTTGTTTTTAAAACTAAAGGGATGTTTCGTGCTGTTTAACTAAAAGAAAGCAATTAAAATAGGAACACACAAATAAAAATTAACATAGTAAGTAGAGGTATTTGAATGTACCTGGACCATGGCTATTTCACTGGTGACGAGACCATAATGCATAACAATATTACATTCTTTAATATCCAGACCTTCTTCTGCCACTGTGGTAGCCATAAGCAGATTTATTTTTCCCAGTACGAAATTTACTAATGACTTCTTTGTGTTAATTCTGTAGAAACATTTTAATAAATTTTGTGATACTAAACACATTAAAATCTTCTAATAAAAAATAAAATCTACTCAGCAGTTTTCAAGAATACAATACATTGCATTGTATTATGTTGTAGTTCAATATAGCTACTATAGTAAACTATGTATATGCATCTATATTCAATAGATCTCTTGAATGTATTCCTCCTGCCTAACTGACATTTTGTATTCTTTGACTAACATCTCTCCAATCTCCACCATGCCTCCACCACTAGCCCCTGGTAAACACCATTCTATCCTCCGCTTCTATGAGTTCAACTGTTTTAAATTCCACAAATAAGTGAGATCGTGTAGTATTTGTCTTTCTGTGTCTGGCTTATTTCACTTAATGTAACGTCCTCCAGGTTCATCCTTGTGGCTGCAAATGACAGGATTTATTTCTTTTTAAAGGCTGAATAATATTCCATTGTGTGTATGTACCACAATTTCTTCATCCATTTATCTGTTGATGGACACAGGTTGATTCCATATCTTGGCTATTGTGAACAGTGCTACAATGAACATGAGAGTACAGACATCTCTTCAAGATACGAATTCCATGTCCTTTAGATATATAACTAGTCGGTGGCGGGGAGGGGTCCTAGATCATATGGTAGTTCTATTTTTAATTTTTTGAAGAACCTCCACACTATTTTCCATAATGGGGGTACTAATTTACATTCCCACCAATAGCGTACAAGGGTTTCCTTTCTCCTACATCCTCACCAGGATGTTACCTTTCATCTCTTTTATGATAATCATTGTAACAGATATGAAGTGATATATGATTGTGGTTTTAATTTGCATTTCCCTGATGATTAGAGAATTGGCTTTTTTTTTCATATGCCAGTTGGAAATTTGTAAATCTTCTTCTGAGTAATGTCTATTTTTTTTTTTTTTTTTTGAGATGGAGTCTCGCCCAGTCACCCAGGCTGGAGTGCAATGGTGTGATCTTGGCTCACTGCAACCTCCGCCTCCTGGGTTCAAGCGATTCTCATGCCTCAGCCTCCTGAGTAGCTGGGATTACAGGCTTGCACCACCATGCCCTGCTAATCTTTTGTATCTTTAGTGCAGACGGGATTTCATCATGTTGGCCAGGCTGGTCTCGAACTCCTGACCTCGTGAACCACCTGCCTTGTTCTCCCAAAGTGCTGGGATTACAGGCGTGAGCCGCCGCACCCAGCCTATTCAGGCCATTTGCCCATTTTTAAATTTTGTTGTTTGTTTTCTTCCTATTGAGTTGTTTGAGCTCCTTATTTATTTTGAAAATTAACCCCTTATCAGATGTATGGTTCACAAATATTTTCTCCCATTCTATAGGCATCTCTTCGCTTTGTCAATTGTTTCCTTTTCTGGGCAGAAGTTTTTTAGTTTGATGTAGTCCCATGTGTAAACTTTTGCTTTTGTTGCCTATGGTTTTAGGTTCATATTCAAAAAATTATTGCCCGGGCCAATATCATAGAGCTGTTCCCCTATATTTTCTTTTAGTAGTTTTACAGTTTCAGATCTTATATTTAAGTCTTTATTCCATTTTGAGTTGATTTTTGTATATGGTGTGAGAGGAGGGCCTAATTTCATTATTTGAAATGTGGACATACCGTTTTCCCAACACCATTTATTGAAGATGTGGTCTATTGTGTTCTTGGCACCTTTGTTGAAAATTAACCATAAATGTGTGGATTTATCTCTAGGCTCTTTGTTCTGTTCCACTGATTACATGTTTTTATGCCAGCACTATGCTGTTATGTTTTTTTTAAAGTTTTATTTTGTTTCTATTGGCACATAATAATTTATCGGCACATATTTACAGGGTACAGTGTGATGTTTTTACATATGTATAGATTGTATACCAATCAAATTTGGGTAATTAGCATATCCATCACCTCAAACACTTGTCATTTCTTTGTGGTAAGAACATTCAAAATCCCCTCTTCTAGCTATTTTGAAATATACACACATTACTGTTAACTCTAGTCACCCCACTCTGCAATAGAAGAGCAGAACTTATACCTCCTATCTAACTGTAACTTTGTGTCTGTTGACCAATCTCCATCCATTCTTCTTTTTCCCTTATCCTTCCCAGCCTCTGGTAACTACTCTTCTACTTTCTACTTTTAAGAGATCAACTTTTTTAGATTCCACATATGAGTGCGATCATGCGGTATTTGTCCTTCTGTGCTTGGCTTATTTTAACTTATCAACTTCAGGCTCACATTTGAGTATTTCTATAACTTTGACTTTACTTTGACATATAATTGCCAGGTCAAATCTTGTAAATTTCAAATTTAAATATATGTTTTCAAATGGTCCTCCAAGTTATCTTTATTAATTTAGCAGTGGGGGATGAGAATGTTTCCCCTTATTCTTCCCAATACCTGAGAAATTGGGGGCACAGTTACGACTAAGCAATAGTTGACTATTGTCACATGGAAATTTATGCCTGGTGGTAAAAGTTATTTTTCAAAAGAAGCTGAAATTCAGACACTTTAAGTAAAATCTCCTGATTTTTTAATGTCGTCAACTAATTGCATCTTTAAATAAACGTTTGCTACAAGCCAGTTTCAACCTGCATGCCACCAGTTTGCAAACTCTGGAGAAGTTGATCTTGAAGAGATCGCTAGAGATCAATTGCAAACCCTGGAGCAGTTGATCTAACAAGACACAGGACAAGTCATGACAAGGCAGTAAATTAGATGGTCAAGTGCACAGGTTGGACCTATTGTTTCCCTGGGGCACATATTTCCAGCTACTCTAGGGTAAAATGTGTGTTTCTCAGGCTGGGTTGAGCATCTCAGGTGAGCTTGGAAGTCATACTAAGGACATATTTCTACAGTATCCATTCATAACATGGACTGCAACTGCTAGAGCAGCTGGAAGCAAGCACCTGAGGCAGCTCAAGTGGAGGAAGGCCCTCCCCCTGGAGCTATTGACTCTTCTCCAGGAGCAATTAAGAAACTGTTGAAGAAAAGGATAAAGAGGGAGCCTACCAACAGGTTGTTTGCTGGGGGACCCAGGGATCCCATTGATCTCTGCCACCCCCAGATATCTTATGAAAACCTGAAAATGCCAACAAGTCTTGAGCGAGACTCATTGCAATTTTTCCTGCATTTCTCATCTTGGTAAACGTCATCATCAATCAACCAGAAAAAAAGACCACTAAGGGGTTTCACACCTCTACGCTATTTCTATCTTGCAATGAATTTTGGTCTCCACCTGGGTGGAGAATTCTTGCTGGCCCTTCACAGGTCAGCTAAAATGTTATCTCCTCCAAGATACCTCCCAAACTGTATTTGTTGTGGTATTACTTTCTCCCCACTCTGTTTTCCCACAGCATTTTTACGCCTCTCTTAAAATACTTATATTTCTCTATTGCAGTGTTCTGCTTTACCTCTTTATCTTCCTAACTAAGGTCCTCAAGGAGGAGTCAGCACCTCGAGGAAGGTTTTACCCGATTCATTTATGGATGCTTCCCCCATAGCAGGTACCCAACAAATGCTTGTTTGTGGCAGTTTTTACATAGGTCCACAAATTCTTTGACATTTCTTCTATAAAGTGGTAGAGTCTGTGTTCCTTCCCCTGAAACTGGGAAGGCTTGCATGACTGCTTCAATCAACAGAATATAAGGCTGGGCACGGTGGCTCATGCCTGTAATCTCAGCACTTTGGGAGGCCAAGGCGGGAGGATCACCTGAGGTCAGGATTTCGAGACCAGCCTGACCAATATGGTGAAATCCCGTCTCTACTAAAAATACAAAAATTAGCGGGGTGTGGTGGTGGGTGCCTGTAATCCCAGCTACTCAGAAGGCTGAGGCAGGAGAACCGCTTGAACCCAGGAGGCGGAGGTTGCAGTGAGCTGAGATCACGCCATTGCACTCTAGCCTGGGTGACAGAGAGAGACTCCATCTCAAAAAAAAAAAAAAAAGGATATAGTAAAAGTTATATGACTTTTGATACTGGATTACAGAAGGTGATGCAACCTCCACCTTGCTCACTGAAACATTTATTTTTGAGGATTTTAGCTGTTATGTAAGCAGTCCAAACACCATGAGACCACCATGGTGTGAGGAAGTCTAAACTAGCCCACAGAGAGAGACCACACAGAGAAATCCTGAAACTAGTGGAGAGAGAGAGAGAGAGAGAAATCCAACCAGCCCCAACTGCTTCATGCTTCATACCCTGCTTTCCGAGGCTAATCACCATCTGACTATAACTGCATGTGATACTCAGCCAGAAATGCCCAGCTGACCTTTTTCTAATTCCTGACCCACAGGGTCTATGAGAAAAATTAAAATAATTGTTGCCGTTGTAAGCCACTTGTTTTGGTGGTGATTTATTGCACATCAAGAGATAATAGGAACAGAATTTTTTACCTGGAAGTGGGCTGCTGCCTTGGTTCTGCCTTTGGGACTGGGTGGGGGAAGGAGACATTGAAAGAGCCTCAAGGGGAATCTTAGCAGAAGCCTGACAGGGCTTGAGGAGGCTGTCAGTGAAGAGTTAAATGAGAGAAGGAGAGAGTTAGAAGCTGGAGGAAAGCAGACCTTTGTTATAAAGAAGTGAAAACTTCAGCAACACTGTGCCCTGAGGTAATGTGGAAGATAGAAAATGTATTCAATAAACTTGGTGAGGAAGACTGTTGGGCAGTATGTCAAAGGTTAAATCTGGCTGCTAGCTTCCTGTAGTAAAATGTAAAAGGATAGAGATTAACCAAAGAATAAGCACTTCAGATTTTTGGTAGATTTTGAAACAAAAGACCTCAGGGAAAAGATGAAATAGAGGGTGCTGTTAGCAAAATGCGGTCTGAGAGTAAAGATGAAGCTAAGAGTATGACTATGAAACTCTTTGTTAGCATCTCAGAAAAATTTAAGTGGTGTCTTAGAGACTTCTTCAGGTAGACAAATACTGTTCTAAAGATCTTATGGGGATGACTTTCAAATCCCTTTTGTTAAAAGATAGACTTTCTAAAATTTTTAGGGAAATTATCCTACCATTACCTCAGAGGAAGCCCCAAATCAGTAAACACATTTCTAGGGGAAATTTGTGGGTGTGGTGTCATCTATCTAATGGAATGGTTTTGTACATTGATACATAGGAAACGCACAACGTTTTTAAAGGACTTACATCATCTTGGAATGAAAGGGACAGAGACAGTACAAAAAGATAAGAGGTACTTGGCTCCCTAACCTTTTAAGGGTAGGAAGCAGGCTGAAAACATAAGTCACATCCTATGGAAAAGGAAAGAAAACTTAGTAGAACAAAGAGCCCAGTGGGCAAAGCCAAGAGGAGTGGAGAATGACTCCCAGGGAGTAGGACTGAGTCCTACTCAATAAGCTGGAAACATGTGCCTGGCTGGAATTTAGAAATGCTACAGATTTCAGTTTGCCCCATTTTTGCGTTTTTTGTTTTTTTAAATATTTATTTTGGGTTCAGCATACATGTGTAGGTTTTACAGGTAAATTGTGTGTCACTGGACTTTGGTGTACAGATTATTTCATCACCCAGGCAATAAGTATAGTACCTGATAGGTAGTTTTTTGATCCTCGCCCTCTACTTACCCTCCACCCTCAAGTAGGCCCCAGTGTTTCTTATTCCCTTATTTGTGTACATGTGTACTCAATATTTAGCTCCGACTTATAAGTGAGAACGTTTAGTATTTGGTTCCCTGTTCCTGTGTTAGTTGGCTTAGAATAATGACCTCCAGCTCCATCCATGTTGCTTTAAAGGGCATGATCTTTTTCTTTTTTATGACTGTGTAGTATTCCATTGTGTGTATGTACCACACCTTTTTTATCCAGTCTACTGTTGTTGGAAATTTAGATTGATTCCATGTCTTCACTATTATAAATGGTGCTGTGATGAACATACATGTGAATGTGTCTTTATAGTAGAATTATTCATATCCCTTTGGATATATACCCAATAATGGCATTGCTGGTCAAATGGTAGTTCTGTTTCACATTTTTTTTTTTTAAATCACCAAACTGCTTTCCATGTTGGCTGAACTAATTTACATTCCCACTGGCACTATATAAGCAGTCTCTTCTCTGCAACCTCAGCAGCATCTGTTATTTTTTGATTGGCTACAGTTTACAAATGTTTTCTCCCATTCTGTAGGTTATCTGTTTACCCTATTGATAGTTTCTTTTGTTGTAAAGAAGCTCTTTAGTTTAGTTAGATCACATTTGTCAATTTTTATTTTTCTTGCAATTGCTTTTGACATCTTCGTCATAAAATCTTTGCCAGGGCCTATGTCCAAAATCATATTTCCTATGTTTTCTTCTAGAGGTTTTAAAGTTTTAGGTATTCCATTTAAATCTTTAATCTATCTTAAGTTGATTTTTGTATATGGTGAAATGAAGGGACCCAGTTTCAATCTTTTGCATCTGGCTAGCTGGTTATCCCACAACCATTCACTGAATAGAAAATGCTTTCCCCATTGCTTGTTTTTGTTCACCTTGCCAAAGATCTGATGGTTGTAGGTATGTGACTTTATCTCTGAACTCTCTATTCTGTCCCATTGGTCTATGTATCTGTTTTTGTACTAGTACCATGCTGTTTTGGTTACTGTAGCCTTGTAGTATAATTTCAAGTTGGGTAATGTAAAGCCTCCAACTTTGTTCTTTTTTCCTAGCATTGGCTATTTAAGCTTTTCTTTTTTATTCCAGATAAATTTTAGAATAGATTTTCTAATTCTGTGAAAAATGTCATTGGTAGTTTCATAGGAATAGCATTAAATCTGCAAATTGCTTTGGGCAATATGGATGTTTTAACAATATTAATTCTTCCTATCCATGAGCATGGAATGTTTATCCCTGTTTGTGTCACCTCATTTCTTTGAGCAGTGTTTTGTAATTCTCATTGTAGAGATCTTTCACCTTCCTATTTAGCTGTATTCCTAGGTATTTTATTTTTTCTCTGTGGTGATTGTGAATGGGATTGTGTTCTTGCTTTGGCTCTCAGCTTTGAAATAGTTGGTGTATAGAAATGCTACTGATTTTTGTACATTGATTTTGTATGCTGAAACTTTGCCAAAGTTGGTTATCAGGTCAAGGAGCTTTTAGACATAGACTATGGGGTTTCTAGGTATAAAATCACATCATTTGCAAATAGACATAGTTTGACTTTCTCTCTTCCTATTTGGGTGGCTTTTATTTCTTTCCATTGCCCTATTTTTCTGGTTAGGACTTCTGCTACTATGTTGAATAGGAGTGATGACAGTGGGCATCCTTGCTTTTTCTGGTTCTCAGAGGAAATGAGTCCCGGTTTTGCCTATTTGGTATGATGTTAACTGTGAGTTGTCATACATGGCTCTTATTATTTTGAGGTATATTCCTCTGATGCCTGGTTTGTTGAAGGTTTTTAACATAATAGTATGTTGAATTTTATCAAAAGCTTTTCCTGTATCTATTGAGATGATCATATGTTTTTTGTTTTTAGTTCCATTTACGTGATGAATCACATTTATTGAGTTGCACCTGTTAAACCAACCTTGCATTCCAGGCATAAAGCCTACTTGATTTTGACGAGTTAGCTTTTTGATGTGCTGCTGGATTCAGTTTGCTAGTATTTTGTTGAGAATTTTTGTATCTGTATTCATCAAAGATATTGGCTTAAAGTTTTTTTGTTTTTTTTTGTTGTGTCTCTGCCAGGTTTTGATATCTGGATGATGCTGGCCTCATAGAATCAGTGAGGAAACAGTCCCTCTTCCTCTACTTTTTGGAATAGTTTCTGAAGAATTGGTACCAGCAATTCTTTACACACCCAGTAGAATTCAGCTGTGAATCTCTCTGGTCCTCGGCTTTTTCTGGTTGGTAGGTTTTTTTTTATTATTATTATTACTAATTCAATTTTGGAACTCGTTAGTGGTCTGTTCAGGGTTTCAATTTCTTCCTGGTCCAATCTTGGTATGTTGCATGTTTTCAGGAATTTATTCATTTCTTCTAAGTTTTCTAGTTTGTGTGCATGGAGATGTTCATAATAGTGTCTGAGGGTTTTTTGTATTTCTGTGGAGTCAGTGGTAATGTCCTTTTTGTCATTGCTGATTGTGCTTATTTGGGTCTTCTCTTTTTTTCTTTATTAGTGTAGCTGGTGGTCTATCAATCTTATTTATTCTTTCAAAAATCAACTCCTAGAATTGTTGATTTTCTGTATGTTTTTTCATATCTCAATTTCATTCACTTCAGTCCTCATTTTAGTTATTTCTTGCCTTCTGCTAGCTTTGGGGTTGGTTTCCTCTTGCTTTTTTTTTTTTTTTTTTAAAGGTGTGATATTAGGTTGTTAATTTGAAATCCTTTTAACTTTTTGAGGTAGGCATTTAGCACTATAAGCTTTCCTCTTAACATGGCTTTAGCTGTGTCCCAGAGATATTGTTATGTTGTAGCTTTGTTCTCATTACTTTCAAATAATTTATTGATTTCTGCCTTAATTTTATCACTTACCCAAAGTCATTCAGGAACAGGTTGTAATTTCCATGCAATTGTATGGTTTTCAGCAATTTTCTCAATGTTAATTTCTATTTTTATTGTGCTGCAGCCCAAGAATGTGGTTGCTATGATTTTGATTTTTTGAATTTGCTGAGAATTGTTTTATGGCCAACTGTGTGGTCAATTTTAGAGTATGTACCAATGAGAAGAGTGTATATTCAGTTGTTTTGGGATGGAGAGTTCTGTAGATGTCTGTCAGGTCCATTTGGTCAAGTGTCGAGTGCAGGTCCTGAATACTTTGTTAGTTTTCTGCCCCAGTGATCTGTCTAATATGTCAGTGGGGTGTTGAAGTCTCCCACTAGTATTGTTTGGTTATCTAAATCTATTGACAGGTCTTTAAGAACTTGCTTTATGAATCTAGGTTCTCCTGTGTTGGGTGCATATATAATTAAGATAGTTAGGTCTTCTTGTTGAATTGAACCTTTTACCATTATGTAATGTCCTTCTTTTTTTGTTTGTTTTTAATCATTGTTGGGTTAAAACCTGTTTTGTCTGAAATTAGAATAGCAACCTCTGCTTTTTTTCTGTTTTCCATTTGCTTGGTAGATTTTTCTCCATCCCTTGACTGTGAGTCTATGGTGTCATTGCTTGTGAGATGGGTCTCTTGATGACAGTATATAGTTGGGCTTTGATTTTTTATCTAACTTGCCACCCTGTGCCTTCTAATTGAGGCATTTAGGACATTTACATTTAAGGTCAATATTGATATTTGCATATTTGATCATGTCATCATATTGTTAGCTGGTTATTATGCAGACTTGATTGTGTAGTTGCTTTATAGTGTCAATGGTCTATGTATTTAAGTGTGTTTTTGTAGCATCCAGCAATGGTCTTTCCTCTTCTTATTTGGCATTTCCTTCAGGACCTCTTGTAAGGCGGGTCTGGTGGTAACAAATTCCTTCAGCATTAGCTTGTCTAAAAAGGATCTTTTTTCTCCTTCACTTATGAAGCTTTGTTTGGCTGGATATGAAAATTCTTGGTTGGGATTTCTTTTCTTTAAGGATGTTGAATATAGGTCCCCAATCTCTTCTGGCTTGTAGGGTTTCTGCTAAAAGGTCCACTGTTAGCCCAGTGGAGTTTCCTTTATAGATTACCCGCCCCTTATCTCTATCTGGCTGTAAAATTTTTTTTCTTTCATTTTGACCTTGGAGAATCTGATGATTGTGTCTTGGGGGTGGTTGTCTTGTATAGTATCTCACAGGGGTTCTATGCATTTCCTGAATTTCAATTTTGGCCTCTCTAGCAAGGTTGGGGAAATTTTCTTGGACAATCTCCTCAGTGTATTTTCTAAGTTGCTTGCTTTCTGTTCCTGTCTTTCAGGGATGCCAAGTCACAGATTTGGTCTCTTTACATAATCCCATAATTTTTGGAGGTTTGTTTATTCTTCTTTATTCTTTTTTATTTTTGTCTGATTGAGTTACTTAGGAGAATCAGCCTTTGAGCTCTGAGATTTCTTCCTCAGCTTGTTCTTGTTCTGTTCTGCTATTAATACTTTCAATTGCATTACGAAATTTTTGAAGTGAGTTTTTCAGCTCTAACAGATCAGTCTGGTTCTTTCTTAAAATGGCCATTTTGTCTTTTGTCTCTTGTATTATTTTATTGTATTCCTTAGATTCCTTGGATTGGGTTTCAACTTTCTCCTGGATGTCAATGATCTTTATTTTCATTCATATTCTGAGTTCTATATCTGTCATTTCAGTCATTTCAGCCTGGTTCAGAACCATTGCTGGGCAACTAGTGTGGTTGTTTGGAGGTGAGAAAACACCTCTGGCCTTTTGAGTTGTCAGTGTTCTTGTACAGATTCTTTCTCATCCTTCAGATTGAAGGATGATGCCCCTTCAGTCTTTGAAGTTGCTGTCCTTTGGATGAAGTTTTTTCTCTTATCTTCTCTGATGCCCTTGGGAGTTTGATTGTGGTATAAAGTGAGTTCAGTCAACTGGCTTCATTTCTGGAAGATTTTAGCAGGCCAAGACTCAGCCCAGCACTCCCGGGCTGCGTGCTCTAACTTTGGGTGGTTTGTACCAGGCCCCTGGTTTTGTTCTCTGGCCCCATGAGGTTAAGAACCTGCTGCACTAGAGGAGCTGTGGTGTTCCCAGTCCATCGGCCACAACACTCTGATGAGGGGCTTCCACCTGAAGCACATCGTCAGTGTGGTGACAGTGGGATTTGTGCTCACTCGCACATGCCAGAAGCCATACCAGGGTGCACACACAACTCTGGGAAGCAACACTGGTGGGGGTGTTGCTGGTACCCGTGCTAACACTCACAGCAGCAGCAGGGCAGGGCGCTGGTGTGGTTGCTGGATCCTGTGCACATTTTTGCTCCATTTGTGAATGGAAGTACTTAATGTGGTTATCTTATGCCTGTCCCACCATCATATGTTGGCATGTTATGGGTGAGTAACTTGTCTCTGCAGAACACTGATTAGATTTAGAAGAACCATATCTAAGGATCCTCATCTGCACCCAGACCTGATATAGATGATGAGATCCTAGACCTAAAGTCCAAGCCCAATGCTGTAACAGAATGAAACTTCTTGGGGAGAGGGGGCCTTGTGAGGAGGTAAGTGTATTTTGCATGTGGGAGGAATGTAAATCATTTGTGGTTAGAGGGCAGACTCTGGTAGTTTTAAAATACATCCTCAATTTCTTTTATACTCAGCTCTTTGTGGAGTAGAGTCTCTGTCCCTTCCCCTTGAAAACATGTAGGCTTCTGCAACTGTTTAATTGTGGAAATGAAACTACATGACTTCTGGTGTTGAAGGATTAAAGGCACACAACTTTCCTTTTGGTCACTGGAACACTCACTCTTGAAGCTTTTGACTACCATAAAACAGTGGTCCAACCGCCCTGAGATCATCACGCTGTGAAAAAGCCCAAACTAGCTCACACATGGGAAGCCGTGGGAACACACGAAGGAAGACAGATGCCAGCTGTCAGCTCTCAGCTGCCTCAGCCATCCACTATTCCCATTCATACATCTACCTGCAACTGTATGGGAGACCTTGAGCCAGACTCCTCACCTGGGCACTAACTGAATTCCTGGCTCATAGAAACTATTACAGATAGTAATACAATTGTTTTCAGTCACTAAATTTTGGAGTAACTTGTTATGTAGCAATAAATAACTGAAACACCTATTTCATAAAATACGGCCTCACTGAGAGGCACATATTGTGCACATTTCAACTTCAGTAGTTAAGAGTGTGAAATTGGCAGGCGCGGTGGCTCACGCCTGTAATCCCAGCACTTTGGGAGGCCGAAGCAGGCGGATCTCCTGAGGTCGGGAGTTTGAGACCAGCCTGACCAACACGGTCAAACCCCGTCTCTACGGGGCATGGTGGCACATGTCTGTAATCCCAGCTACTCGGGAGGCTGAGGCAGGAGAATCACTTGAACCTAGGAGGTGGAGGTTGTGGTGAGCTGAGATCACACCATTGCACTCCAGCCTGGGCAACAAGAGTGAAACTCCATCTCAAAAAAAAAAAAATAAAAAGTGTGAAATTACATTTGCATAATCAAGTTAGAGTAGTCAAGATCTTTACAGATTTTCTTCAACAGCAAAAAGAAATATTTCATTTTGCTATAAACAAGATGATGTCAAGCTTACTTTTGGATAACTGTGTGGGAGTTGGGCAGAAGGCCTGGCCTGTGTCTCCATATGGTGCTTTCCAGATGACTCTTTTGTTATCTGATTCCTTGAAGCCATACCTCAACATTTGACTCTCTCTATTGGACTCATCTTTAGCTCAAACATTTCTTCTTTCTGTCTAAAGAATGAGACATACTTGCAGTGGAAATTTAAGTTACCACTAGAGAAAAAGAAAAACAAGTAACAAAAGGAAGAGATTTTCATAAGTAAGAGAGTCTAGAAAATATTTAATAGATAATATTTCTATTATAGGGTTAGAAATTTTAGCAGGAGATTATTAGGAAGGCTGTGATTTTAACTATGGATGATTTTTCATGAGGCTTATTTGGATGCCACATCATTTTTTATGTGAAATTAGAACTTAGAAAAATTATGCCAGTGGTTATTTCTGTTAATGGGACCATAGGTAACTTTTCTTTTCATCTCTTGCTTATCCATATGTTTTTATATTTATCACTATTCAACTTGTATTAGAAAAAAACACATTATGACCTCGGAATTAATATAGTATTATTAAATAACACACTGAAAGCATAGCTATAAAGAAAAAGAGCAACAAATCCTATTGTAATAAAACCAAGATCTTCTGTTGAGAAAAACTTCAATAAAGTGAAAACGAAAGCCACAAATGGAAAGAAACATATAAATAATAAAGGATTGATGTGCGCTATACGTAAAGGATGCTAACAAATCAATTAGGAAAAGAGAATACATCCAATTGAAAAATAGGCAAGAGACATGAACAGATATTTCATTAAAGAGGAAGATCTGGTCCCTAATATGTGTATGAGAAGGCACTCAATATCATCAGTAATCAGAGAAATGCAAATTGAAATGTCAACTATATGCTATTTTATATCCACTGAATTGAAAAAAGTTAAAAGAAATAGCCTTCAATCAATACCAAATGCTGATAACAACGTGTAGCTACAGGTGCTTTTTTTTTTTTTTTTTTTCTACTTTAAGTAGCTACAGGTGCTCTTATCCATGCTAATGGCAGTAAAACTGGTTCAACCACTTTGGAACACAAGTTGACACTGTGGAGCAAAGTTGATAGTGTACACTCCTTATATGCTGGCTATTTTCCATTTGCCTTTCTGGACCCCTTCTCCACTTGTCTTCCCACTGTTCTGTGCCTGGGAGGCTGACTCACACACAGTGCATCACAAACTGCCTTCATGCGTATATCTGGATTTGGCTGACTGTGGCTGCAGATCTGAAGGCAGAAGGAGAGTGAGGGCAACTTATTCATCTCCCAGCTCCATGCTCCCTTGCCTGCGCAGTTTGCTGGTGGCTATGTTCTTCTCCTAACCACCACAACTTCAGTCTGACAGCCCTCTTCCTCAGTTCTCACTCTACGTCCTGGGAACTGTTCCTTCCGGTCTTAGGGTGCTGACAGCTCATGCTGCTTTGAACCCTAGGATGCTTCACCATCCTGTTCGTTGTTCTCAACCCTGTGTCATGCTTGTAAATAGTTCCTGCACTGAACTGCTTCAATTCAATTGAAGACAATTGGAGTGTATGTCATCTATCACCTATGGCAACCTTGACTAAAATGAAACATGACCTAAGAATTTCACATCTGGGCATATACCCTGGAGCAGTGTTGTGCAGCCGAAATCTAAAGCAAGCCACACATGTGAGCACACATGTAACTTGAAATTTTCCAGGAGCCACATTTCTAAAAGTTAAAGGAAGCTGGTGAAATTAATGTTAACAATACTTAACCTAGGATATCAAAAACATTAACATTTGAACATGTAATCCATATAAAAATTATTAATGAGATACTTTACATTCTTTTCTTTGAGGTAAATCTTGAAAATTGAGTGTGTATTACATAATTACAGCACATCACATTTTGGACCATGTTGTGCACATTTCAAGCGCAGAATAAGAATAGCCGCACGTGGCTAGTGACTACCGTACTGGGCACCACAATCCTACAGAAAACTCTTGCATAAGTTTCCCAAGAGACAGCCTGACCATCCCAACATTAAGGCATATTGCTTCCACACAAACA
Organism: Homo sapiens; assembly: GCF_000001405.40. NCBI lineage: Eukaryota > Metazoa > Chordata > Mammalia > Primates > Hominidae > Homo > Homo sapiens. The sequence goes on from NC_000005.10 coordinate 174,973,435, forward strand.
GAAAAGGATTGCCTCTGGTTGGTTGCAAGTATTTCTCATCCATCTTCTTCAAACCAAATACTCCTTGTTTACAATGAACTTCAATTAAATTTATTTATTTATTTATTTTTGAAACAGAGTCTCACTCCATCACCCAAGCTGGAGTGCAGGGGCACAACCTCAGTTCACTGCAACCTCCGCCTCCTGGGTTCAAGCAATCCTCCTGCCTCAGCCTCCTGAGTAGCTGGGACTACAGGTAAGCCCTGCCATACCTGGGTAATTTTTGTGTTTGTTTTGTTTTGTCTTTTTAGTAGAGACAGGGTTTTGCCATGTTGGCCAGGCTAGTCTCGAACTTCTGACCTCAGGTGATCCACCCACCTCAGCCTCCCAAAGTGCTGGGATTACAGGAGTGAGCCACGGTGCCCGGCCTACAATGAAATTTTAATGAAAGGTTTAGGAAACTGCACCAGTTACAGAGTTGGGTGGGAGGAAACTGAAAAAGGTAGGTTTGGGTCCAGTTACCGTGTTCTCTCACTCGTCACAGAAAAGTCCCTGTATGATCTCTCATTCTCTGCCTACTCCCTTTTTTAACAGTCTTTTTTTAAAATTATCATTATTATTATACTTTAAGTTTTAGGCTACATGTGCACAATGTGCAGGTTAGTTACATATGTACACATGTGCCATGTTGGTGTGCTGTACCCATTAACTTGTCATTTAACATTAGGTATATCTCCAAATGCTATCCCTCCCCCTCCCCCCACCCCACAACAGGCCCCGATGTGTGATGTTCCCCTTCCTGCGTCCATGTGTTCTCATTTTTAACAGTCTTTTTAATTAAGTATTTTCATTCTATCATTTGCACCTCTTTCTCTGCTCCTGTCCCACAACATACTCCTGTGGCCAAGCTACTTCTTCCTAATAAGTCTCAGGCCTCTGGCCCCTTCTGTGTTTTGCAAGCTCCACAACCTCTGTTAATTATTGCGTATCAGTGATTATTTTCCTGACTATAGGAGTAGCAGATGTGTATTAGTCTGTTCTCATGCTGCTAATAAAGACATACCTGAGACTGTGTAATTTAGAAAGAAAAAGAGGTTTAATAGACTCATAGTTTCATATGACTGGGGAGGCCTCACAATCATGGCAGAAGGTAAAGGAGGAGCAAAGTCACATCTTACACGGTCGCAAGCAAGAGAGCCTGTACAGGGGAGCTGCCCTTTATAAAACCATCAGATCTCATGAGACTTAGTCACCATCATGAGAACAGCATGGGAACAACTGGCCTCCGTGATTCAATTACCTTCCACTGGGTCCCTCCCACAACATGTGGGGATTATGGGAGCTACAATTCAAGATGAGGATTTGGGTGGGGACACAGTCAAACCATATCAAGGTGAGAGAGCAAGTTCTGATCTTGGTGGAAGGAAAGCCTTCACCCCTTCCTTCCAAGAATTCTCATTCTCAAAGCTGCATTGTGCATATGTCTTTAATATATGTAGTGATCTCCATTTCACTCATGCTTTTGGAAATGAACCACTCCATTCCATGAAGGCTAGGGGAAGGTCTTACCAAATTCCCTCTCAGATTTTAAAGAATTCACTTGGAGTAAAGAAAGGTGAAAATTAGGAAAGAACAACAACAAAAAGAACCAATTTTAAAGAGAGAGAAAATACAACTTTTAAAGCTTTATTTTGGGTTAAGATTATAGCTGCAGGGAATGATAATTGAGTAGATATTAATGTGCAAAGTGCTGTCTAAATAATTATGGCTGGCAATGGTATTCAATTATCATTTTTGAAGATAGAAAACATTTAGAGACGGTCAGGTTAACAGGGTGCTAATTCCAGAAGGCAAGCATTTTAAAGTGTTGGTGGGAAAGTTGCCACATTAGAGACTAATTTATTTTAAGTACAAATCAATAGCCAATTTACAGGATAAAGTGAAGGTATTTTGTAAAGTGTAAAAAATGATGCTGTTGTAAGAGATTAACTTTATTACCAGATAAGATGTGGCAAGTTTTACAGAGAGAAATGCCACCTGTTCTACCCAATACCCTATATTCTTCCCCTATTCTACCCATCTACCTTCCTTTTCTTACCCCAGCTACTCCAAAGAAAGAAAAATGGCCAGTTTGGTCAGATATCAAGACCTTTACAGGAATATGGTTGGCCAATGGAGGGATCAGGGCCACCAAGTGTCAGAAAAGCTATTCTGCTTTCTACCTCCCTCTGTCAAAGTCACCTGTGCAAGACTTGCCTCTTGGGGCTAGGACAGCTGGCATCTCTCCAGTGGGGCACAGGTATATTAGGGGCTCAGTACCCATTCAGTCCCAGCCAGCCCTCTTCCCTCTGACCCGGCCTAAAGCCCACTTCCCTCCTACTTGCAAGAGTGGCTTATTAAGGGTCCCAAGATTTGAAAACAGGAAGAATGCAGGAGCCCTTTATACCTCAGTCTTGAGCTTTGTTCTCCAATTCAGGGAGAATGTGAAGCTCTGTTTTAATTTTTTTTTTTTTTTTTTTTTTGGTTCAAAGAGGGAAGTGGGGAGGTGGGGAGAATGGTGAGAATATAGGATGCCTGTTCCACTTTCAATAAACAGTATAATATTTTTTCCATTTTGCTATTGTTCTTTATATGTGTTATTCTCTTTGCAAAAAAAAAAAAAAAAAAAAACTGCAGAGAACAGGGCAAGTAGTAGACATCAGCCAACAAAATCCAATTTTTATCCCAATATCCCACATTATTCTCCAACCCCAAGAAATTTGGCTAGTGTCTGTGTGAGATTTAAAAATATAGAACACTCAATTAAATTTGAATTTCAGATAAACAATTGGCATTTTTCAGTATAAGTATGTCCCAAATATTGCATGACACATATTTATACTACATTTTTGTTATTTGTCTGAACTTCAAATTTAACTTGGCTTCCTGTATTTTTATTTGCTAAATCTCACAATCCTTTATCTACGTTCTGATTCTCTCCAGAAGTAGTTAGTGCAATGTCTAAGAAAGAACAAGGAGACTAGAGCCGTACAGACCTGGGTTTGAATACGTGCTCTGTCACTCATCAGCTGTCAGATCTTGGGGAATATATGTCACCAAAGTCAGTTCAGCTTCCTCACCTGAAAAAACAAAGATAACAATAGTGCCCAGTTTATGGGGTTGTTGTAAAGACGAAATAAGTTGATGCATGTAAAGCACTTAAAATAGTGCTTGGTAGGTATGAAGTGTTCAGTAATATTTGTATTAAAAGGCTTTCTGGTATGGCAGCAAATATCATTCAATGGCAGTTCTTTGGTGCCCGTCCTATGCTCCAATTTATAGATCAATTTATATAAACCCAAAGTCTTCTTCACAGGGAATCTGATATGTTTACCCAGGCCCTTACACCCTTTCTAATGGAGCCTGTCAGCCGATGAGTCTCTCAACTCTTTCGTAGTGAGAGAAGCACATCAAAATGCTCTGAGAGCAACATTCTTAAATCCTCTTATAAAAAACAGGCGAAAATTAGCAAGGATGTTTCTATTCAGAAATAGGTTAACCCCTTTTTCCTTTTGCTACAAAAAGAAATGTCTACTGAAATTGTGCTGAAACAGCTGGAGGGATGTAACACTGGAAGTTATATGAGCTAGTTCAAGAAAGGAACACAGGGAAAATAACTTTACTGTTTATGAACTCTTTTCGTTATTACAGAAGTTATTAAAGTGTCTGGAAGGGCTCTCGCCAAACCTAGCTATTGTGTTTATGCCTCTAATAGTACTGGGATGGGCAATTCACTGTTTGTCCCCTTTGCTTTTTTTTTTTTAAATAAAACTATTTTTATATCTGACTTGTGTGGTTAAGTTATTTAGAAAATATAACAAAAACAAGTAATATCTGCTCATGAGACTCTATTTCAAAGTACAATCTCTCATCACCTACTCTCACTCCCAATAAAGACACCATTAGTCAATTTTTTATATATCATTTTAGAAATTTCTGTGACTCCACAAGAATATATATAACACAGCCTTCAAAAACCAGAGCAAGGTTTTACTCTACATAACTGTTGAACAACTTGCTTTTGTCATTTATCTTACTATGGAAACTTTTCCAAATCAATACGTATACATTTTCTTCAATCTTTTATATAAGCCTGTCTTCTATAGTGTAAATGTACCAAACTTAACTGCTCTACAAGAAGTGGTTATAGAAATACTGGTTTAGGAAAAGCTAGGCTCTTTGGGGCGTGCAGTCATTTATCTAATCTTGTAAGTAACTTCAGTGGATTAAATTTTCCCTTATAGGTGAACGAAAATGAAAACACAGCATACAAAAATAGTATGCAGCAAAAGCGGTGCTCAGAAAAAAGATTATAAAATAATACCAAAAACAATGCTATGCTAACAAATTAGACAAATAAGATGAAATAAGAGCATTCCTAGAAACACAGAAACTGCTAAAACTGACTCAAGATAAAATGGAAAATCTGAATAGAACAATAACAATTAAAGAGACTGAGTTAGTAATTTTATAAAATCTTTCTAGACAGAAAAGTCCAGGACCAGATGGCTTCACTGGTGAATTCTACCAAATGTTTAAAGACGAACTAACACCAGTCCTTCCAAAGTGTGAAAAAGGAGGAAATACTTCCTACCTCTTTCTATGAGGCCAATATTACGCTGATACCAAGAGAGGACAAAAACATCACAAGAAAGAAAACCACAGACCTGTCTCCCTTATGAATACGGATGCAAAATCTTGAATAAAATGCTAGCAAACTGAATGCCAGCACCTAGCAGCATACAAAAATGATTGTGATATACAAAAAAGGATTCCTATTATAACTGAGATTTTGTATTTATTTTTTGTAGAGACAGGGGGGTCTTGCTATGTTGCTTACGCTGGTCTTGAACTCCTGGCCTCAAGCAATCCTCCTGCCTCGACCTCTAAAAGTGCTAGAATTATAGGCGTGAGCCACCATGACTAGCCTGAGTGAGATTTATTTCAGGAATTTAAGGTTAGTACAACTTATGAAAAACAATCAATGTAATACGACAAATTAACAGAATAAAGGACAAAAACAACATGATTATCTCATTAGATAATGAATGAACACATCTGTGAAAAATCCAGTTAATATCATATTTAATAGTGAAAGACTAAAAATGTTCTTCCTAAGATCAGGAATAAAATAAGGATGTGTGCTCTCACCACTTCTATTCAACATTTTACTGGCAGTTCTAACCAGGAAAACAGGCAAGAAAAAGCAATAAAAAGCATCCAGATTGGTAAGGAAAAAGTAAAACTACATCGATTTGTACAAAATCCATAGAAAACTATTAGAGCTAATAGACAAGTTTGAAGGATACAATAGCAGTATAAAAATCAATTATATTTCTGTACACTAGAAATGAACAATCAATAATGAAACTAAGAAAACAACTCCATTTGTAATAACTAAAAAATAAAATACTTAGGAATAAATTTAACAAAGGAAATACAAGATTTGTTTACTGAATGACTAAATATCATTGAAAGAAATTAAAGAAAACCTAAATAAATGCAATGATGACCCATGCTCATGAACTGGAAGACTTAATATTATTCAGATAGCAATACTCCCCCATGTTGACCCGAAGATTCAATGAAATACCTGTGAAATTCTAACTATTTTTTTCCAGAAATGAACAAGATAATTCTAATGTTCATGTAGAAATGCAAGAGCCAAAAATCTCCTGAAAAAGAATGAAATTTTTTCTTACTTCAAAACATGATACAAAGCTCAAGTATTACAAACAGTATGGAACTGATACAGGATAAGCATATAAATCAACCTAATAGAACTGTGATTCTAGACATAAGCCATAAGCCAATATATCTATGGTCAATTGATGTTTACCCAGAGTGCCAAGACCATTCAACAAGTAAAGAATAGTCTTTTCAACAAATGTTGCTGGGACAAGTCTCATTTCTACATGTAAAAGAGTGAAGTTGGACTCTTACTTCACCCCATATAAAAATTAACTCAAATGGATCAAAGACCTAAATGTAAGAGCTACAGTTATACATCTCTTAGAAGAGATGTGTAAATCCTTGTGACCTTGGACTAGGCAATGTTTTCTTACCTATAACACCAAAGCATACACAGCAACAACAAAAATGGGTGAATGGACCTCATCAAAATGAAAAACTTGTGTGTGCCAAAGAACACTATCCACAAGGTGAAAAGGCAACCCACATAATGGGACAAAAATATTTGCACATATGTATCTGATAAGAGTCTAACATCCAGCATATACAAAGAACTCTTACTATTCAACAGTAATAAAAATGTTCTGGAATTAGAGAGTGGTAATGGTTGCACAAACTTGTAAATGTACTAAAACCCACTGAACTGTTTTCAAATGGTGAGTTTTATGATATGTGGATATCAATTAAAATATTTTTAACAGAATTCCCTTCACATATTTAGTCAACTGATTCTGTATGTACGTGCTTATTTATTTGAGAAGTGTTGATCAAGTTCCATCCGTATGTCTGACACTATTCCTCTGTGGAGGATGAAAAACCAATGGTTCCCACCTTCAGGATGGGGAGGGCTGTGAGCCACAGGGAGGGTGGAAATTAGTAAGACGAAGGCAGGAATTGGAGATAGTATTAGAAAAGCAAAGCCTAGGGCAGTCATGTTGGTGAGGGGAGAGCCCTGGCCTTGAAGTTGAACTGCACGTATGGGCTGAGTGATAGTCGTTAAGTCATTTAATATCTCAAGGTATTTATTCTGTTTTCCATTCATGTCACTAATGGGACTATGCATCTCTGCCTGGCTGATATTTAACATAAGAAGACAGTCAGGGACCATTTAGCTCAGTGCCCACTACGTGTGCAATGTCGAGCACCTATTCATGGAATCTGATTTCCCCCTGAGCTCAGGAAGCTCAGGGGGAAAGCTGGCTCCTTCAGAGCCAAGTTCAAGGATTTTCAGAATGCCCTTTTCTGGCTGTGTTTCTGACCAAAATTCATATTCCAGAAAGGGTGAGAACCTAGATGGATTTTCATAGGTGGGGGGTCATTTGGAGTCAGCAGGAATGCACATCTTGGCTAACAATACTACTAAGACCCAAGGCTATATTCTGTAGGGGATACTGGATACTCCGAAGGAAGACATGGGGTCCATTTGCAAAAGGAGACATGGCTGGTGGGTAGACAGAAACTATAATGTCCCTTATAACTATCTAACCCCACACTCCTTGCAAGCCTTAACCACCCTGGCCTCACAGAACCTCCTCCTCAGAGTCCTTTCTTTCCATCCTTAGTACAATATGGTTCTGAAATCCACAAACCAGCATCGTCCCCAGCATCCCTCATTGATGAAGTGGGATAGCAGATGTGAAAGCCTTTTGCAAATTGCAAAGTAGTTTATAAATATGAGTCTCTATTGTCACTCATGGTGGGAGTTTTCTGCCTGCCATGAACAGGGTTGAGCTGTGGAGAAAGGCCTAGGGACCCAGAGAAGCTTCCTTTGGAAGACTTACCAGATCTGGATGGGAAAGAAACAGTTTCTTTGGGTTGTTGGCTTGTAAATAGCTGATTAGATAAACAACTTTCTAAACAGCCTTTCAGATCTGGAATTAACACTGTGCTCCTCCTCACACTCCATGAAAAGAAAACAGGGAGGGCCGGGGCACCTCACTGACCAGAGGGAAGTGTAGGGAGAATTCTGTTTACTGCTCCTCCCCTTCTCTATTAGCACGCCCCCACCCCAGGGCTGGAGCCTCACTGGACCAAGGCAGTCTTAATGATGGCTCAGAGATGGCAGGAACCAGGGCAAAGCTTCCTCCCAGTAACAGTATTTGTTCCAGATGTGGGCAAGTGACCCAAATTGATTCAATCAGAGTAAAGCCTACTTATTTTTGTTTAATATTGAGTGAAGGAAACTCCCTCTTTCCTTGTGGGCAGTTGGGGGGTGCATGTGTCGTCTAAAAATTTGCATTCCATTGCTATCCTCTGAGTCTTTCTTGTTTACTATGGTGAGATACCACGAGTGATTTACACTTGTTATCTCATTTGATCCTCTGCCTATCTTGTGAAATGTGCACTTGTATCCTCACTTTGCAGAGGTTCCCAGAAGTTAAACGCCATGCCCAGTAGGCGTCTGTCAGATTTGGGATCGAAATTCAGATCTTACTGACTGTGCTTTTAACGTTGTTCCTTTCATCAAAACAGCCTTGCCCTACCTTGCAGCTTGAGAGCCACCTATTCCTTGTAATGGAACAAAAATTATGAACACACCAATGTTCTCAGTGTTCCCCCTCTTCCTCCTGCTGCTAAAGAGGGTGGAGTATTCTCCCTGCTTCCACCTTTGCCTGGTGGCTTGTTTAACTTCTATTATACATGACGGGAACAGGGAAAGGAAAACATATGTGGATGGGGACGAAAGGAGGCAAGGGAGAGAGGGAGGAACAGCGGAAAAGGCAGAAGGAGGTTCGTTTTAAAGAATGTGGGACTAGAAAGGAGAGCTTCAGAAGACTGAAAAGGAGGGCTTCACTGCACTGGAGAGACAAAGGAAAGAATTTGGGTTCTATTGAAAATAATTTTTGGTGGCTGGACTTTGTCTCGTGGAGTGACACCTGCTCTGAGGCCATACACTGGGGTCACGGTGTCATAAACATTTCATCAGCAAAACACAGAATGTGGGGTCCGATAATCATGTTCCTTCACAGCTGAACAGAATGTGACATTTTGCTAAAAACCTTAACATATATGCTTTGTTTTATTTCTCGCCTGAATCTGTCAGGTAAATAATGTTATCTTCATTTTGTTCATTAATCCTACATTATGAAAGAAATTCCATAGAAAACTAGGCAGCCCCAGAGAGTAAGAAAATGTTCTCCTGAAGATAGAAGAAAACAAAAACAGAAAACAAAGCAGAAACGTGGTAGCTTTTTCTGCAATGTCCAAGGGGGAGTATTTCCTGCAGAATAAGGGTTACTAATAACGTCTTTTATTTATTGAGCTCTTCTGGAAGTGGTGCAGTATCATTTCATTCAACAGACCTTAAAACTTCCCAAAGGAGATATTGTTCCTTTTTCCACTACACAGATGAGAAACTTGAGACTCCACTGTGGGAAGTGCATTCATTTCCTGTATCTGCCATAACAAAGTGCCACAACCTGGGTGGCTGTAACAACAAAAATGTATTGATTTATTGTTCAGGAGGTTAGCAATTCAAAATCAAGCTGCTAACAGGGTTGATTCCTTCTGGGAGCTGCGAGCAAGGGTGTGTTCCAAGCCTCCCTCCTAGCTTCTGGTAGCTGCAGGCATTCCTTGGCTTGTAGATGACCATCTTCTCCCTGTGTCTTCACGTCATCTTTTAGCTGTGTGTGTCTTTGTCCAAATTCATCCCTCCCTCCCTCCCTCCTTCTCTTTCTTTCTCTCTCTCTCTCTCTTTCTTTCTCTCTTTCCCTTTCTTTCTTTTTTTCTTTCTATCTTTTTCTTTCTTTCTCTCTCTCTCCTTTCTTTCTTTTTCTCCTTCCTTCCTTCTTCTCTCTCTCTCTCTCTGTCTCTCTTCTTTGAGGCAGGGCCTTGCTCTGTCACCTAGGCTGGCATGCAGTGGTGCAGTCATAGCTCACTGCAGTCTCAAAATCCCAGGGCTCAAGCAATCCTCCCACTTCAGCCTCCTGAGTAGCTGAAACCACAGGCATGTGCCACCATGCCCGGCTATTTTTTTTTATTCTTGGTATACACAGAGTCTCCCTGTGTTGCCCAGGCTGGTCTCATACTCCTGGACTCAAGCAGTCCTCCTGCCTTGGCCTCCCAGAGTGCTAGGATTATAGGCCTGAGCCACTGTACCTGGCTCAAATTACTTTTTATAAGGACACCAGTTACCTTGGACTAAGGTCTACCTTAATGACCTCATCTTGATCATCTGTAATACTCTATTTCCAGAGTACTCATATTTACAGGTACTCACAGTCAGGACTTTAGTATCTTTTGTGGGGACAACTCAATCCATAACAGTATGCAACTAGCTCAAGGCAGCAAGACAATGTCATAGCGGAAATAAGGAGAACTGGGTTCCCATTGTGACTCCCATATTAGCTGTGTGCCTTTTTGTAGGTGACTTCATCTGTCTGTTTCTCAGTCTTCATATCTATTAAATGACCATTATAATACCTACTCACAGAGTAGTTGCCAGAATCAAGTAAGATGAAAAGAGTATAAAGTGCAGTGGTGCCCAAAGTCGGTGCCCAATACTTCCCTCTCTAAGCTCTATTCTTCCTCTTAGAAATCTCTGGGCTAGGCCGGGCGTGGTGGCTCACACCTGTAATCTCAGCATTTTAGTAGACCGAGGCGGGCAGATCACAAGGTCAGGAGATCGAGACCATCCTGGCTAACACAGTGAAACCCTGTCTCTACTAAAAATATACAAAAAATTAGCTGGGTGTGGTGGCGGGCTCCTGTAGTCCCAGCTACTTGGGAGGCTGAGGCAGGAGAATGGCGTGAACCCGGGAGGCGGAGCTTGTAGCGAGCCAAGATTGCCCACTGCACTCCAGCCTGGGCGACAGAGCAAGACTCTGTCTAAAAAAAAAAAAAAAGAAAAAAAAAAAAAAATCTCTGGGCTGTGGCCTGCCTCAGCCTCCCTTCTTCCAGAGGGAGGCAAGGAAGATCAGCTAGCTGGTTCTGGAAGAAACCGCGCACTTCATATCGGCTCAGACTCAGCTGCTGGTTTTCCTACAATGCTGCTTCTTTACAAAGCTGCTTAATTTTCCAAGGGGCTGAAATTGCAAAGCTAGTTTCCATATTGACTTACGAAATGAAAGGAGAACTTGGGAGAAAAGGTGAAGGAGGTAACTTAATAATAACCGTCAGGTGCATGAGAGGTAATTTTATGCAGGCAGGAGGCCAAAATTTTTTCCATTTATATTGGGAATAGGATAAAAGGAAACAGGCACACACTTCTGCAGGAGGAATTTAAATAAGACAGGCTCTGCTTATAGGGCTGATAGCAGGGCTGGCCTTGGGCAACCCTAGGAATGAAATGAAGTTGGTTATTCATGTCATTTCACCTCTCCCTTCTGCTATTGCCAGGGATGCACAACTTCAGGCATTTCTACTAGCACTGCCAACTTTGAGTAGAGTGAAATGGACAATCTGTTCTCATCAGCATTCATTCACACATATATACAGGGCACCCACAGGATGAGGGTAGGCTAGCTGCTATAACAAACAGTTCCTAAAGCTCAGTGGTCTAACCAAATAGATTGACTTCTTTTTCAACAAGCACTCAACACAAGTGTTCCTGATGACAATGTTCTCCTCCAAGTAGCAAGCTTGGGGACCGGGTGTCCTTCTATCTCCTGGCTGCGTTCCCCTCTAGGCCTCAGAGATTGCTCCAATCAGCCAGAAGATGAGAAGTCATGAGGATTGTGCTTGGGAGGGTTTAGTGGGCCTGGTCTGGAAGTGGGGACATCCCTTCTGAACACATCCCATTGACCAGGACTCAGTCCCGTGGCCCCATTTATCTGCAAAGGAGGCTGGGCGGTGTGGTCTGCATGGGAAAAGAAGGGAAAGGGAAAGCACTAGCCAGTGTCTGTGGCAAAAGTGTTGGGGAAATAGTGTTCTCTCCTTTGTATTTCCTGCAGCACTTTGTCCATTTATGTAACAAATGTTTGTTTACATATAGGCTGAGCCAAGTTACACGTTAGGTCCCACGGCTAACTCAATATGGTCCATAGCAGATGAGCCCTGCCAGCAACTTGTCACATTACATTGTATTTGCTTTTTCACACATTTGTGGGTCTGAGACTGGATTCCCCCAGATACAGTCCCATAGATAAGGGTTTGAGTGCAAGACCATCGGTGTCACACCCACGTCCCACTCTCCAATTTTCCTCTCAGTGCACACCTTCCAGCTACCTGAGGACTTTCTATTGCTATTGGAGGTCAGGACGCCAGTGCCCTCCAGGATTAGGCCTCAGCCAAGGCCTCCACTCCCCTACCCTTGGGCTGGGTAATTCTGAGCTGTGACTCTATGGCCCCTGGAGTTTCCCCGGGTTAATAAAGCTCCAGTTAGCCACAGCACTAGCTGACTTGATAATGCCGTTTTTAATTGGCTGCCTACCTTTCCTATCTCACCCCCTCACACCCCTACCAGTATTTCTCTTCACTTCCCAAATAAATGGCTTGCACCCAAACCCTTGGTTACTCAGGGACTGCATCTGGGGGAATCCAGTCTAAGATGCTGTCTTTGCCCTGAAGGTGTTTGCTTCTTTAGGGAGGAGCTCTTTCTTATTTATCCTTGTTTTCCTAGAGCCCAGAGCAGAGGCTCACTTGTTCATCCGACAGGCACACAGTGTGTACCTGGCCTGGACCCGGCCTGGTACTTGGTGCTGGGCACACAAAGAGTCATTGAATGAAAGAAACTGGGCTGTTTCTGCAGGTGACAAGGTTAGATTTTGGCATGTTGAACTTGAGGCTGTAAAAACTTGTACTTGAGAACTAGTATCTCCAGATTAAGTTCTCAGCTAAGCTTTCTATCAGGCATCCTACTGCCCACTTAAAAAAAAAATCCCCTCCTGCCTTTCTTGCAAAGATCTCAAACCCCAATTCTAAATCTTGTTCTCTCGCCTTCTTCAGTCTTAATTCAGATGCCACCATCAGTTCACCTTCTCTGCAAGACCTTCACTGATGATCATTTTTATGGTTGCCACTCTTGCCTCAGCCCTCCCTATCCTCCTTCCCTGCTAAGCATGTTTTACCATCTAACAAATTATGCATTTAATTTAAACCTATTATTTCGTCTGCCTCTTACTGTTAGAATTCAATTTCATGAAGGCAGGGGTTTCCATCTGCTTCCTTCACCACTGCATCCCCAACATCTAAAATGATGGCAGCCACAAAAAGACTCCTCAAAATATCACTTGTTAAATAACTGAATAAATTTGTTAAATAAGGTGATGTGAACATATTCAGTGACAGAAACTAAGAGGCCAGAGCATAAAACAGAAGTTCCAGGTAAGCAGGACAGTGCCATGTTCCGGCTGAATTGTATTCCCTCAAAATCCATATACTGAAGCCCCAACCCTCAGTATCTGAGAACATAACCTATTTGGAGATAAGTCCCCCCTGACCCAGGCTTCATTAAGGAGTAGCTGACAAATAAAAGTAGTATATGTTTACTGCATGTACTGTGATATTTTGATATATGTATATAGCATGAAATGATTAGGTCAATCTAATTAACATATTCATCACTTCACATCGTTATTATTTTGTGCAGTGAGAACATTTAATATCTACTGTCTTAGCCCTTCTCAAGTGTACAATGTATTATTATTAACCATGATTATTATAGCCACTATGGGGGACAATAAAGCTCCAGAACTCAGACTCCTTGTCCACCACTTCTCCATTTCCTCCACCGCCTAGGTCTTTAAAGAAGTAATTAGCATAGATTGGGGCCCCAATCTAATAGGACTCGTGTCCTGATAAGAAGAGACACCAGGGCCATGGGTGCATAGAGAAAAGGCCATGTGAAGACAGAGGCGGAGGACAGCCACCTGCAAGCCAAGGAAGAGACCTTCAAAAAAACCAAATGTACTGATACTTTGTGCTTGAACTTCCAACCTCCAGGACTGTGAGAAAATAAATTTCTGCTCTTTCAGTCACTTAATTTGTCATATTTTGTTATAGCAGCCCTAGCAAACTATATATGCCATAAATCATATAGGTTATATTTCATATGGCAATAAAAACTGGAATAGGGCAGTGATATGGATCCCTGCAAAGGAGAGCAGAGAGCAGTAAGAACAGCAAATCGATCTCAGGAAGCCCCTGGGTGAGGCACATGGTGGAAGAGAGAGAAGCAAGAGCAGGAGGTGGCCAAGAAAAGGGGGATCAGAGAGAAAGGAGAGGGCCCAGATTCGTGCAGAATCCTGCAAGTTGAGGGGAACTATTCCCATGCCGATGACCTTCATCAGTTCTTATTTTTCCATTTCCCTGCTACTAATGAATAACCTTTGCTCATGCCACTCCCTTTACATTAAATACTCCATCAAGACTTCTTAGCTTTGCTATTTTTCATGAAAGACTCTCTAGAGACGTTTATTCGATACACAATTTGTTAAAAAAATTAAACTCCATAAAGATGGCCTGCCATCTGGGAACATAATAAAACTAGTCTTTAATCTGAAATTCATTCTTTTCTACAGCAGAGAGAAGCATCCAGTGTGTGTGTATTGTCTGCCTGCTTGTGAATTTCCACTGAGCCATTATGCAATCTTTTTAATTTTTTTCTTTTCTAAAAATGAGTCCTTATTTCTGAAAAAAGCTACAATAGTCATCTTTGGCAATTACCAACATTTCCCCGCATTAAGACATTCGTTTCCACATCTGGCAAGGAGAAAACAGCAGGAAGTCACATGTGCCCTGGATCGTCATTGTAACCAATGTCATTACTCTATTTTCTGGAAGGGTTTCCAGTGGTCTGATGGCGGGGACACAGCAGTGTTTGTCTTGGGGGTATGTGATCTATATGGGTAACCTTGGGTATCAGGCTCACTAGATGGGATGCTGAGGCATGAAGCTCCATAAACCGTGACTGCTACGCAAAGGCATTGTTCTTTGACTTCAGAATATATTGCATAACATTTCACATTTTTCATATTATTTTAGAATTTTAGAGCTGGGAAAAATTCTGAAAATCCTTCATCAGCCCCTTCATGTGGATTAATTGATTTATTTTTAGAGCTAGTGTAGCAAGATGGTTAAAAATGTTCATGGTAGGTTGAGACACACTTGGGTGTTAATTCTTCCTCAGCCACTGACTAGTTGTATAGCCTGGGACAAGCCATCCAAGCTCTGAGTTTTCTGATCTACAAAGTGGGAATAATGAAAGGATCTGTGCCAGGGATATTGTACAGAGTAAGTGTGATAATGCAAGTAAGAGAGAGCCCAGGACACTGTGTATGTCTAGAAAAGCTTAACCATTACTGTTGTTGTTAGAAGCAATCTATGTTTCTGGGGCAGTCAGCTCTTGCTATTAAATGTAGTAAGAGTCATTGTGTGCTAGTGATAAGGTCACTTAAGTGAGCACTTCTGTTTCTGGCAACCATAAAAGAGGACGTCAACCTACTGACCTGGAAATGAGAAGAAAGTCTTTTAAATTAGGATTATTTGCATGGCCAATCACTTAAATCCAGGTTCTTCCTCCCAACCACGCTGAGTTTATACCAGAGAGGTAGAGACTATGGGCTTTCTCTATGTAAACAAATGCTCTAAGATAGATCATGAGGACAAGAGGCACATATGTCAATCATTCCCTGGGATTCGTCTCCAGGCATGATTTTATGTTAGTTCTAGGGAATACAAACCCTTGATTCATACACAACAGTTGGCAGAGATGTATTTATGACCCATCTAGAACCAGTGTTTAATTTATTATCAGGAGTCCAGGAAAACTACAATATTTTATGAAATCTTTCCTCTGTGTATGTAGCAGGAGGTTCGGCGGGGAGGAGGAAGGCCTATTTGGCTGACAGCTTTGCTCCCCATTGTAATAAAAGTCTCCTTGTACTTTAAAGCTATGGGCTTCCATTTAAAACTTAATGAGTTCAGGTTTGGTTTTGATATTGAGGTCCCATGTAGGGTTCCCTGGTTCCCTCCACTTCCTGTGTCCTAATGGAGAGACACAGAGTGCCTTGACCACTTTGTGAGCTGGCCAGCTGCCTGTTCATATCCCATCTCAGGTCTTGAACATTCCCAGGCACTGTTAGAGATGTCTAGATTGTTGCCCAAAACACTGAAAGAAACTGGCGCTGGCCTGATCCAAATGCCTCAAACCTTCATCTAAGCTCCATACCTCAACTCCTAACTGCAGACACACCTAGATAGAACATCTGTCTCTTGCTGTCCATCATGAGGACCCAGCAGCCCACTCTGTAAATTCCCCTAATAAATGCTTTGGGCGAATCACCCTGGCATTTAGTGCTCTTTTCTTTGGAATCCCAACCAGAGCTATCTTGAGATGGTTTGGGGCACTTCCTTGTGGGAATTCCCCTGCCACTGCTTTTGGGAGAATTTCAGCCATAGGTTTGGTAAAGATGAAATATCCTGTCGACCGAGAACAGTGTAAAACAGTGGTTTCCAAATACCAATCTATACACATTTTTTGAGCTTGTATCTTCAATAAGTATTCCTATTTATTATTCATAAATTATATTCCTGTACTTCTTCACTAATATACTAAAAACCATATACAAGATATACAAATTTTAAAGCATACTTGTAAAAATAAGTAGAAATAAAATTACATGTTAAAACTTTCTTTTTATATATATATATTTATTATACTTTAAGTTTTAGGGTACATGTGCACAATGTGCAGGTTTGTTACCTATGTATACATGTGCCATGTTGGTGTGCTGCACCCATTAACTCGTCATTTACATTAGGTGAATCTCCTAACGCTATCCCTGCCCCCCTCCCCCCACCCCACAACAGGCCCCAGTGTGTGATATTCCTCTTCCTGAGTCCAAGTGTTCTCATTGTTCAATTTCTTCCTATACGTGATTTTTCTCTTACACAGCCAAGTGTATGTATATCCCCAACCATGTAAGAGGAGACAGGATTGGATACAAATAATTGCATACACAACGGCTAGTGCTAAATAAGGGCGGCTAATACTTCTTCCCTGGAAGATGGGCAGGAATAATAAACAAAAGGTAACCATTGAGTTGGATCTTGAAAGATGAGCACTTTTCCAGATAGACAATTAGAGGTAGAGAAATTCTAGATAGAAAAGCAGGAGGAAATAAAAGTGTGCAGGGGCACAGAAACATGCCCAAGTGAAGACAGCTGAAAGATGAGAGGCTCAGTTAGGTCTGGATCACAGGTCACGTGAGACAGAGCTCATGGAGAGGAAATGTGGTGCTGTTCTAAGAAAAGCCTGCATGTCAAGTCAAGAAGGGGGAACCCTATCTTATGGGAGAGATAGGATCAAAAGCCACTCTGGGGGTAATGTGGAAGTGGGTTGGAGGAGGAGATACTGAAAGGATATTAGTTGGGATGCTTTTGATAGTCTGGGGAAGAGATGATAGGAATAGAAACTAAAGTACCATTTAGTACCAGTAATGGAGGAGAGAGGATGGTTTTAAAAGCATAAAATGGAGGAATTAAGAAGATTCTGTGATTCTATGAATCTGGGACAGACCTTAGAATGATAGGTAAGTGTAGGATATATCACAAAGCCGTATTCAAGCCCCACTAAGAGATGTTTGGTGCTGTAGAGAATTTTCTTGGATGACATGTCAATCACCAGCCTAAAAATTTGCATTGACTTCTCATGTATGGCATAATATATTATATTAATGGCCCCAATTCTTCATCTCTCTCTCTCTCTGTACTCTTACCCTTTGCCAAGTGACTTCTCGGGTCTTCTTACTAAAGTGACAGTCTATTTTCCTGCCTCTTGATGCTAAGCTTGACCATGTGACTTGCTTTGGCCAATAAAATGAGATGGAAGTGACAGCAGCCTGGCATGCTTCTGCCTGGCATTCCTGCCTCTGCTGTCTTCATAAAGTGGACTTGCTTGGGTACATTGGTCCTAAGATGATTAGACCAGCCAGCCAGAGCTTCCCCAGCCAACATGCTGCAGCCAAACCCAGCCTAGAGCAGAGCTCCAGCTGACCTGCAGGCACATGAGAGAGCACAGCCAAGATGAACCAAGCACAGCCAAAATCAACTGAGCACAGATAAACTCAACCGAGCACAGCCAAGATCAAGTGAGCACAGATAAACTCAACTGAGCACAGCCAAGACCAAGGGAGCACAACTTAGTTCAGTCATTCCTAGCTGATCCATAAACATGTGATTTATAACTGATTGCTGCTTTAACCCATTGAGATGGTGGGGGGAGGAGGATTTGTTATACAGCGATAGCTAACCGATATTCCATTGCACCTTGGATGAAGCTTTCAATTCCCTAACATGACCTACAGTAGGCTGATGATCTGCCTTTTCTTGACCTTTATCTCCTATGCCTTCTCCCTAGTTTCCTAAGCTCCAGCCTCTCTGGTCTTCTTTCACTTCTCCAGCTCAGCATGTCCTCCTCACTCCAGGATCCACAGGTCCCTTTGTTTGGATGCCCTCCATCTCCTAGTATCCTAATCTGGTAACCATAGTTATTTTCTATTTATTGTTTAAAATCAGTTCAAAATCTGTTTCCCCGGGGAAGCCTTCTCTGATCTTTACACTGAAGTTAACTTCTCCCGTTACATTTTTCCTCAGCGTCCTGAGTTTTTTATTCACAGCCTTTATCACACTTGTAGCTTAATTACTGCCTGTACATTAGCTGTAAGTTCTGTGAAAGCAAAGATCGTATTCATCTTCTCTCTCTAACCCAGTGTATTATGCTAAAAAATGGGACGAATGAATGAATGGTACAATCGATAGAGGTTTTTGAAGTTCTGGTCTCTGTTCTATAAACCAGAGTGTTCATCTATTAAATCTTTGAAATAATAAACTCAGAGACAGGTCTGCTAAGTTTCCTAGTATCTGTTGAGGAGGAAAGAAAACAGGAAATCGGCCTGAGTGGATACATTTGCCAAAAAAAATTCACAGCTGTCACAATGTTTCCGCCATCAAAGCAGGGATTAAAAGAACTACAAGGGAAGGGAACCAGTGCCAGCTTCTGGGGAACTTTCGGGACCAAATTTGGTGAAAGATTCGTGCAGGCTTCCCTGCCTGCACCTGCAGTTGCTTGTAGGCACAAAATGTTTTGCTCAAATAGTTCCACCCACCATTAACCAAATGAATGCTTTGGGGTGCTATGCTGTATTTAACTCAGAGTCTATCAAATCTTGTGTTTTCTGTGACTTCTGTTTCTCTCAGAATTATTGCTGTCAGGATAGCAATTTGAATGAAGAAACTTTTGCAATTTCAGTGAGCCTGAAGATGCCTTTCGATAGTTGGGCGACTACTCTGTCAACTTCAGAGCCAGCAGTGGGGTTTCAGAGAGGAGAGAGCTCTGGGCTTGTGTTTCAGTTTACTCTTTTTTATTTTTATCTTTTTCTTCTTTCATTCTTTCTCTTGACAAATATTGACTGAGAGCCTAATCTGTGCCAGGAACTACATAAAGTGGTCATACTCAATACTCCACTCCCAGGATTTTGAGAAGAGCATGAAATTAGAAATTTGGAAGTGCTTGGTATATATTATATATTCAAAATTCTTCTTGATGGCCCCCAAAGTCCTAATTTTTCGGGTCCCTTCCTACATCTCAGACCTAATTTTCTACGATTTTCCCTTCTCCACCTTCTCTATTTTTAAGACACCCTGGCCTCCTTTCTGACGCTTAAATGTGCCAAATTTGTGCAATTTTCATTCTCTTTTCCAGCGACATACTTTTCCCAGATCTGATACCTCTTGACATTCGAGGCTTAGCCCAAAGGTCCCCTTCTCAGAAAGACCTGACCTGAGTGCTCCACACTTACCCATAACTACTCTCTCCTATACCACGTTTTGCTTCTTCATTTCTTTATTACTGCTGAAATCATCCTATTTGTTGACTTTTAAATTATGTTTCCTACTGGAATGTAGGCATCCGGGGGACAAGGACCTTGGCTCTCTGTTCACTGCCATGGCTCTGGTGCCTCAAACGGGCCTGGTAGACCTCCAGTTCTGCTGAATGAGTTTCATTCTTGAAGGACCCCTGGGCCACCCTGTTGACATTTCCATGTTGCATGAAGAAATGCATAGAAAACATGCACATGTGAGCTTTCCTCAGATGGAGGTTGGTTTGGGCGTTGCTAATTCAGATGCCTCTAAGTGTGAAAAATAGGTTGAGGAGAGTGTAACAGTCAAAGGTACAGAGTGATTGTGTGCCCAATAAATACATTTTAAGAAGTTCTACCTCCCTATAATAAAAGACACAAATTTTAATAATAATTTTAATAATAATAAGTGGCTTGCTAAGTCACAAATATATGCTTATAGTTTTAGTGATATAAACCCACCCATACCTCCTGGTGAGAGTTAATTGATTCAGAATTTCTGGATATGTATCAAAACCCTTAATAATGTCCACTGTTTGGTCTAAGGAAACCAAAATGGAAGTTTGCAAAGCTGAAGTTATAAAGAGGTTTGTCCAAAAAAAAAAAAAAAAAAAAAAAAAAGAGTGGTGGGGAGTTAGGGGGCAAGGAAACTCAAAGGTTCTATCTCCTTTGGCTGAGAATTTAATGAAGTAGACACATCCACGTGATAAAACACAGGTGGGCGGATCACGAGGTCAGGAGATCGAGACCATCCTGGCTAACACGGTGAAACCCTGTCTCTACTAAAAATACAAAACAAACAAACAAACAAAACACAGGGCATTCACTAAATCCATGCACCAAGAGAATAATCTTTATTGACTTTGAAAAATGTTCATTCTCACATTGTTAAGTTAAAAAAAAAGGCTACAAAATAGTGTATGCCATAGGTCCTATTTTTGCCAAAGAAAAAAAGGTGAATAGTAGTGAATAGAAAAAAATACTGGGAGAATGCACATTAAAATGTAATAACAGTACTATTTTATGGTGACACTGTGGGGTGATTTCATTTTGCTATTGTTTCCCTGTATTTGGCAAATTCTTACTTTACACACAGAATGCATATGAAATGAGAAAAAAATTACACCAAATTTTTAGGGTGTCTAAAATGACTCCAACGTTTTGTCCATTTAATAAAACAATTGGTCAAACCACTCTAGACTTTCAGTGCTGTGAAAACCAAAGTATAGTTTGAGTACACCTGTCAGTTTCCAGCCCTTCTTGGTTGTGGTGAGCAGAGCTCAAGGAAAACAGTAGAATAAGTTGATGATGTCTAATTTACTCATTATCATTGACCCCTTGTAATTTAATTTATATGCTATGCTAAGTGTTTACCTGGGATCTCTGTTGGGCATTGCGGACGCTGGTGTTGGAAGTTGGGGTGCTGGCTTCATGAAGCTTCTGGTCCTGTAGGCGGCTCTGACCCATAAAGAGGCTGCTACAATCACCTGTACTAAGTGCTGGGACAGAGGAAGTAGAAAGAGTAGAATGAGCTTCAAATGTACAGAATTATTGTGTGCCCAAGAAATATAGGATACAGAGGAGGGGCTCTCATCTAGCCTGGGAGAACACGGAGGGCTTCCTGGAGGAGGGGACCTGTGGAGTAGCATCAGAAAGACAAATAGGAATTAGTGGAGAAACAGGATTCTGAGAAAGTGTTCCAGGAAGAAGAATGGCAGGAAAAAGCCCCAGAGGCAAGTCACCCTTGGCTTGTTCAAGGATTTGAAAA
The DNA here is from genome assembly GCF_000001405.40 of Homo sapiens. Lineage (NCBI taxonomy): Eukaryota > Metazoa > Chordata > Mammalia > Primates > Hominidae > Homo > Homo sapiens. The sequence goes on from NC_000005.10 coordinate 174,994,711, forward strand.
CAGTGCTGTATGGTCAGAACTTGGAATATGTGTTTGGGAGTGGTATGAGTTAGGTTGGGGAGGGTAACCTGGGGCCAGGCAAGGTAGGTCTTAAGATCCTTGATAAGGACTTGAACTTATCCTAAAAGCAACGAGAAACCATGAAAGAGCCTTACACAGGGGACTGACTTGGCCAGATTTACACTTTAGAAAAATTCTTCAGACCACAGCAAGAATTTGGAGGGAGGTCAAGGAGTCTACGAGAAAGATGTTAATGATGTAGGGAATGAGCAGTGGGGTTGAAAAGAGGTGGATGGATTTAAAAAACATGTAATGGGTAGATGGGATTAGATGGAGAATAAGTATAAAGATGGGGAAAAGATGACCCAAGGAGATGCCAGGTGTTCTGCTTGAGCATCTTGGGGTGGGTGAGATAGAAATACCTGGAGAGTCACCAGTTTGGAATGAGTTGATGTGCCTGGGTGACCACTGGATAGAGATGCCCAGTAGGCTTTTGAAAAGGCAGTCTGAAACTCAGGAGAGAGCTGGGATGAAATGCCAACTTTGAAATCAACAGCTTAGACAAAGTATTGAAGCCGTAAGAATGTGCACAACAGGATAGAGGAAAACATCAAGTCCACAATGAAGAACAGCCAGGCAGCATCCCAAAGAACCTCAACACGTGAAGGCTGGCCCTTGTGAAGAAGAATGAAGTGGAGGGGCAAAAGAGGGTGACAAACTCTAGGAGTGCGTATTGCTATGGAAGCCAAGGAGAGGAGGATTTCAAAGGCATCACTGTCAACACTGGAAAGGTCAAGGACAGAAGCAGAAAGGAGCATCTTGGAGTTTAACACTTGTGAGCGAGGTTGTTGGTCCCCATAGTGAGATGAGCCTTTGCAGGTACAAGGGCGCAGATGTTGGGCACAGTGGGTCCAGGGAGGAGAGAGGGGTGAGGGAATGAGGATAGGATGGTAAGCACCTTGTTCAAGAACTTTGCTGCATAGGGAAGCTAGGTTACAGCTCATGGGAGTTTGGAGAGTTAAAGGGGAATTTTGTTTGTCATCAGGGAGACTTTAAAGATTTAACCCAGATACTGCAGAATCAATAAGAGAGGGAGAGTTAAAAGTTATAGGAGAGGAGAAAATCCAGAGCACAGGTAAGGGAGGGGTCCCCCTTCACTGTCACAGGAGGGAGGGAGGATGGATACAGATGCGTTAACTTGGCGGTTCTGGTATCAGAAATTTGCAAGAGTTCCTATGTAAGCTTTCTATTTTTTTTTCCTGTGCAGTAGGAGATGAGGTTATCTGCCTACAGTGAGTGGGAGGTGGTGGAGTAGGAGATTTGAGAAGTGTGGAGAAATTTGAAATAGATGTTCTAGAGAGTGGGAGACAGAGTACTCAGGAAACAGAGTAGTTTCTGAAAGCACTGATGCTCTGGGTGAGCCTGAAGACCTTGGCTTTGTAGTGGCACCAGTCTGCGAGGTGGTGAGATTTTCTCCCCCAGGTTTTAAGAGCCAGGATGTGAGCATGAAGAATCCAAACATCAGGGTTGAAGGGAGGTTGGAACATGGCTGGCATAAGTGGCAGAGGCACAGTGGGTTTAGTGAGTTGAGACCATTGGTAAGAGGGGTGTAAAAGTCATAAATTTTAAGGTCCAAGTTGATGGAGACAGATATAGAACCAGGAGAGAGGGATGAGGAGGAGCTAGTCAAGAAGTGGTGGGACTTGGGGCCTCTTTGATGCTGAAGGTCAGATGTGGTGAAAGAAACGAACTGAGAGTCTTGGAAAGATAAGAGATTGTATTCAGAAAGAACAATGCCTGCCCAAAGAAAGATAAATGTTTGAAATGATGGATATGCCAATGACCCTGATCTGATCACTGTACATTTTATGTATTGAAACATCACTATGTACCCCACAAATATGTATAATTATTATATGTCAACTTAGAATAGAAATGCATTTAAAAAATAAAAGAAAGTACCATGCTTAGGTTTAATATTTCCTCAGTGAAAGGGCTTTAGGTTATGCAGAGCCCAGAGAGTCATCATGGAAATGAATGAATGAAGAGAAGAAGAGGTAAATATCATGGGCAAAGAAGACATCAGAGATATAACCAGAGTGTCTGATGGGTGGGTGCCCACATGGATAGCGAGGTCACCTTGATACCAGCAGGGCTTGGGGAGAGGAAGGGAGAGGAAGAAGGAGAACCAGGAAGCTGAGTCTTTAGTGAGGGAGGGGAATGATGGGCAGATAAGTTGAGGATCAGCAGTGAGGAGGGATAAGGGGCTGTGTGAGGCCAGAGGAGCAGGAGTTTCATGTGAGGTTGAAGAGAAATAATCCAGAAGTGGAAGGTGGTTGAGAAAATGCCCAGCACCATTCGTTCCCCACATGTGAAATGAGGGTAAAGGAGCACTAGCAGTTCCATTCATGGGGCGGCTGGGAAAGTGGTGCCTTCAGGAGACAGCCAAGGCTCGCCTACAGAGGTAGATGAGGCAGAGATTCAGTGAAGAGGCTGCAGGTATAAAACTGTTGATTTCTGAAAAGAGAATCTCAGAAGGATTTGTGAAACGGAAGACCAATGAAAGTTTGGTTCTGGAAAGAAAAAGCATAGCACAGAATAGAATGCTGAAAATAGCAACAACAATACTAACAAAACACCAACAGCATCTCATACTCACTTACCAATGTTCTCTCAGCAAGTATTTATCAAACCTGTGTCTTCTAAGCACAGAGCTTATAGTGGTGCCAAACACAGACAGTGTTCTCCTCCTCTTGGAGCATACCTTCCAGAAAGGAAGGAAGACAAAAAATAGACAAACAAGTGTGTGTGTGTGTGTGTGTGTGTGTGTGTGCATATAGTAATTTCAGTTGAGCTCAGTGCTATGAAGAAAAGTAAAAATAAAGCAAGAAGATAGAGAGTGAAAGATGCTGATGCTTTAGAAATAAGAGATTCCTTAGGAAAGGACTCTGGAGGTGGGGGTGGTACTCAAACTCAGACCCCAGCAGAGGAAGTGGTAAAAAAGGTAAATACAAAAGATCGTGGATCCCAGACAGTGAAAACAGTAAGCATAAACTCTTGAAGACAATAAATGCTTGCCATGTTCAGGGAAGAGCAAGGAGGCTGCTATGGCTGGAAAGCAATAACACAGGGTGGAGGTGAGTAGCAGGAAATGAAGATGAATGTGGCTTCCTAAAAAGATCACCAAAACCACCTGTTGATAAGATAAAGCTGAGTTTATTCTTACCCACATAAGAAAGGATGCCACCTCAACAGAGTTTTAGTTGTATCTCAGATGGGGAAGGGCAAAATTGGGATATTCATGAGATTTTTGAAGTCTTGTTTAAGGCAAATCTTTCAATGAGGGAGCTTAGTTAGGACTGGATAAGAATCATGATGTAATAGTTTAGGTTTGGTGGCTACTGCAAGGTGAGAATTTTCAAGTAAAAAAGGGTTCAAAGGGTTTTTCAGGTGTAAACTGATGCTTTCTATTAATGAGTTGATGGGTTTCTCAGGAAGTTTGTAGAATGAACAATAAAGTGGAAATTTTTACCTTCTTAGGCTAGAGTTTCCTGGATTAGTAAAGCTATGCCAATCAAGAGGCGGAAAGTAAAGTCACATTAATGTAGACAGGAAGCTGTGGGTGTCTAGATGGTTTCGGTTCTCAGAGATTATGTAGAGCTTTGCAGGTCATGGTAAACGTTCTGGATTTTGTTTGAGGTATGGAGGTATATTCATTAGCTTTTGTTATAAAACACATCACCCCAAAACTTAGTAGCCAAACCAACAACCGATTCTGCATCAACTGATTTAGCTGACTTTGCAAGTTGGTGACTTAGGCTGGGCTCAGCTGGTTGATTCTTCCGTAGGTTTGACTGGGCTAACTGATGCATCTGCAGTGAGGTAGATGGCTTTGCTTCTGGGAGTTTGCTGGATGTCAGTTGTGCAACAGGGGTAACTAGGCCCTACATTTCTCAACTAACTTGTTGGGTCTTGCCCACATGGAGGCTTGGGCTTCTAAGAGGAGCAAGCTAGGGCAGGTCCTCATGTACAAGCACATTTCAAGTCATTCATGCATCACATTTTTTTCTTTGAGACGGAGTCTCGCTCTGTCGCCCAGGCTGGAGGGCAGCAGCGTGATCTCAGATCACTGCAAGCTCCGCCTTCCAGGTTCACGCCATTCTCCTGCCTCAGCCTCCCAAGTAGCTGGACTACAGGCACCTGTAATCCCAGCACTTTGGGAGGCAGGGGCTGTCAGATCACAAGGTCAGGAGATGGAGACCATCCTGAGTGATGCAGTGAAACCCTGTCTCTACTAAAAATACAAAAACATTAGCTGGGTGTGGTGGTGGGCACCTGTAGTCCCAGCTACTCGGGAGGCTGATGCAGGAGAATTGCTCGAACCCAAGAGGCAGAGGTTGCAGTGAGCCGAGATCACGCCACTGCATTCCAGCCTGGGCAACAGGGTGAGACTCCATCGCAAAAAAAAAAAAAAAAAAAATTACACAAGTATATTTGCCTGTGATCCTCAAAGACCCTCAATTGTTCATGAAATAAATACCAAACTCTTTCAAAAGACCCGCAAGTTCCTTCTCAACAAAGCCTTTTGCAGATGCCTCTTTTTGAACTACCCTATCCTCTAACCCCAGGAGCTGTTTGCTGTCTCTGCAATGTGCCATGCCCTCCATGCCTCTGCACCACCACCCAGGCTGTTCTTCCTGTCTGGAATGCCCTTCCATGGCTTCCTTTTTGGTGTTCTCTCCCATTTATTCTGCAAGGCCTGGTGTATGTGCCACCTGCACTGAGACTCTCCCCACACAAGGGGAGAGCCTCCCCTATGCAATGGGTTCCTCCTCTATGTTCTTTGCATGCTCCACTCATCAATCTTGCCCTGAACTAACCGTGAGCATGCCATAGGCAGGAACGACACTCTTTTAAAACAAAACAAACCAAAACAAACATTCATCGTCTGTTTCTGAGGGCTAAGAACACAGGAACAGCTTAGCTAGGGGGAGCCAGCTTGTGAGTTTGCAGGGAAGCTGCCAGCCAGAGCCGCAGTCTTCTGAAAGTTTCACTGTGCTGGAGAATCCACTCCCAGCCTCACTCACATGGCTGCTGACAGGAGGCTTCCTGTCCTCACCACATGGGCCACTCACAACATGGCAGCTTGCTTCCCAGGGCGAGTGATAACGTCTGGCACCTGGGCAGGAGCGGCTGGATGCCTGGGCTCAGCACGGCTTCTGTCTTTCCCTGTATCATCTCAGGGCCTCTCCCTCTCTGTCTGATGCCTCCATGTGGCTTATCCATGTGGTCTCTCAAGCAGCGGAGCTACCTGATGGTGCAAGGCTGCAGATCGCTGAGCAATTTCTGGTGCCTCCCACCTGGAGGACTCGCCTCTCAGCAGCGCCAGTTACCTTTCCATGTAGTTTGCTGCTTGTCTGGACTGGCAGAACAGGGCTATTTTATCGTTGTAAGCTCAACATATATAGCTCCAGTATTGGCACACACAAAACATCCCTACCTTCCCTGCCCTGAGTGGCAGCTGACTCACAGAAGTGCCCATCATGTACCACAGCAGTCCCTAACCTTTTTGGCACTAGGGACCAGCTTCGTGGAAGACAATTTTTCCACGGACCTGAGGGAGAAAGATGGTTTTGAGATGATTCAAGCGCGTTGCATTTATCGTTAGAGTCTCATGAGCAGCGCACAACCTAGACCTCTTGCATGCGCAGTTCACATAGATCCTGTAAGAATCTAATGTCGCCACTGATCTGACAGGAGGCGGAGCTCGGCTTCACTACTCACCACCACTCACCTCCAGCTGTGCGGCTCACTGGGGGACCCCAATGTACCACACTATAACAAAGTTTTTATCAATGTCATCTTGATCCAGTTTCGAGGACCTGGCTGGAAGACAATCAGTTTCCCCTCTTAAACAACTGGTTATGTCCATACCCCAACCACTTCCCTTAACAGGCTTTAGGACAATGTGCACCTGCTCTGATCTTCCCCGGTCCAGGTACCAGACAACCAGGCACAGCCACTCTGTCCCAAAGCCCACTGAAAATTGCTCACACTAGCCAATTCTGAGCCTACTTACCATGCCTCACGGGTTCCTTTCTGAGGGTAAAGGTACTTGTCCACAGATCCCCTCTCTTTGCCTGCTTTGTGACCGACTCTGGTGCTTCCCCCAGCAGCGCTGCATGGTGAGATGTGTTCCTCCTAGGGAATTGTGAGTAAGAAACCTGTAAAACTCTCTCTGGTTTTTCTCCTTTGATCTTTGGCCTCTTCACACCTTACCCAAGGTAATATGGTTAAAACACACACGTTGTCTATGTTCTCTGAATGTGTGCATTAGATAGGGTAATGATAACTGCTGTCACCAATCAACCACAATCTCAGTGGCTTGATACAACAGAAAGTTACTTCTTCCTCCGTGTGCCTAATTGGGAGGGAGCTTTCCTTCACAAGACGTTTCAGGGACCAAAGCTTTCATCTTGTCATTCTGCCACCCCTCAGGGCTTTGGAATTGTATTCCGGGTCCTCTGGGGCAGGCTGGGAAGTGTCATGCAGTCATTTTTACTCACATTCTACTGGCCTGAACTCGGTCACATGGCCACACCTAAGTGTCAGGGGCTAAGAAATGTAGTCTAGCTGAGTGTCCAGGAAAAAATGGGAAGAAGTATTATAAGGTTATTCATAAACTCATTAATATGTGATATAATTTAATCTTTATCAATATGTCTTTGAAATAGATACTATTATTTATCCATATTTTATGACAAGGAAAACAGGCTCAGAGAGGTTAAGTAATTTTCCCAAAGACACACAGCTTGTAAAGGAAGCTTGGATTTGACATCAAGTAGTCTGGCCCTCGATTTTACTCATTGAAAAACATTGCTGAAAGTCATCGCACTGAAATTTTATTCTCTGTGGTGAGAATCAAACTGAAGTACCAAGCTCAGAGATATAAATTCTACTGTACCTTCTAAGCAGGGTCACAACCTCTCATCACTCCAAAAGAAGCTACTCACATATCATCTATATAAATGTTGCTCCCTGGAATTGTGCAGTGCACAGCCTGTGAGACCTTACAAAGCAGCCCTGGTCCTAAGTGCCAGGTAAATTTAACAAACATTTCTTATACATCTACTATTTGTCAAGCTCCAGGCTAGGTACATTCACACAAATTATATCATAGCAGGCACTCTCTAAATATGTGTTTGATCAACTGGCTCTGTATCAGCAGAGCTTGTTGTCATGGAATTTTCTGGTCAGCCACATTCTGCCCCAATGGGAAAGGGCCTTGCTCTTTTGAAAACTTGCCATCTCTTTGGAACCAGTCAAATTCCTTTCCGTGCCCACATCTGTATTCTTGCTTCCACTCCAGGCCGGAACAAAGGCAAATTCACTCCACATCTCAGTCTCACTGAGCACGCTACGCACAAAAGAAGTTGACAATGCCACTTTGCCACTTTTCCCTCTTCTGTTTGGATAATTGCATTGTCAAGAATTACTTATCATACATTTAACACCTAATACCTATTTATTATGAATTCATGTAACTGCTATTTAAAGAATAATCCGTGCTAACTCCCTTCTACACCATTTGATGCCACTCTGATTCTGTAATTGCTGGTTTCTGCGATATTATGCCACAAAACCTGAAAGCATAATTGGTTGTTTCATTCCAGACAATACGTTTTCAAGATGCTTAAAGCTTAACTGGCAGCTTTGAAGCCCCAGCAAAGGCAGTCGGGCAAGCTCGCTTGCGGCAGGACGGTCTTGCAGAGTAATTTATGCAGAAACCATACAGGACTACAGAGGGTGAAATTGTTCCAAAAAAATGAAAGGGAGGGGGTACATGATTCTTTTGTGCAGATCCTTTGTTTTAAGTTTTCAGCTTCTGGCAGTGCTTTTTGCTGGGGAAAATCAACTCCCAATACAAGAAGAGGGTAAAGCAGCCATGTGAAGAATGCGCATGTCTCTCAGAACTCTCAGTGAGTTCTGGAGCACAAGAAAAATTGAGGTTCATGGCCCTTCCCTCAGAGAATTAGTGGGGTCCACAAGTTGGCCTCTGCAGCTCTGCCTTCCCCCAGCCTGCCTCTAACTCTCTTAAGTCTCCTTTCTGGAAAGTTCCTTATGCTCATTTGCTCCAAGATCCTTGCTCCTTATTCCCATCAAGTAATGATGATGCTTTTTAAAACCAAGGTCTTGGAGCCTCATACATGTGCTACCCTAAAACTCACTCAATTAACTGCCTATCTCCTCCCTCTCCCTCCCTCGCTCCCTTTCTCCCTCCCCTATTGACTTCTGTTCTGTGATTATCCACCAAAGCACATAGTCTCCTCGAGGGAACAGGTAGAGGAAAAGAAGACCACGAGAGTATGATAAGACCTATGCTAGAGGGAGGCTGGGTCCCAGCATGACTCTGGCCCCTGGGCCCACAGAGCTGTGCAGACCAGCTCAGAGACATAGCTATACGTTGGCTGACCTCAGTCTAAGGATGTCTCCGACCAGTGTCACATAAGAACACAAGTCCTGCAGGCTGGGGTGGCCTTAGGCTGAATCAAACTCTGCCAGGGTTTCGCTCCACTGGAGAGGGGTTTTGATTTTCTTTGTTGGGCGGGGAGGGGGTGGGGGGGTGAGAGTTTCATTCTGCTTATCAACTAATCAATCAATCAGAAATTACATATTAAACGTCTGTGCCAGGCCCCGTGACAGATGCTGAGAGAGGCACAAAGGATCTTTACTTAATCTCCTGGAATTCATGTCCTGGATACAGATAAAAAGTATGTGCATCATAGTTTTCTCATCTGCAAAATGGTGAATAAAATGGCTTCTTCTTTATAGGTGGGTTAAATAAGGGAATGAGTACAAAATGCAAAGCATAATGCCTTCTAAATAGAGAAGACACAATCAATGTCAGCACTTCTTCTTCTTATTCAGTGGAAAATACAGCTAACCACAGTGGGGAAAACCACAGGAATTGCCACAGGGCCACAGAGGAGGAGAGAGCCCTGACTGGGAATTTGTCAAGGCTTCATGCAGGAGACCAAACCCACCCAGCTAGGGGCTGCCCTCAGGGCGAGGCTCAGGGTGAGAGTTTCCAGGCCAGAAGGGCCTCAGCAGGCAGTGAGCTGTGGAAGGGAGAGGAGACTGGTGACCAGGGCCCGGAGCCAGGTTCAGGGCTAGAGAGACTGGGAAAAGGCTGAAACTGGCCTTCCAGGCTACAAAGGATTTGGGAGAATGAGGCTCAAATGGGGGGCTGAGGCAATCTGGGGGCCACATCTGTAAATATTTAAGCTTAGACTGAGAGTACCTTTTCCCTGGAGAAGTTGTATGAGATGAGAATAGAATTTTAAAGGACCTCAGCCAAACTGGAGAATTCCCCCGCCACCCCCACTTTTTTTCCAGATCTTGTCAACTTAGAATAAATGAAGCAGATTTATTATGCTGGAGTTATTATTTATTTATGCTGGAGTTAGTTAAGACTTAGGGGGACTGTTGGAAGGGCATGATTGTGTTTTGAAACACGAGGACATGAGATTTGGGAGGGGCCAGGGCAGAACAATACGGTTTGACTCTGTCCCCACCCAAATCTCGTCTTGAATTGGGTTTCCCATAACCTGTGTCATGGGAGGGACCTGGGACAAAAACAAAAGTTTTCAGTTAAATGATAAGAACTAAGAAATAAAGGTAATGGAAAAGATTCCATCTAGGAGCTTAAAGTGAATAAAGCTGTTGAGCATAAAACATAGCTCTGAGTTCCCTGGCAGCCAAGGAGAAGAGGGAAACATACTGGGCCACACAGTTCTCACGGTTTAGTAGTGGGAAGGGCCTAGCTGAGTACTTTAAGATAATAAAGGAAGGAAACAGAGTCCAGGACACTACTAGCCTGTGATTTTCTGGAGTTTTTTGATGGGAGCAAATCATGCGCATTAGGGGTAGAAAAATGAATAAGATCATAAAAAGAGAGAGGTCAGTCTAAGGAACCATGTTCCAGAGAAGCAGACTGAGTGATAAACCAGCCAGCAAACCAGGCAGAGGACAGAAAGCTCAAAAAGACAAGTGTAGGCACCACTGCAGGACTGGCCTGCCCTGGATCCCAGCATAAGGGCAGCTGTTGAACCCAGGCAGCATCAGCAGAGGGGAGGAGATGGGGGTGAGCATGGCGGCTGGGTCTGGTGAGTGCCCCGCTCTGCATGATTTCTTCTGGGCCCTGCAATTGGTGATGGGCTGGTTCTTAAGGAGGCAGGATACCTGTGAAAAGAAAGGTTCTAGTACAGCAGCAGAAACGGGCTTTTATTGGCCCTGAGCTTTGAGAATTTTTAGGATGGCCTTAAATAACAAGTAGAAAGTGACAAGATGTGTGATATGCTCTCTCCCTCATTCATTCATTCACTCATTCATTTATTGAAGGATCATTTGTTATGCACCTATCCACTGGGGCTCAGTCTCGCCCCGCAGGCAGTTTTCCCAGGAAACATTGATGGTGTTCCCAGAAAGCTGCTGTTTTGCCCTTGTGCTGTGGGGTGATGAAGGAGGTTCAGCACAATGGCCCCCCACTCACTAAATTCCAGTCATGTGACAACCCCAAAGAGCCCTGTGATGGGGTAGGCTGCATCAGGGAGGCGTGGCTGCGCCTGCTAAGAACCCCTGGAAGTGGAGGGATGCATAGAGTGTAGCCGGAACCCAGAGGAGGGGAAGATAACTCCTTCCCAGCCCAAACAGGAAAAGCAGCAGGCAGCCTATGAGCTGGTCCCTGTCAATGAACACTTGGTTCCAGGCTGAGAACACAGGAAGGGGCCTGAAGACAGCAGGAGCGGAGTCAGGCAGGTGTGGTCTGGGGAAGAAGGCAGGGGAAGAGCTACTGGACCCTAACGCTGTGTCTCACACTGGACAAACTGCTTAGAACTCGGGAGGCACTTTTGGTTCTTAGACCAGAGGGAGGTGAGATTTGAGGGCTTCTGGAAACCCTAGGAACAAAGTGTCCAAGTTTCCCTTTACAGGCCCACTGCCCCCCACTCTGCTTTCCCAGGCTGGGGGCAATGTCCAGCCCGGAGCTGGCTCCAAATATCTCACCAACTGGGGCAGCCTAAAACAGGGCAAGACAAGGAAGGGGCTTTAACAGAAAGACACAGAACGTAGAACCTCAAGTATTTAGGGATTTGTTTCCCCAAATGGAAATAATGTATTCAAAAGATAGGAAATCAGTATGTCAAAGAGATGCCTGCACTCCCAAGTTCGTAAGAGCCAAGGTAAGGAATCAACGTCAGTGTCCATTGACGGATAAGAAAATGTGTACAGACATAATGGAATATGATTCAGCATTAAAAATGAAGAAAATCCTGTCATTTGTGACCACCTGGATGAGCCTGGAGGACATCATGTTAAGAGAAATTAGCCAGGCACAGAAAGACAAATACTGCATCATCTCATTTATATGTGGAATCAAAATAAAAGCCAACCTCACAGAAGCAGAGGGTGGAATGGAGGTTACCAGGGGCTGGGGTGGGGTTGCGGACTGGGGAGATGTTGGTCAAAGGACAAAAATGTCAGTTAGGCAGGAGGAATAAGTACCAGAGATCTATCGTGGAATATGGTGATGTTGTTAATAACAATATATTGAATGCCTGAAAATAGCTAAGAAAGTAGATTTTTAAGTGTTCTCACCACAAAAAAGTGTATGAGGTAATGCATATGTTAAATAGACTGATTTAGCCATTTCACGATGTATACATCTATCAAATGCTGTTGTACACGATAAATACATACAATTCTTATTTGTCAATTAAAAATAAACCTAAAAATCTACCGAGGATTCAGAAAAACAAGAGAAAATCTTCAAACCAGACCATGTTACACATTAATTAGCAGCTCTGAGTCTATGGTTTACATAATAGAAATGATGAAACTTTTGGACCGCCTGATTTGAGACATAAAAATTATCAGACGGAAGTTAGTCATCTCTCCAGCGCACAAAGGTGTCAACCTTGAAGTACATCAAAAGAAAAAGAAATTGTGACGGAGTGTTTGAGTTTTAGCCTCCTCCTAAAAATGCTTCCCAGCCCTTAACTGGTGAGCAAGTGAATTTATTACAGCCAGAGCTGTCATTTGCCAAGTACATCTTAATTTGGAGAGATGAGCACAAAATGAACTTTTTGGCAGCTCCCAAAAGTTCAAGTGGTGGTTTTCTCTGGATCTTTCATTTGTGTGCGCGTACCACAGGTAGATGTGTGACTTTCCAATGCTTTTTATGATATGTAGGCAGAGATACCTTGATAGAGAAGCTGTTTTCAATGCCCTTTCCACCCCAGCTGTGCCCTTTCAGGAGGCTGCAACCCCCAATGGACCTTCATCCCCAAAGGGCTGGTTGCCCTTGAAAACCCTCTTGTCAGCTCCACAATCCACAAAGTCCCAATCAGTCAGTAATGGGTCCCTTTGATAGACACTCTTCTATTTAAAGCAATTTTTATGTATCTACTATGTGCCAGGCCCTGTACTAAGCCCAGAAAGTGCATTAATTTTATTTACTCCTCAAACAACCCTGTGAGTTAAGTATGAATATTATCTCAGAGATTACAGAGTTGTGAATTTACTTGTTACAGCTAGTCAGTAGTGAGTCTAAGATGCCAACCCAACTCCCTGACCAGCAAGTCAGAACTCTTGATGGCAGTACTGGGTTGCTCTGAACATATATTTTGAAAATATGTTTCATTTGTATAGATTGGAAAAATTGTCTTAGAAGCACCATTGGCACTAATCAATTAAAATCTATTACACGTTATAAATACACCATGGACACTGCTTTTCTGTTCTTTGGAAAATGATGTATTGCTAAAAGATCTCCCACCTACCTTCTTCCCTCCCTTTTCCCTTTTCCTCCATCCCTCCCTCCCTTTCTGCCTCCATCCTTCTTCCCTCCTTTTCTTCCTTCCTTCATTCTCCTCCTAGTTCCTTCTCATTCTCATTGATGAAATGACTATATGTAAACAATGAAAAGTGATGGTTCATTTCATTGAGTGGAGGTGGGTTGATGTCCCTCAGGAAGGTTTGCAAATCCAGGCCTGGCTCACTCCACTGCAAATGCCCCTGTGATGAGGGTGCTGTGTTTGCCCTGCACCAAACAGCCTTGGCAGCTGGGGCTCCCTGACCCAGAAATGGGTGATTAAATTAAGAGTGTCTTCATTTGTTAACGTGAAAAGGCTGCCTTGGGTTCATCTGGAAGCCTGTGATTAGCAGATACACATCCGTACACTACAGACCCCATAAGTAATAATTAGAGAGAGAATAACCGGTCATGTTACTCATGTTCCACCTGGTCCTGTTGTCTCCAAGGGTTGTGTTTCTAGTCCAGCTGTTTTTTTCTAGAGTGAGAACCTGAGGGGGGTTCTCACTGAACAGGGGTTCAGCTGGTTCTTACGCTGTCTCCCCATCCTGTGCACCTTGACTGATTTGCAGGTTGAAATGGAAAAGGAAGTAGGCCTTCCACAAAGCAATGAGCAGCAGGCATGCCTGAGACCATTACAAAGCCAGTGGCCCTGTTATTTGGAATTTTCACTTTAAAAAAACTAACAGTTTCCCATCTCTGCTCCCTTTATCCCTGCTGAACTGAAGGCTGATCTGTTTGGTGGCAAGTGGTGATCAGCTGGTAGATGATAAGAAAATTATTGTTTATTAATATAGCTGTCAAAATATTGCTAAAAATAGTGTAATGTCTTCTCCTTAGTGTTGTTTCAGAGCTTTTGGTAGCTAGAAGCTGGTAATTAACACCTGAGATGGGATGAAATGGGCGTTCTTGCACCATATGTGTCTCTGGGCTGAAGCCGAGAGAGCTGCTTCTGAATGTGGCTAGCTTCCATTTGCTGATGAGGAATTTGTTGTTCATCGAGAGGAAAATCTCATAAATTCACCCCCACTATGAGTTTGTATCATCACACATTATGTGCCTATCTACTACATACAGAGCTTTAGGCTAGCCCTGGGAAGACAGTTGTCTCAGCCTGGCAAGTCTGATGGGGAAAACAGCAGTGTTGAGCCCTAGAGATACTCTTCTAAGGGCTTTTCATATATTAACTTGTTAATATATGAAATACTGAATAACTAAAAACCAAAAGGCTAGGCACTTTGGTCACCCAGATAGTCAGTGGCAAAGCTGGAATACCACCTCAGTCTGTCTATACAGGCTCCAGAGTCCACGTTCTTCATCATGGTGGTACACAGGTAATCATAAGACATTCTACATTCTTTAATAGGGAAACACAGAGAGCCTGTGGCTCTGGGGTGACCAGTTTCCTGGAATCTGCAAGTATTCTCCCAGTGCTAGTGGAATATCTTTGATCATACAGCGCTATTATTTTTTTAAAAAAGCATTTCCTTTATTGTATGTTTTTTACTTTACACACTGTATGCTTGTACCACTGTACTAATGTATTTCATACTTTAAAACACATGCAAAGTAGAAATGAAAAAAGATAAGATAAAAATTAACTAGAAATGAACATTTAAAAATGTTCCCCAGGGAGAGTATATTCCCTTCATTTTTTTAGTCTACTGCACTAGAGGGCAGGGCATGTTTTCAGGTTAATGCCTCCTGTATTTCTAGAGTTTCTTGAAGTTCCTAGGACATATCAAGTCTTCAATGAATGTTTGTGAGTGATTGGATGGATGGGTGGATGCGTGGATATATAGATGAATAGATGGATGGAGGAATAGATGGGTAGATGGGTGGATGGATGGGTCAGTGGATGGATGGATGGATGGATGGATGGATGGATGGATGGATGGATGAATGGGTGGATATATAGATGAATGAATGGATGGGTGGGTGGGTGGGTGGGTGGATATATAGATGAATCAATGAATAGATAGATGGATGGGTGGGTGGGTGAGTGGATACATGAACAAGTGGGTGGATAGAGTTGAGAAAGACATTCTAGAGGAGATAGTGTTTGAAGTATAGATCAATATTTGGGAAGTAGGAACAGTGGAGAAAGTATGTCAGACAGACTAAACAGCTGTGTAGAGGCCAAGGAGCATGTTTCTGAAAGAGCAGGAAGGCCCCTGCCTAGGGTGCTATTGGTGTGGGGGTGTGGATTATGGAAGAACTTTGAGTATTACATTCAGCATTTGGCCCTTATGGTGCAGGAGTAGAGGCTGTCTTGACCTGTGAGCAGGACATAATGGTCACTCTGTCCACTGGGAGGAATAGCTTGGAAAGGGAAGATGGCAGAGCAGGGAGACCAGTAAGAAAGTCATTGCAATGTTTGGATGACACATTTCTCGAAGGGAGAAGGTTTAGAACTTGCTGATTAATTGCAAGATTTGGAGTAATAAGCAAGGGGCAGGCATTTACCAGGGCTCTGGCTTGGGTAGATGGGTGGTCTTGTCATTAACTGAGACAGGGAACTTAGAATGTTCTTTTAAGGCCAATAACCATGGTGAACAAATATTGAGTGATGATTACATGCTGGGTGCTTTCCACTTCTCATCTCATTTAATCATCATGAAGGTGTACTATTTCATTGTCATTTTATAAAGGAGAAAGCTCAGGATCAGAGCAGATAAGTAACTTGGGCGGAGGGCCAGCTCTCATTCTCCATTGAAATAAGCTTATTTTTTAACGGGAGAATATTTTTCAAAGTATTACGTTTTAATAGGGCAGGTAATCCATGAATACTTATTCTCCTTATAAAACATAATTCCATATTATAGACAGCCTACATTAATATGATCATGACCTTCATCCTACTCTTTTTCTCCACCCTTCAGAGAAATGGACCTTGACAGTTTGGAGTGTATCCTTCCAGGTCTTTTTCTATGAAGTCACCATGTGCATATACATGGAAGAAGAATAATTTTTTGTACATTTTCATATAGTACATATTTGTTTACTTACTCAAATAATATTTACCGAATACCTAAAATATAAATATGCCAGGCATATTTCAAGGACCGGGCTTGATGAACTTTTGATAAAGGGACAAATAGTAAATATTTTAGAATTTGCTGGCTACACATGTTCTCCAAGGGATACACTTCCTTATTTTTAGTATAACTCTGTACACACTTAAAAACTCGGAGGTCTGGGGCCAGATTTGGCCTATGGGCCTTATCTTGCTGATCCCTGTTCTAGGAGATGGGAATGTACCAGTGAGCAAAATGGATAAAAATCCCTTTTACTCAACACTACACCCTCAAAACTTCTTCCCCTTATGTCGTGTAATTCTGTCTCATTCTTTTAAATTCCCGCACAGCCTTTCTTAGCATGGATTGTAATTATTTCTCAAATCTGGCTTTCCTACTCACCATAACCCTAGCTCCTTGAGGATAGGGACTACGACAAAGTCATCTTGGCTTTTCAAAAGCTCAGCAGAAGGTTTGGCCCAAAGAATACTGGATGAATTACTAAGCAAATGAATGCAAATGTTCATAAAATGAAGAATGATGAACTACATAGTCAGTGGACTCCTGAATTTTTGGAGTAATTGCATGAAGACTGTTTTCTGGACTAGATGGACCACAGGGCCAACTTATGTCTAATCTTCTGGATTTCTTAGGTCAGTTTGTATGTCACCCAGAGTGTGCACAGGGATGTTGGAAGGTCACCTGAGTAGTCAGGAGTGGAGTTATGACCACTAGTTCAGAAGGTGAGGGGCGATCTACCAATGTTTCTGAAGTTATGTTTCACTGAGTTCTGCTAGACATTATGAATTTGTGTAGCACGAGATACAGAGCATTTTTATGGGCATGGGATGCAGGGTGCACATAGAAAGAGAGTGTTTACCAGGAAATAGTATATCATCACCAGTTTTTGTACATCCCATCTACTTCTTGTGAGAATTTGAGCAAAATGACTTCATGTCTCTGAGCCTCTGTTTTTGTACCTGCAAAATGAAGATAAAGTCCCCATATCATAGGGTTTCTGTGAAGACTAAAGTTGGTGGTATTTTGAAAACACTTTGCAAAGTGCCTGAAATACTTACTTCTTGGTCCTGAAAATTTTCAGAGCACTTCCCCTGTATGGATTAGAACAAACTGAGATTGTTATTACTATCAGCTTTTGTTACAGCGAGTCCAGACTATCAAGGGACTCGGAGCTCAGGCCACAGTCTCTCTCCTTCATTCTCCATCCAGTGCAGGGCCAAGCAATCCTGATTCTCACATGCGCCGCTCCAGCTTCATCCTGAGGGGCTTCAACTGTGTGAAGGGGCCCGGGACCCACAGCTGAGGCCGCTCGCTGCTTGTGGGGAGTGGGCTGCAGGGGAAGGTGTGATCGTGCAGCTGAGCCACAGCCAAAATTAGCAGGCGTCCATCCTGATGGGGTCAGAGAGGGCACTGTGGCCCTTATGTGGCAGGATAACCCCTGTTCTCTCACAGAAACATGAAAACAAGCGCTCCTGATTTGGACCACAGGGGCCTAAAGCAGAGCTTTATCAGCCAAGATCACTGGTTCTCTCTCCAGTGGAGGCAGATTCTCCGCCTGAGTTTGGGAGATGGTCTGGGGGACTCAAAATGCCCAAACGCACAGGCACGAGTCTTGGTCTGTTTATCTCCTCTCTGACTCCCCACTGTGGTGTTCGAAGATTCAGATTCCGCCTAGATTATTTCCCTAGGGGAAAGTGGAATCAGAAGGCTGGCACAAGCTGACACAATACAAGCGACCTGATCATCTCTTCTTGGTTCCTCTCTTGGGCTGCGCTGAGCCCCCATTTCCTGGCACATTACTTTCCTCTCTGTATACATGCCCTGTTCTCTTTTCTCTACCGGCCAGGCCCTGTGAGTGCAGGCAGAGTCTGCACCGCCCTCAGTGGGAGTCCACTGGGGCCCTTTGTGTCCTGCCCCATTTCCACCATCACCTGCCAGCATGAACTCCCTGAGGCCCTCCCTTTCTTGGTAGGTGCAAATCCGGGTTCCCTTGAGTCACGTTCTGATTGATTGAGCCTAGAGGCAGGCTGGGCTTCAGGCAGGCACCCACCCACTTCTGGCTCTGTCTCTGTCCGGGACGACCACCTGCCCTGCTGCTAAATCAGGCTTCATTCTTGCCACCATGTTACATCCTTATACTCGGAGAAGAGAGTTTCAATCACTTTCCTAGAATTTAGGTTTTTCTGTCTCCCACTGAGCCCTGAAACAAGTTACTATTTTTAAATTGAGAAATTAAAAACAACTTGGAAAGCAGCTAGGGTCCTTACACATAATTTGAAGTCAAATCTCATTTTGACTGAGGCCCCACCAATTACCAACTGGATGGACAATTTTCTCATGTTTAAAATGAGGATAAAAATATCCACCTCAAAGGTCTGATTGTTGGGGGGAGGGGTGCAAATTGAATAAGGTCTAGCCTATTATTAAGACTCTATTTCAATGGACAAAATTTCCATTCAAACTGCTTAAGTTGGTGAGCTCATGGGCCGGATAAAGGGGAAATGGAAGCACGCTTGCTTCAGGCATCATTGCATCCAGAGGTCAGGGCAGTTGCCATTTGGCTCCTCCATTTGCTGCAATCCAGCTTCATCCTTAGACAGGATCCTTCACACTGTGTAAGGTGGCCCCAGAGGCCCATGCACCTCCTGGACGGCACTCTCAGATAAAGACATCATCTCTCTGCTGAGAGATCCAGGGTACATCCCACCAGAGACTTTGGTTTTCCTTAGAGAAGGACCAACAGACATGGCAGAGCTTCCCAGTTTGCCTTTGCGTTAAATCCTTTCCTGTTTCCCTCCCCCGCTTTTTGCCATTTCCCCTGCCCCTGCACCTTGACTAGATGACAAACACCTTGCACAAACAGTTCTAGGAAATACAGTTCTGACAGTTATAGGGATGGGACTGCACCCACGGACCTGAGCAAGAGGTGTCAGAACAGGAACAACCTTCAAACACAACTTTTTACAGATTAAAGATGAAAACTGCTATCTGAGCCAGGTTACAAGGATATGTACCCCTCATTTTTTTTTTTTTTTTTTACTCTATCAAATTCCAACCACACTTCAACTTGGGTGACCTAATCTTCAGGTATTTCCTGGTATGTATCAGCTGAATGAAGCCTTAAACGTTCCTCTTTTTTTTTTTTCTTTTTGAGATGGAGTTTTACTCTGTCACCCAGGCTGGAGTGCAGTGGTGCGAACTCAGCTCACTGCAGCCTCCGCCTCCCAAGTTCAAGCGATTCTCCTGTCTCAGCCTCCCGAGTAGCTGGGATTACAGGTGCCCGCTACCATGCCCAGCTAATTTTTTGTGTTTTTAGTAGAGATGGGGTTTCGCCATGTTGGGCAGGCTGGTCTCGAACTCCTGACCTTAGGTCATCTGCCTGCCTTGGCCTCCCAAAGTGCTGGGATTACAGGAGTGAACCACCGCACCCAGCCGTAGACTTAAACTTTCTTGTGTATCACTTAACTTACCGGCAGCCTTACATGGATGTGCTTGTCTGCAAATCAGTTACTGTGACTGGTGTAGACATGCAGGGTGGGGCAGAGGATGGGTCCACCTTGAAGTGGCTGGCTAGGCTGGGCATGCTGAGTCTCAAGTAGGGGATGACTAGGTCCCCAAAGGAAGGAATGCAGGACAAGGAAATCTATCTCCTACCCTCAGCATTTATAGTAAGAGCTTACTAGATGTCAAATAGATGTCATTTCCAAACCTGGGTCCGTGCTCTTTCCCAGTGTTTCATCAAAAAGCAGATGCCAGAATTTGGGAGGATTGAAGATATTCATTCCCATAATAACTGCGATAGATAGAGATTTGAACCAGATAAAACTCCAGATGACAGCAAAACTGCCCCAATTTGCTAACCTAGGAAGCAAACCCAAATCTAGTTTTTTGCTGTTTTGCAAATGAAGATAATATATTGGGAAGTGACCATTACAAAATTGAAAAATTTCATAATATCAGAGACTTTGAACTGGAATAAAGTGGAAATTTCAAATTACCCTAATTAGCATTAATTATGTTTCTGTTGACTCCCATGGAAGAGTCTTCATAATAGGTTATGGTTTTTCATATTTGGCCCCAACAATCAGACCTTTGAGGTGGATATTTTCATCTGTATCTGAAAGAAGAAATGAACTGAATGGTGGGGGATGGGGCAAAGTGTGTGACTAAAGTTCTCGGCAATGTCCCTTTATTTAGTTCAGAAAAAAAACCAAAAAAGAGTCAAGAGAAATATTAGCAGACCTGATGTGGTGGATCTAAAGCTCTGGCTGGGAGCTAAAGTTGGAAATAACATTTAATAATGCTAATAAATCATTTTTAAGTTATTCATTTTAAATAAGCACTCTTCTGACATCTTAAAGGGCAACAATTTTTTTTTAACTTTAAAATCTCATTACATTGCAAATTAGAACAAAAAGTGAAGGAGGCAGAGGCAGCCCTGGCTTGAACCTAAATTAGAAACCAGACAAACATGGATTTAATTCTCAATTGCATCATTTTCTCAATTGCATAACTACAGCTGGGGGATCTGGGCAGTCATTCTGGTAGAAGTTCCTCAAGCCATCACGGATGCAATGTGCATAATGTCACATTATGCAATGTGGACATTGGGAATTCCTTTGCTGTCACTTTAGCCTACAGGCATGGTTGGCACAGGATAAAAGTCGCAGAAGCCCCAGACATGGTCTGCTCGGGTGAATAGTTTTGTAACCCATTGCAAAGGTCAGACCCAGGGTACCTGAGACCTGGAGCAATTGGTGTCCCAGTTTTAGGGCCAGGGTTGAAATAACTGCCGAATTTCATGGGCATATGACATCTTCCTCCTTCTGCCAGACTGGAGAATGATGGTCTCATCACAAAGAGAACAGAAGTGCAAACAGTGCCATTCCCCCTCTTCCTTATCCCATCAGTGAGAGTAGCCTGAAGTTATAGTGGGGAAACCTAAAACCTGTGAAGCTTTGTTTTTCTAAGTGAAAAACATAAAACACAGAGAAAAGGGCATAATATTGAAATGTGCACCGAACAAGTAGTTATTAAGCAAGAAACTTATTAAATAACACATAATGAACTCCCAGATTAAAGAAAGATAGAAGACAGAGCGCTTATGTTTTCTTCCCAATCACCATCTCCTCCTTCTCTTCTACAAACAACCAAGATCTCAACATTTATGGTAATAATTTTCTTGCTTTTTAAAAAATTGTTTTATAACTTGAGAACACATTCAAAAATAAAAGTTTATATTTCCCTGAGTTTAAACTTTATATAAATAGAATCACCCTGTATGTATTCTTTTGTATCTTGCTTTCTTTTCTCAGCTATGTTTGTAGGATGCATGTATGCTGTTGAGAGTGCCTGTAGCCATTTTTAAAAGTTGTTTCATAGATTCCAGTGCATAAATCTACCATTGCAATATATTTATCCATTCCACTGTTCATGGGCATTTGAGTTGTTTCAAGTGTACATACAATGCAATTATAAGTAATGCTGCTATCAATATTCCTGTATATTATCCTGGGATATGCAGCCTGCATTTCTTCAGGGTACATACCTAGGAATGGAATTGCTGGGTCCCAGGGTTCCTGCTTACTCAACTTTATGAGATAATGCATATTGTTTTCTAAAGGGATTGTCTCAACTTTACACTACCAACAGATAACTGTTAAATTGTTTAATTTTTGCAAATCTCACAGGAGTCTTGGATTTAATTTGCATTTCTCTGATTAATGGTGAGGTTAAACACGCTTTCATACATTTTGGGCCATTTGGCTTTTCTCTTTTACGAAGTGCTTGTTCAAATCTCTTGCCCATTTCCTTGATTGGGCATTCTGGCTTTTTCTTATGGACTCTTACGGTTCTTCATATATTCAGGCTACCTGTTCTTTGCTAGTCATCTGTATCGCATGTATTTTCTATCACTCTATTGTTTTTCTTTTCACTCTTTTAAAAAAACACAGTGAATTTAAATAATCCGGAGTCTTTAGCTTAATGGAGCTTAGTTTCTCTATTTCTGTTTATGATTAGTTAGTGATGGATTTCTTAACCAGAAACCAAATCATTGTCATAATCTGATCATGATAATGATCATGATTATTCTCTTTTACAGGCTTCATGGTTTTGCCTTAATCCCATTATAAGTGAAATCAATGGGTTGAAATTCGTTTTGGTTCACAATGCAAATTTTTCTTCTTTCTTTATCTAATTGTCCTAATACTATATATGCTGTTCAAATCTTCTGTAACCTTACTATATTTTTTTGTGTTGTCCTATCATTACATAAAGACGCCCAACCCTGGGCAACACAGTGAGACTTTTTCTCTACAAAAACTTTTAAAAATTAGCCGAGTATGGTGGGTAGCACATGCCTATAGTCACAGCCACTCGGGAGGCTGAGGTGGAAGGATCGCTTGAGACTGGGAGATTGAGGCTGCAGTGAGCTATGCTAATGTTACTGCACTTCAGCCTGGGGAACAGAGTGAGACTTTTTTTTTTTTTGAAGGCCTGTTAAAATCTCCCCCTGTGGCTACAGATATGTCTATTTTACTTTTTAAGTCTATAAATATTTGCTTTATATATTTTAAGGCTGTGTTACTATGTGTTTACAAATTTTAAAATTGGTATGGCTTCTTGATAAATTGATGAATCTTTGATCAGTAGTAAATGACTTCCTTCTTTAGTAATGCGTTTTGCTTTAAAGTCTACTTAGCTCATAATAAAAACCTACAGCAGATTTCCTTTGGTTAGTATATATGGTTTATAAACCCATTTGCTTTCAACCTTCCTATGTCCTTTATCTTAGAAGTACAGTTGATCCTCATTATTTGTAGATTCCATATTTGCAAATTAACCTACTTGCTAAAACTTATTCGTAACCTCAAAATCAATGCTTGTGGCACTGTCATGGCCATTTGTGGACATGTTCAAAGCAGCTAAAAATTTGAGTCACTTGATGTGCATGCTCCTAGCTGAAGTCCAATAAGGCGATACTCTCGGCCTTCTTGTTTTCGGCAGCTTCATACAGACATAACCAGAGGATGGAGAAATGAAGATGGTAGGGGCTAGGGGCAGTAGAGTGCAAGTTCTGGCTCTGGGGCCAGTTGGATTAGGTTTTAATCCCAATTCTAGCACCTGTTAGTGGGGCAGCCTCAGGCAAGCCACTTAACATTTCTGAACCTTGTTTTCTCTTTTGTAAAAAGTAAAATAGGTTGTATCAGGATGAATTTTGAAGATTTAAGATGATAATTTACATTAGATGATATAAATAGATATAATTTTCCCCGGAAGCAATGGTTCAGTATTTGCTAATTCAGTGCTCATGGTGACTTTCTGGTATGCAACAACTGTGAATATTGAGAATTGACTATGTGTAGCTCATAAATAATATAGAGATATATTTTGTGGGTTTTGAAGAAAATGTATGTACTTAAATTAACAATCTGTTGTCTTTTGTCTGAATGATTTAGTCTATTTACCTTCAATAGAATTAATGCTATATCATCATTCATTGGTTTTGAGAAGCCCATCTCTTTGACCTCTTGACATCTCTGAAGTTAGCATGCACTCACTATTGGCCAAATGGTGCTATGATGTAGCTGTTGTGAAAAGAAAATAAATCTTGGGGCCCCAAAATCACTAAGATAAAGGGAAAAGTCAAGTTGGGAGCTGCTTAGGGCAAACTTGTCTCCCTTTCTTTCAGAGTCACCCCTCTGCTCACTGAGATAAATGCACATCTGATTGCCTCCTTTGGAGAGGCTATTCAGAAACTCGAAAGAATGCAACCATTTGTCTCTTATCTACCTATGACCTGGAAGCCCCCTCCTTGCTTTGGGTTGTCCCACCTTTGCTTTGAGTTGTCCCACCTTTCCAGACTGAACCAAAGTTCATCTTATATATGTTGATTTATGTCTCATGACTCCCTAAAATGTATACAATGGATAAAACCAAACTGTGCTCTGACCACCTTGGGCACATGTCATCAGGACCTCCTGAGTCTGTGTCACGGTGAGCATCCTCAACCTTGGCAAAATAAACCTAAATTAACTGAGACCTGTCTCAGATATTCGGGGTTCACACTCTCATTGCCTGAGCATGTATATTAACATCTACAGAGTGGTAGTTAGCAGCTTTGAAGGAAATCTCTGTGGCAAAGTACAGCCCTCTTTTATAAAATTCTGTGTCATCCAAGCTCTTAGTGAAGCAGAGTTTGTTATTGTGTGGATAAACACAGACATCTACAACTCTGAGTCAGAAAAAAGACAATATTTAGAAAAGGTAGATTCCAAATGTGAAAGTTTTAGAAATGTCGTAACCCATTGATTGCACTTGTGATGTTCTTCTTCTGTCTGCACAAGAGTGATGCATAAATTTTAAAAAATCTGAAAAAGTTATTTCATTATTATAAAAATTCCAAGCGTTAAGAAGCATTGTAACAATTTTAATGCCAGTTCATTGTTGATTTCACTTGTGATTTCACTTGTGATTATTTCACTTGTGATGTTCTTCTTCTGTCTGCACAAGAGAGATGCATAAATTTTAAAAAATCTGAAAAAGTTATTTCATTATTATAAAAATTCCAAGGGTTAAGAAAGCATTGTAACAATTTTAATGCCAGTTCATTGTTCTTTATTAAAGATGGATAAAATAATAATGCTTCTTAGAATTGATTCCTCTTAGAGTCTGTGAAATACAGCTCCATGGATGTCTTATACTCTCTTACTTTGGAATTTCTATTTCCCTCCTGTTCTGTTTGTGTATGACTTCCTTTTTGATCTTATTTTTGGGTCTTTCTATAAGTTTGGAAGTAATACACTATTTTTAATCTTTGGTGTTTACTTGAAAAAATACTACATATATAATTAACTTATCCAAGTAGAAATTAATCAAAACCTTTACTCTTTCCCTAATATGAAAACCTTACCATTAACTCTAATTATCCACCTCCTGATGTAACTGCTATTGTAGTTTGATATTTTAATTCTAACTTTTAAATGTTAACACCCTTAGACATTTTTACAACTATTTTATATAATTGTTGTTAATTTCCATTTGCCCATATATATAACACTTTTCTTGTTCTTTAGTTCTTTCTTGCATCTTAGACCTTCTATCTGGGGTCACTTTATTTCTACCTGAACAGCGAATCCTTTGGAATTTTCTTCACTGAGGTTCTGATGGTGACCAATTCTCAGTTTCTGTCTCTCTTTTTCTCTATATTTTTATATTTTCTGACCTTAGAATTCCAGACTGGCAATTATTTTCTTCCAGCACATTTAAAATATGATTTTTTGTTTCTATTTTTGCTGTTGAGATGTCTTCTGTAAGAATATCTATTTCTCCTTTAAAAATCATTCAACTGCTTTTAAGTTTTCTATTTTGACTCTGGAAAATGTTCAGGTGTAGATTTCCTTTTAATAAATTTACCTAGGATTTGTTGGGTTTCTCAAATCTGTGCATAGGTAAATTTTATCAGTTATAGGCAATCCCAGCCATTATTTCTTTGTGTATTGTTTCTGTTTATCCTCTTCTGGACTTCTGAATAAATGCATGCTAGAACTTCTCAATATATTACCCTTATTTATTACCCTCTCCTCTCTATTATCTATTTTTATTTTCTATGCTGATTTCCAGATAATTTACTCTCTCATTTTTTTGCCATGTCCAATCTGCTGCCAAAATGTCCAGTATTAATTTCCAGTTACTATATTTCTTAGTTGTAAAAGCTATTTATATTTTTACATCTGCTATGTGATTTTTATTGCTTTTTGTTCCCTTCAGTTATTTATTTATTTATTTATTTATTTATTTAGTTTATTTAGTTTATTTATTTTTTTTTTTGAGACAGAGTCTTGCTCTGTCACCCAGGCTGGAGTGCGGTGGCGCGATCTCAGCTCACTGCAAGCTCCGACTCTCAGGTTCACGCCATTCTCCTGCCTCAGCCTCCTGAGTAGCTGGGACTACAGGTGCCTGCCACCATGCCCAACTAATATTTTTGTATTTTTAGTAGAGACAGGGTTTCACCGTATTAGCCAGGATGGTCTCGATCTCCTGACCTCATGATCTGCCCTTCTCTGCCTCCCATCTCTTCAGTTATTTTTGTCATTTATTTCATTAAACTTTGTAAGCATAGTTGCTTTAAAATATAAAGTCTGTGCAGGTCTGTTTCCACTATCTCTTAGTTCTCAATCATAGATTTTGTTTCTTTGTATGCCTTTTTATCTTCCATGGCTTGTTGCTCTTGCCCTTGAACAATTAATTGTAGGGAGTTCCTGTGATGTAGGAGGGACTTACCCCTCTCCAGAGGTCTTTGGCCCTTGCTTCTTCTTCTAGGTCCTTGAGGCACTACCAGTAAGGGCCATCTCATGCCAAGTTCACAGCTTTAAAGTTCCTGGACACACCCAGGTTATGCCTTCATAGGATACAAATTCATTAGAGAGCTGGTCGACAACCACAGTTTCTCAGGATTTCTCCCCTTTTATTTCCTTTCCTCCTGCTTTATTCAGTGCCAAAGTGGTTTTCTCTGAGTTCTACCTCAGTGAAGAACTATGAGTTTAGATCTGGTTTTCCTTATCTGAGGATAGTCTTTTGGGGTTGTATTTCAATGTGGGTGTCCTCTAAGTATTCTCACTTTTGTCCTTCGTTTCTGACCCTTGCCCTTTACAGTCACTTTATAGGATTTTAAGTGTGTGGAAAAGACACATGAGTTGGGTGCTTTTAAATTCCCCTACTTGTCTTGTTACTCTTAGCTAGCAAGAAAAGACAACCTCATTGCCTCTTCAGCTCATCAATACTGTAAAGGAAATGTGTTTATTTTAGACATTATGCAATATTTTTCATGGTTTTCAGTGGGAGGGTAGATCCAAATAATCTAGCTTGACATTACTGGAAACCAGAAGGCACATTTGGGATTTCTAAGATAAACATTTCAAAATGAAAAACAAGAGCAGATTGTCATATGGAAATTTCTGGCCCAGCACACCACATAGTGCAGATATTCCACGTCCCCTCCAGAAAAGAAGACATCTTATCTTACAGGACTGTGTTGAGGATTAAATTAGATAACAGGTGAAATTGCTAAGTGAAGTGCCGGTGCTCAAGAAAAGTTTAAGTCTGAAATCTAAGACAGAGAACTCGGTTTTTCTAGTGTTAATGCTGGAGGCAGTCACTATGGGGTTTAGAGATGACTTGCCACGTGGTTGAGCAGATCATTAGAAACACCCCAACCCCTTGGCCTTTGGGGGATTTCAATCAGAAAGGATCAGGGTGGGCGTTCTGAGCTCTCCCAGAATGGCAGGCCCGGAGGAAAAGTCAAGCTGAAGTGCTTAGGGGATTAAAATAAATAAAATGCTTCGCCAGAGATTAGGATTCAAGTATCAGTCTGATTTAATGATTCCAGAAGGTTAATACACACCCCAGGCAGGCAGCCAGTTGCCCTCAGCTGGTTTGGTGCCAGCAGGATTATGGTGAGGGGTGATGGTGTCTCTTCCACAATTCTGGTTTATTTGAGAAACAGAAAGAAGCGGGGATAGATGGAGAGCAGTGAGCAAAGAGGAGTGTGGAGGAGATGAGGCCAGATGGGTGGGCAGAATCTAGATCACAGAGGGGACTTGAGAGGATACAGAAGGGAATTTAAATTCATTTCCAAGTATAATGGGGAACTATTGAAGTCTTTTAAGCAAGTAAGGAATGTTTGTAGCAGTTTAATTTAGGATAACAAAAACAACAAAAAAGCAAACAAGCCAAATGTCCGTCAACAGGTGATTAAATAAACTGTGGTAGAATGAATACCACTCAGCAGTGGAAAGCAATGAAGTATTGATGGACACAGCCACGTGGCTGAATCTCAGAAACACTGTGCCGAGCAAAGGAAGTCAAGCACGAAGAAGCACATGCTGTATGTCTCCAGTGCAAGATAATCTATACTGACATGGAGCAGATCAGTGGTTTCCTGGGGCTGCAGGGGGAGGGAGGGTGAACTGCAAAGGGGCATGGGGAACTTTCTGAGGGGATGGAAATGCTCTATAGCTTGATTATGGGGATGAACACATGGGGCCTATGTATTTGTCAATTTGTACACTTGAAGGGTATGCATTTGGTGCAAAGCTACCTTAGTAAATTTTTAAAAATCTCTAGCAAATAAATGTAAATTACTTTCATTATATTCTGAACCACTGCAAGAGTTCAAGGTTAAGGAGAAAATGGATGCACAGATATTCACGTCACAGAGCCTTTCAATTATTAAATTCCAACGGAACTTTGAGCCTCTTGCTTTCTAAAGCAAAAAGGGACATAAACGTGGCCTTGTGTTTCTCACACTCTTTAGAATAACATTGTCCAGGAGTGCTCAGTGGAATGGATGTTCCCACCCTCACTTAAACATGGGATGTTGCATTTTAGGGAGGTGGCAAATATCCTGCTCAAGGTAACCATTGTGACCGAGCAGAGGTAAACCTAAAACCCAGTCTGTGAGATACCCCAGTTCATCCCTCTTTACACTGTTCCAAGGGCTGGGCAGTGAGAGGTAGATGAAAGCTCCAATTCTAACACATAGGTTTCATGAGACTGCTGTCTTCCCCAGGAGTCAAGGGGCTTTAGGTTGAATTAAGAGGTCCTACCACCAATATCAAGTGATCTGATGGGGTGACTCCTTACGCTAACCAAGTTTCTCAAACTCAGCACTATTGACATTTTGAACTGGAAATTATTTGCTGTAGGGATGTTGTCCTTTGCATTGTGGGAAGTTTTGCCTCTTCCTACTATTAATAGATACCAGTAAAACCCCAACCCCATTTGTGAGAACTAAATTTGTCTCCAGACACTGCCAAATGTCCCAGGGGTGGAAGGGGAATTGTCCCCGGTTGAGAACCACTGCCTTAAACCTTTCCATGGTTCTCCATTGTCCACAGGATGTAGTCTATGCTCTTTAGCATGGCTTAGAAGGCCTGTGCAATCTGCTCCACCCCCTCCAGTCTCCCTCGCCTCACACATGCCACTTCCCTCGTCACATCGCATAGTGCAACAAGAACAATCCATTGGCCAATTGCTCCTTCTCTAAACACCATCCTCTTTCTTGCTGCATGCCTTTGTTCACTCTGTGCCTTCTTCCTAGGATGCAGTCTTCTTTCCACTGTCTTTTCTCAGCTAACATCTACTTAATTCTCAAAATTCAACACAAGAATGACTTCTTTTGATGGTTTCCTAAAATTATAAACCCTTTTGCGCTATTCTAACAATGAGCAAGTACTTTTTTGGTTTGCACAATAACAATCAAAAGTTGCCTTTCTTTTTTCTTTTTTTCTCTTTTTTTTTTTTTTTTGAGACAGAGTCTCACTCTATCATCCAGGCTGGAGTGCAATGGTGCAATCTTGGCACACTGCAATCTCTGCCTCTCAGGTTCAAGCAATTCCCCTGCCTCAGCCTCCCAAGTAGCTGGGAATACAGGTGCACACTACCATGCCCAGCTAATTTTTTGTATTTTAGTAGAGACGGGGTTTCAACATGTTGGCTAGGATGGTCTCAATCTCCTGACCTCGTGATCTGCCAGCCTTGGTCTCCCAAAGTGCTGGGATTACAGGCGTGAACCACCATTACTGGTTCTTTTTATTTTTAAAATTTTCTTTTTTTATGTTCTGGGGTACATGTGCAGGATGTGCAGGTTTGTTGCATAGGTTCATCAATGACAGACTGGATAAAGAAAACATGGTATTTATACACCATGGAATACTATGCAGCTGTAAAAAGGAATGAGATCATGTACTTTGCAGGGACATGGATGAAGCTGGAAGTCATTATCGTCAGCAAACTAACACAGAAACAGAAAAGTTGTCTTTCTTTCTTTTTCTCTTTCTTGTTTCTTTCTTTATTTTTTGAGACAGAGTCTCACTCTGTCACCCAGGCTGGAGTGCAGTGGTGCAATCTCGGCTCACTGCAAACTCCTCCTCCCGGGTTCACGCCATTCTCCTGCCTCAGCCTCCCGAGTAGCTGGAACTACAGGTGCCCGCCACCATGCCTGGCTAATTTTTTTTGTATTTTTAGTAGAGACAGGGTTTCACTGTGTTAGCCAGGATGCTCTCTATCTCCTGACCTCGTGATCTGCCCGTCTCGTCCTCTCAGAGTGCTGGGATTATAGGCGTGAGCCACTGTGCCTGGCCGAAAGTTGTTTTTCTTTAAAGCCTTTGGACTCTCCCAAGCTGGGCAAATTCTCCTCTGACTCCCCCATAGAATTTTCTTTCTTTTCTCTTTTATTTTACTGGTTACACTGTGATTAACTCTTTATCTATAGGCCTCTATTAGCCAGTGAGCTTTTGGGGATGGGGGTGCTGATGTAATTGCATATGTGTACTAGGGCTCAGCAAAGACCCTGGCCCGGAGTCTCAGGAAAGGCCTGGGACATGGACCTACCTGTAGGACAATTACATGCAAGAAAGCCTTGGGCCAGGTTGACATCTGTGCTGCAGATGGGGTGGACGCACTGCCTTAGCAGGTAGACACTCTGTCCAGATGCAGGGGGCTGGGGCTGGTGAGCCCTCTGGGTTTCTTCCTTCCCTGTTCCTAAAGGACAATTTTACTAATAAATCGTGTTATAGTCTGAATGAGTCACCAGAAAAACATGGGTTGGAACAAAGACAAGATTTATTTTTTTACTGCCAAGCACAGCTAATGGATTTTAACTTTAACTTCCTGTACAACCATGGGAAAAAGTGCCCTTAGCTGAGAGGTGGAAGTGGATGCATAGGACAAAGGACAGCCAGGGGCCATACTTGACAGAGCGTGAGTTGGAGGGGATACCCTCCATCATCCTGAGAAAATGCTCGGAAGCCCTGGGGCTCCAAACACTCTTACTGGTGACCCAGGGCAAGACACCCCTGAGAACACAAGAAGAGACGACCAGCAGGCCACTGGAGAGCTGCCCGAGGTTGATTCTGCTGTGGGCTTGTACTTTACTGTATTACCAATGTGTCCCCCACCTCCCAGTGCTGGTTGCTTGTTATCTTCCTTCTTGTCCTTTTCTGGACAGTGCTAGGGCATGGCTCCCCACTGGGGCCCTACTGGCCTTTGGGGAATGACAAGTTTCTGGTATGAGGGACTGTCCTACACACTGCAAGATGTTAAACACCCTGGCCTCTGGTCACTAAAAGCTAACTAAAATGGTTTGGCTGTGTCCCCACCCAAATTTCATCTTGAATTCCCACATGTTGTGGGAGGGACCCAGTGGGAGGTAATTGAATCATGGGGGCAAGTATTTCCTGTGTTGTTTTTGTGATAGTGAATAAGTCTCATGAGATCTGATGGTTTTATAAAAAGGAGTTCCCCTGCACAAGCTCTCTCTCTTTGCCTGCTGCCATCCATGTAAGATGTGACTTGCTCCTCCTTGCCTTCCACCATGATTGTGAGGCTTCCCCAGCCACTTGGAACTGTTAAGTCCAATTAAACCTTTTTCTTTTGTAAATTGCCCAGTCTCCTGTATGTCTTTATCAACAGCATGAAAACAGACTAATACACTAACAATACCCCATCCCTGTCATTGTGACAACCCCAATGTCTCCTCCCACTCTGTTCAAATGCCACCTGAGGCAGCTGAGCACATCTAAACTAGGGCCTCTTATGCTACCTGCCTAAGGGAAGGACCATTGCAGCTCAGCATGGGAGAACAAAAAGGTACTTTATTTGATATTTTGGGTTGCAAGCTCCTCTCCTTTAAGCTTTCAAAGTCCAAGCACTCAATAACTGGGATTACTTTTATCTATAGACCAGGGTCAGCCAAATGGACCCAAATCCACAGGCCAAATCTGGCCCACAACCTGTTTTATTAACGCACAGCCACACTCATTATCATATGTTTTCTATGGCTACTTTCATGCCATGTTGGCAGAGTTGAGTAGCCACAATAGAGATCAGATGGCCCACAGAACTGAAAACATTCACTGCCTGGCCCTTTAGAGAAAAAGTTTGCTGACTTCTGTCATGGACAGTGGTTTTGAAAAATTAAGTGCCTGGTCAGACCTGAAAGATTCTCTCACTCAAGGAGGAGGGATCAGAGGAGAAACAAGAAAACCCTGACATCAGTGTGCCCCTGAGAAGGGGCTCTGTGCTGCGTCTCCACTTCACAACCCACGTGTGGTCCATGGGAGGAATGGAGGCGATAGACTCTGAAAGGGTGAAAGAGTCAACAGCAGAGGGAAATTGACTCTCATTTCTTGGGTGAAGCCTGGGGCACTGCATGCCCCACAGAATTCTCAACTGGTCAACATTACATGGGGGATAGGAACTCTATATTAGAAATGACTTTTGAATGCAGCTAGGGAAGTTGGTCTGAATCAGTCTCAGAGAGCTCCCACTTGCCCCAGTGTGCTGAAGGGAGCAGTTGAATGATTCTCCTTGTGGCTTACAGTAGTATGGAGATAGGGTACTCATTGGGCAGATTCATCAAGATTCCTGTAGAATGGCAAGATTCCTCTAGAATGCCATAAGATATGAGAATTGGCCAGAGGCCAGGGGAGGTTGATGGTCAGAATGAGGAAAGCACTGATGGTTCCTGGTGCTAAAAACCAGCTGGGAATGTGAACAGCTCAGTGGATACACACTAGAAGAGAGGGAGGCATCAAGGACCAGAATTCCCTTCCTACAATGCCTTACACTGTGAAGCAGCATGCCCTGCCCCAGGAGAGATGTAACTCCAGAGATAGGGGCATGAACCTTACTGATCTTACTGACTGAGTTTTAGTTTCTACGTTCTGGTGGAATCAATGCATGAATCAAACTTCAGTTAAAAATAAATTGATTTCACTGTACATCTAAATTTGTAGATTGAAAGTCATACCTGCAAAAACTTATTGCCTGCATTTCCTTTGCACTCCCTTGGATTAAGCACTGTGGAGGGCCTGAAAAATGAAACCAGTAAAGCCGCTCCCCTCCAGGAGTTCTCAGCGTAGGCGTGGAGGGAGCCATATCTGATCTCACCATTATACAGAGTGACAGCCTGCTCATGTATATTTCTATGTGTGGTTGAGGAGAGGGGGTGGGAGATAAAACTGAAAGGATATGTGAGGCAGGGCTTCAGATGCCAGGGGAACCACTGGAAGATTTTAAGCAGAGTTATATGTACATGCCTGTGTTTCAGACAGGGCCCTCTGGAGCATGAGGAGGCTGAGATGTGGGCAGGAAGAACAGTGAATAGCCTCTTGCAACAGTCTTGGGAAAGTGGGAAGGTCAGGTCAAGGAAGGGGCAGTGGTTATAGAGAGGAGGAATTGATATAAGAAAGATGTGTAGGAAGTTGGGAGAATGGGGCCTAGTGGCTTATTGCCTGGGAGAGGAGGATTTCCAGGTCAAATTTTGAAAGGTGCTCCCACCACTCCTCTGGATTTTGTAACTACACCTTTTCATTATTATTATTATTATACTTTAAGTTTTAGGGTACACGTGCACAATGTGCAGGTTAGTTACATATGTATACATGTGCCATGCTGGTGTGCTGCACCCATTAACTCATCATTTAGCATTAGTTATATCTCCTAATGCTATCTGTCCCCTCCCCCCAACCCCACAACAGTCCCCAGTAACTACACTTTCAATGTTGCCTCCAAAATATCATTATGAGGCAAGCTTCATATTGTGTTTGTTGCAAGGCTCAGGAAAGGCAGCATATTAGAGTGTACTTTTGCACAACCATAAATAAGCTTTGGTTGAATCAATAGATTGGTCATCTTTGCCCAGCACTTCACATTTCACAAAGAACTTTCACGTGAATGATCTGTGAGTTAGGGATCACAAATCTCCCCATCAGAAGATGAAGAAAATAAGCCATGATGAGACCAGATGACAGCTCATCAATTTGGTGAGAATTGTTGTTCTTTTGAAGCCATTTGCTGTTCCGGGTTTTTTTTTTTTTTTTTTTTTTGAGACAGAGTCTCATTCTGTCACTCAGGCTGGAGTGCAGTGGTGTGATCTCAGCTCACTGCAACCTCCGCCTCCCGGGTTGAAGTGATTCTCCTGCCTCAGCCTCTCAAGTAGCTGGGATTACAGGTGTGTGCCACTATGCCCGGCCCCTAATTTTGTATTTTTAGTAGAAACAGGGTTTCTCCATGTTGGCCAGGCTGGTGTCGAACTCCTGACCTCAAGTGATCCACCTGTCTTGGCCTCCCAAAGTGCTGGGATTACAGGTGTGAGCCACCATGAATGGCCTGCTTTTACTCTTTCTTTGTCTTCCAATCTGGGTTTCTCCCCTGACAAGCTGAAGATTTTATTATTAATGATACCAAGAGGAAAATGGGAGAAAGGAAGAGAAGAAAGAAAGAAAGGGAGGAGATAAGAAGAGATGCCTACCATTTTGCCTACTGAATTCGGGGACGACCTCCGTTCTGCTCTGCCTACCTTCTGAGACAGGTGGAAGATCTGAAAAGGTAGGAACATGGACTCTGGAGTCTGAAAAATCTGGGTTTGAACTCCATGTCCACCACTCATTTAGATCTCTGACTTCAGACTTAACCTCTTTCTGCCTCAGTTTCCTCACCTATCAACTGGGGATAATGTTAGAATGACTGTAAGGATTAAATGCTATGATGCATGTAAAATGCTGGACCTATGGTAAGCACCTGCTATGGTTTAGATGTTCGTCCCTTTCAAACCCCATGTTGAAATGCGATGTCCAGTGTTGGAGGTGGGGCCTGATGAGAAGTGTTTTGGTAGTAGGGGTGGATCCCTCATGAATGGATTAGTGCTCTCCCTCAGGATGAGTGAGTTCTCACTCTGTTAGTTCCCATGAGAGCAGGTTGTTAAAAGAGCCTGGCACTTCCCCCCTCTCTATTGCATTGGCTCTTGCCATGTGATTTCTGCATACTCCAGCTCCCCTTCACCTTCCATCATGAGTGGAAGCAACATGAGGCTTTCACCAGAAGCAGATGCACAATCTTCAACTATCCAGCCATCTGAATCATGAGCCAAATAACCCTTTTCAAAAATAAATTACCCAGCCCTGCAAAGACCAGGGGCAAGGCTGTCCCAGGCAGAAAGGCCAGCTGGGCAGAGATATCATACAGCAGTATCAACGCAAGAGCGTGTGAGGAACAGAAGGGAGGGCAGTGTGACCAGCATGGTAAGCCCTGGGGGGCTGGCCTCAGTCATGATCAGAGGGAGAGAGAGGTAGGGGCCAGCTGACATAGGGCTGGACATACAATAAGGAATTTGGAGATGGAGCTCAGACTAGCAAGGTGACAGTGAATATGGAGGGAACTGGATACCTTAGGGGTATATGTTTTACAGACAGGATTGATGGGGTATGCTGATGGATTCAATATGGAGAGTGAAGAAAGTGGAATAAAAGTTAACACATGGACAGAACAGTTTTTTAAATTGATAACGTAATTGTACATGTTTATGGGATATTTTGATACATGCATACAGAGTGTAATGATCAAATCAAAACATCACCTCAAAATTTTATTTTTTCTTTGTGTGGAGAGTATTCGAAATCTTCTCTTCTTGCTCTTTTGAAATATGCAATAAATTATTGATAACCATAGTCACCACACTGTGCAATAGAACACCAGAACTTATTCCTCCTATGTAACTGTCTTTTTGCACCCATTAACAAACCTCTCTTCATCACCCCCACCCTACCCTTCTCAGTTTCTGGTAACCACTATTCCATTATCTAGCTCTATAAGATCAACTTTTTTAGCTCCCAAATATGAATGAGAACATGCAATATTTATCTTTCTGTGCCCGGCTTATTTTACTTAACGTAATGTCCTCCAGGCTCATCCGTATTGCTGCAAATGACAGGATTCCATTCTTTTTATGGCCGAATAATATTCCATGTGTAAATACATACACAATGGAATATTGCTTTATCCCATTAACACTTTGATTTATTATTTTTTTTTTTTGAGACGGAGTCTCGCTCTGTCGCCCAGGCTGGAGTGCAGTGGCGCGAACTCGGCTCACTGCAAGCTCTGCCTCCAGGGTTCATGCCATTCTCCTGCCTCAGCCTCCCGAGTAGCTGGGACTACAGGCGCTTGCCACCGCACCTGGCTAATTTTTTTGTATTTTTAGTAGAGAGCAGGTTTCATTGTGTTAGCCAGGATGGTCTCGATCTCCCGACCTCGTGATCCGCCCGCCACAGCCTCCCAAAGTGCTGGGATTACAGGCTTGAGGCACCGTGCCTGGCCTAACACTTTGATTTTTGACATGAGCAGTTTGGTACATGTTGAGACCTAAAAGGTAGATGGTGGAAGGCTGGGGGAAAGGTAGTTTGAGATTGTGTTAAATTTTAATTTTCCATTGGACATTATTATGATGATGACCAACAGGTGGGCTGGAGTTGTACAGAGAGGCCAGAGCTGGAACTAGAGAACTCTGAGTCCTTGGTACCAGGTAGTATTTAAAGATATGGAGAGGAATGAAATAACTAGAAACAGCATGTGCTCAGCGGTCGGGTCCAGATGAGATCCCCGAGGCACTCCACATAATCTTTGAGGGACGGGAAGGGGAGAAGTAGCCAGCAAAGAGACCGAGAAGGAGCAGCCAGGGAGGTAGGAGGACATGTGATTGGTATGAGAAACTGTCCCACACACTGCACAATGTTAAACACCCTGGCCATGTGAGAAGAAAGCATTCATAAGTGTGCTCATAGAGTGTTAGGAAGTGGGAAAGAGAAAACAGCTGGAAAAGTGCTTTGTAACACACAGATACTATAGCTTCAAGTCACACAAAAGTGAGAGATTAGGCCAAAACCTCAAACCCAAGTCCTTAAGCCAATGTGCCCAACTAGAGGAGGGCCGGAGGTCCAGCATTACTGGGTGCTTTACTACTTGTGATCCTTCTGCAAGGCAGATATGATTATCAGCCCATTTTACAGATGGGAACTATGAGGTCCAAAGAGGCAAAGCAAACTGCCTCACTTCTAAATGTTGGATTTTCTTGGGGCTTGGTCCTGAGTTCTTCGAATTTGCTACGTAATTGCCCTAGAAAATCTCACTCAGTTCCAAGGCTTGAAATAACACGTTAAGCTAATAACTCCCAAAGTTAGATCTTCAATCCGAACCTCTCCCCTGAGCTATCGACCATTTCTGACTGCTCACTTGCTGTCTCTACCAGGAGGTCTCCCACATATATGTCCCAAACGGGACTCCAGAGCCCCTCCCCCAGCTCCTTTCTTTCCAACCTGTTTTTCCCTCTAGCCTTCTCCCTCATGGGAAATAGCACTAAATTCACCCAGTTGTGTCATTTTAGATATCTTCCTCTTTTTAGCCCCCAGAACTCATCCATCACTGATACTCATTTCTTCTGCCTCCTAAAACTCTCTTGAACACACTCCCATCTCTCCATCTTTACTGCCACCCCTACTTCATCTAAACTGCCATTCCTGTCTCCTGGGGGACCACAGGAGCCTTCTCAGTGGCCTCCCAGATTTCACTCTTGTTTCCCTCCAATCCACCAGCAGCCAGAGAGATCTTTAAGAAAACAAAGTAAAATGGATCACGTCATTCCTCTGCCTAAAAATACCCTCCAATTCATTGTTAAGACAAAAGTCCAAAGTCCTTTCACGGCCCACCCAACCCATGTCCTGCCTTGTCCTACTGGCCTTGCCACCTTCATCTTGTGCCAGCTGACCATCCCCCTCCCTGGCACTCTCCTCCAGGCACCTGTTTTCATTTCTTGGCCATACCAAGCTCTTCTTGCCTCTAGGCCTGTGCCTTGTCCACTCCCTATAGCAGGCTCCCCATCCTTCAGGTCTTGCTTCAAACCTCTTCTGAGAAACATTTCTTTGCCACCCTCTCCAGGGAAAAATCCCTTCCTGTTAACTTACCTTATACTCTCATTCTTTTCTTCACTGGCACCATTACATCTTTCTAACCCATAATTGTACATTTGTTTCTTTGCCAACTTAGTTATTAGGAACCTCCCCTACTGCCAGACCATGATAACAGAGTTTGTTTTTGTCAGTGCCATTCATCGTTGTATCCCCAATACCTTGCGTTGTGCCTAGCACATAGTAGGTTCTCAACAGCAGTTACTGCATGTTGAATGAAGGCCACAGAGCCAGCCAGAGGAGGATGATTAGGATGTGTCTACATGACTTCTTGAACCATTGCCCTATTCTGATTCACACTGGGTAGCTGCCTTGAAAAGAAACACAGTAGCATTTATAAATAGCTCTTTGAGCTTGTGTACCCTGCCACGGGGCTAGAGTTTCCCCCCAGCATTGCCTGTCTGTTCAGTCCCCTCACAGAAGGCCTGTGTTTGGGGTTCTGAGATCTGGAATGCCTTCTGGCATTTTCTGCTCAGTGAGCCCATCCATTCCCATTTGCTTCAGAGGCGCTGAAGATATACATTGCAAAAGGCCTTCTTGCAAATTGCTGGGGAAGGGCATGTTCCGGGCCAGGGATTTCTCTGGCTGCCCCTGCAGGAGACAGAGGGTGAGCTCCAAAGGGGTTGCTTTGGCTGCACAGTTTGGCATTGCTTTGGCTGGCTGGGGATGGCAGAATAGGGGAGCCGGGGCAGCTGCCAGGCCTGGCCCTGGGGATGGCAAGAATGGATGGGCGGAATAGAGCCTGGACTCCAGGGCAGAGCACACAGAGTCCGAATGCAGACCCAGCATCCATGCAGCTTATGACCTAGCAGTAGAGACCCAACAGGGCTGACTGTGAGTTGTGGTCAGTGTTGGCCAGATGGGATGTCCACTGCCTGGAGATGTGGCCATACATAACTGGTGGTCCTGGGGCATTGGACAACCCCAGGAGACTGGTGAGAGTTAAACTGGCACCACAGTCCCAGACAACAGTCTAGGAGTGGGAAGAAGAGACTCTGAGATATTATAAAGATCTTGAGTTTTGGAATCAGAAAGGCCCAGGCCAGGGTCTTGATTCCTCCCCTTACCAGATGTATGAGATGAGACAAGCCATGTCATCTCTCTGAGCCTTGGTTTTCTCAGCTATGAAATGGGACATGTCCCTGACTACAGAGCATATAATAATGACTGGAGACTGTGCATAAAAAGCAAGCCCCCAGAGTAGAGTCTGGCAGTTAGAAGGCTCTCAGTCATTGGCGGTTACTTAGATAGCAGGGTTGTGGACTGAAACGCAGGAAAACTGGTGATGATCAGAGCAAGGACTTCAGAAATATCAGAGGTGATGGGTTTTCCTGGGATCACCTTGAATGCACCTTGGCTGGGAGGGAGGGAGGGCACCTTGAATACCCTTGGTATGGAGCTGAGTCCCTGGACCGTTCTCTTCTCTGGATTATAAATGTATATAATATATGGTATTGGTGGCAGGGTGGCCAGGAAAGATGCTGACATTGGCCTGGGTCCGAAGTGGGGGCCAGGATGAGCTGTGAAGAGTGATAGGGGCCCCAAACTTGGAGGGTCCCGTTTATCTTTATATTGTTTATTCTTTCAAGAAATTTTGCTTCTATATGCTGAGCTCTTTATCCAGAGCTGCTTTAGAGGAGCTTACTCTCATTTATCCTTTCATTTGTGTGTTTATGTAGAGAAATTTTCTATATGTCTACTCTGTAGTGGGCCCCTAGTGAAGGCTGGAAACACAAGGGTGAATAAGGCACAACCTCAGCTCTTGGGGAGCTCATGGTCTGGTGGGGGAGCAGATGGGTGTGGGAGGGAAGCTGTAGGGTGATGGCCAAGAGCACACTCTTTGGATACGCTGTCCTGGGCTTGCCTAGCCACTTCTGCCATGTGTAGTCATGTGTCTTATGACCTGGGCTGTCATCTCATCTCACTACCCCGTTTCTTCATGGGGTTGGTGTGAGAATTGAGTGCAATGTGTTTAAGCAGTGCCTAAGCAATATTAAGCTCTCAGTAAATGTAAGAAATGGTGATGATGGGCTAGGCGGTGGCTCACGCCTGTAATCCCAGCACTTTGGGAGGCCGAGGTGGGCGGATCATGAGGTCAGGAAATCGAGACCATCCTGGCTAACACGGTGAAACTCCGTCTCTACTAAAAATACAAAAAAAATTAGCCAGGCGCAGTGGTGGGCGCCTGTAGTCCCAGCTACTCAGGAGGCTGAGGCAGGAGAATGGCGTGAACCCAGGAGGCGGAGCTTGCAGTGAGCCGAGATAGCGCCACTGCACTCCGGCCTGGGTGAAAGAGCGAGACTCAGTCTCAAAAAAAAAAAAAAAAAAAAAAGAAAGAAATGGTGATGATGATGGTGATGGTGATGATAGTATGGTGGTGGTGACGATGATGCTGCTGCTGCTGCTGGTGGTGATGGTGATTGTAGTGATGATAGTGATGATAAGTATAATGATGGTGGTGGTGATGGTGATGGTGATGATAATGATTGATAATTATGGTGGTAATGATGGTGATGATAATGATGGTGGTGGTGATGATAATGATTGATAATGATGGTGGTAATGATGGTGATGATAATGGTGGTGGTGGTGATGGTGATGATGGTGATGGTCGTGGTGATGATAATGATTGATAATGATGGTGGTGATGATGGTGATGATAATGATGGTGGTGGTGATGGTGTTGGTAATGATGATGGTGATGAGGACGATGGTAATGATGGTGGTAGTGATGGTGGTGGTGATGGTGATGGTGATGGCAATGATGATGGTGATGATGATAATCACGGTAGTGGTGATAGTGATGATGATGATGATGGACAAAGGAAGACAAAGTAGAAAACTCTCAGGATAAAGCTGTTAGGGAAGGCATTCTAGTCTCATCCTTCATAGAGGATTAATAAAGAAACACCAACTGGATAGAGTGAGAAAGGGCAGTACCAGCAAAGAGAACAGCATGTGCAAAGGTGTGGAAACACGACATGGTTGTAATGACTAGCTGGAGAAGATACCTAACACACCCATGGCTTACTTTTACTGCAGAAAGGGAGGAATGAACTTTAAACTGAGCCCTTTCTGGCTGAATCTCACTCACTGAGTCCCTTGCAAAGGGACAGATTTCGGGAGATTTGCTCCCACATAGCTTGAAGCTCACCTTGGACCAGGAAATTGGACTAGCCTCCAGAAAATATTTATGTTGGAATATCTGGAGACTGCACAAGATTTGCAGATATTTTCATAATCTCTTTCACGGTTTACACAGCGTGCCACCTGCCTCTATCTC
The DNA here is from genome assembly GCF_000001405.40 of Homo sapiens. NCBI lineage: Eukaryota > Metazoa > Chordata > Mammalia > Primates > Hominidae > Homo > Homo sapiens. Next base: position 175,035,706 of record NC_000005.10, read on the forward strand.
CTGAAAAGGAAAAACAGATTTGTAAAGAGAATGGGTTGCAATGAGGAAAGGGAAGTCACACAGACTATTTGGCTGGCAAAGGTTTGCTGCTAAGATAATGTAAATTGCGGCCGTGCTGAACTGGGAGGGTAACTTCTACATGTATACATGGCCTGCTTTGCAGCCTCCTGAGCACTTCCACATTTGTTATCTTTTATGAGCCTCACAAAAATCCCGTTAGGAGGGGCTGTTTTCCTCATATTACAAATGGGATAACAGAAGCTCAGAGAGGTGTAGGACCTACTCAAAGGCACACAACTAATACATGGCAAAGTAGTAAGCAGCAGATTCATCACTGAGGGTGACAAAAAGGCACCCTTGCAAAATTCTGGCTTTAGGCCAAGTTCAGTGATTCTTTAGGTTTTAAAAAGTTGCTTTGCTGAAAGTTTGCATAAGCTCCCTCTCCTTGTACTTGGAAGGAGGACTGTAATCAACCTATTCTCTTGTGCCACACAAGGTAAGTACAGGGCCATCAGGCCCCACATTTCTCTTTTATGGGTGCCTCATGTGTACACTTTCTTGTTCCTGAACTCCATCTTCCAAACCCCATCTGCTGGCTGGATGTTATCAGGGAGGCCTTGAAGCCACAAGGTGGCAGGAGACATGGGATAGATGCAACCTGGGGTCCTGTGTCACCACATGGAAGAGAATGGCTGGATCTGCATCAGACTGAGATTTTGCACATGAAGAAACTTTGAATCATTGTCCCAGGTCATATACACAATGGGAAGTGCAGGCAGGCCTTGAATCTCAAGCAGCTTGGCCCCAAAGCCTGTGTTCAGGCCACTCTGTTAAGCTGCTCTCCTTCGGGTTATGACCTGTGTCAGGCATACAAGAACACAACCAAATGCATCAGTCATGCTCCCAGATATCTGTGGGGGCTCAGGGACCCCTGTGAGGCCAAGAAACTTTATAAAGATGGAAAAAGATCTATAGTGTAGTATACATGACAGGTGATGATCAGAGGGGCAGGAAGAAAATTGGTGAAGGGCTGTGAAGGACATTGAACGTCTTGCTGGAAGTTTGTACTTTCATCTGAAGGCAAAGGGAGACCCTGAGGGTTTCTAAATAGGGCAGAACTGGAAGAATAGTATATGGGGAACTTCAAAGAAAAGAGTAGTTAGCTGATGGACAGTCTGTTTAGATTTGGAGCAAGGAACATGGGCCTGAAAATCAATGGGTAATTGGGGATCGAGGGTTGAAAACATCTTGTTAATACTGAGAGTGGGGGCCAGAGCTGAGATTAAAGCAGATTTCAGGGGGGTGTGGTGCAGTCTTCGTCTTGCTCTTCCCTTGAACACTGCACCCTCTGTCCGCCATGTGCGTATTTGATAGGGCACCTCAAAGGGGAAGCCAGAAACCCTTTGAAGCAGCAAAGAAGAAAAGGGAAATGGGAGGGACACATGGGAATTTAATTTCTAATAAAAATTTTTATTTTATGATCTAAAGTCCTTTGGGGGAAGAAAGAATTAAAAGCCAGGCCATTGGCTCTCTTTATCTTTATAAATATTCCTACAAAACTTTGCCTCTTGTGAGCATTAGATTGATCCAGTCCCAGAGAAAGGTTTTGACAGACACTGTTAATGAGCTAGTTACGGTAGCTGCATATCAGGAGTGGGGCTCCTCATGGGGACAGCCCAGTTGCCTGTGGGCTCCCATCATGGCCAGCACTCTGTGTCTGTAAGAACAGAGGAATGAGCCGCTGTCTTATTCCCAGATAGTTCAAATAGGCGGCCTTTGCTGATCTGGGTGGTGTGCTTCCCTGCACTTGGCAACACCATAGAAGCAAGAAGGAATCAGCATCATGGTTGAAGAGGGCAGCTAGAGGAGAGATTAAGACATGAGGGAACAAGCAACAGATACAAGCAGGGAGACTTGTCACCAACAGGCATCAACCACCTGCCAGAAAGGTTGGGCAGAGCTAATGAAGCACCGAGTGAAATGGGCTTTCTCAGAGGATCAGGATGGGTATGGTGGGCTAGTGAGAGCTCCAGAGGCCCATTTTAAAGGGCACGGGGTAGGTGGCTATAGCAGCCAAGTACCGCTGTGTGAAAAAGCACTCCCAAATGCCATGGCTTAATATGACAGTATTTATTTTGTCTTACATTCCTGTAGGTGGGCTAGAGATGAGCTAATCTAGGCTGGGCTTGGCTGGGGTGACTCTGTTCCAAATGTCTTTTGGCCTCCTGGGACTAGCAGATTAACCTGGGCATGTCCTTCTCATGGCAATGGCAGAGATGCATGAGGACATGCCCCAGTGCACAAACAGACTTCATGGCCCTGATTGCGTCATTTCTACTAACAATCTATTGGCCATAGTCAGTACCGCATGGCCAAGCTCAATGTTAAAGGGCCTTCCCCTTGGGTGAAAGACTGCAGAGTCACATGGCAGAGAGGGTATGAATAAGGGAGTGATCATGAACCAGAGCCAATTCACCACAGTGGTCTCAGGTAGGTCCTGCAGGTCTAGATACCAGATAGACTTCTGATAAAAGGGCAACTGATATCCATTGTTGGCTTTTTTGTTTGTCTTTGTACTGATCTACCTTGGTCATTTCACCAATCCTTAATGAAAATGCCTGTTTCCTTGTAATTTGACAATGAGCCTCCCCTAAAGTTTACTTTTCTGCTTTTTTTCAAATGTCAGTGTCATTTATAACATATCTGTGCTACATTGGAGTCCACTAAGGATGAAGAAAGTCAGCACCGGGCCCTTTAGCTGAAAGGTGTAGAGATCAGAAAAGCCTTCATCTTCACCTCTGCCCCTCATGCTGCCTCCAGTGAGTGCTGCCCTCACCAGGTCCTCCCAAGTGTGCCATTCATTCATGTGTGTGTTCATTCACTCACCCCTTTGTTCTGCAACCATTTTCAGAGCACCTTCTCTGTTATAGGCACTGCTCTAGAGGCTGAAAGATATGACAGAGAACAAGACGCAATTCCTGCTCTCATGCAATACACATTCTCATTGAGGAAGACATAAAATAAACAAAAATAAATACACAATGGTCTTAGATTCTTATATGTGCTATGAATAAAAAAAATAGCAGAGAATGATGATAGAGTATGCATCCATAGGCGTTGACAACGTGAGGCTGCTTTGGATGAGGGTCAGGGCCAGGCTCTGCAAGGAGATGTATGAACTGAAGTCTGAAGGAAGGAAAAAGAGCCTGCTGTGAGCAGAGCCTGGGGAAGAGCATCCCAGGCAAAAGAACCAGTGAGGGGGAAATGGATCTGAGGCACCAGTGGGGTCGGATCATGCAGGCTTTTATGAACCATGGCAAGGAGCCTGGATATTCTTCTAGGCACACTGAGGTGCCTTCTAGAAGGCCTTAAGTTGCATCATGACCCGATTTATATCTTAAAAGGCAATGACTATTGGGTTAAAAAATGAATTGAAAGGTGGCTTGAATGTAATTCAAGGAGACCAGCTCAGACACTGTTCTAGTAATCCAAGTGTATTTCATTAAAGGAACTCCAAAATTTCAGTGACTTAAAACAAAAATGGTGATGGGAGGTCTTCTCTGTGCAGTTATTTAGGGCCCAGGCTGATGGAACCTCTGTTATCTCCAACTTCTTGCTTTCTAGACACCATGATAGTCAACTTCCCAGCTGTAACTAACTTTGGTGGACAGTTAACTATCTCTGCTGAAAGCTTCCTTTCTGATGACCAAATATTCATATTCACCCTTCTTCCTGCACAGAGTACGCTGTCCTCTTTTACAAGAATACCAGATTTCAATGTGGTATGTAGTGGAGTCTTTGCCATCAGGCCTAGGCATGGCTCTTTTTGATCTATTGGCTCATGGTTCACAAGTTAATGTATCTTCCTTCTCCTTCTACACTCAATGAATATCAGCAGAGGAGGTATGGGTCAGACACAGCTGTCACTGGTCCATAGTGATGATTAAATCCTGCTGATCAGACATTTTGAGGTCACTCTGCTCCATCAGTGGTGGCAGTTCCATGTTTAAAGTCAGAATCTGCTGGCTGCAGAAAATTCCATTGTCCATTGTTCTCTGTGGTACCTTCCTTTGCCTTCTAGGAGGTTCTTCCTTGCCCATTGTCCTCCTTGGAGACATCTGAAACAGGTGTTGGTAAGAAAGCATTTCTTGGAGACCATGCACCTTTTCAATCTACTTCCTGTAGGTGCACTCAGGAGGGTCCAAGCAAGGGTTTTAGGGATCAAATACTCAAAGTTTGCTTTTTATTTGTTTATTTATGTATTTTTTGGTCTAGTCTCATAGTATCTTCGGTAGTAGAATTCCCTCAACAACATAGTAGACTTCTAATCCATTTACTTTCAATCGGTTCCATCTTCCAGTAGCTATACCCACAATATTTTTCTAGGTGTAATTCTCTATTCTAATTTATTTCATTGTTTCTTCACCTTCCTTCTTCCCTCTTTCAACTTAATAGCAGCTACTGAGGTCTTCAAGCTTGGGTAGTGTATTAGTCAGCTAAGACTGCCATAACACACTGGGTGACTTGAATGACCAGGAAAAATAATGTATTTTCAAACAGTTCTAGAGCCTGGATCTCTAAGATCAAGGTGTTCACAAGATGAGTTTCTTCTGAGGTTTCTCTCCTTGGCTTGTTGATGGCCACCTACTCCATGTGGTTTGTCCTCACATGGCCTTTCTTCTGTGTGTGCAGGGCCCTCGCATCCCTTTCTCTTCTTCTGAGGACACCAGTCCTACTGGATTAGGGTCATAGCTTATGACCTTAATTAATCTTAATTACCTCTTTAAATAACCTTATCTTCCTATACAGTCATCATGGGAGTTAGGGCTTCTATATGTAAATTTTTGGGGACGCAACTAAGTTCATAACAGGTGGAGAGACTACATCCTTAATTTTGTCTCTGCCCTCAGTTTGCCTATAAAGAAGGAAGTGGACGAAGATCATTGATTTCCAACTTTTTAACATAGACCTCTTTTATAGGAGACAGATGATGCAATCACAGACATAAAAGGATGACTAGGGAGTACAGTGCCAAGGAAGTCAAGAGAAGCAACAATTTTCAGAGGGAGATGGGGCCCACAGAGTAAAATGCTCCCAAGCTCTCCTTGGGGTCTTGTTGGGAGACAGACCTGGCTTAGGATGGAAGGTGGATGTCAGGGCACCACTGAGTGAGATGAGCTGAGGACCAAGCCTTGTGGCTCTTGAGTCTCTGGGAGTGTTTTCTTGCAAGTGCTGTGGGGTCCCTGGTGCTGAGGAGTTGATTTTAGGCGGTATGCTCGGAGGGCTGATGAGAGTCAGTGTAGCCTGGCTAGGTTTATGTCATGACCTGAGGTCTCATTTCAAATACAGCCTCTAGAGAACCGGAGATAAGGGGAAGATTCTTTTTAGCATGTCTCTGATCCAACAGTGTGAAGACAGGCTTCAGGAATAGAGATGGGGCATCCAGGACCTAATATTTTATAGTATTTTCTTTTCCAATTACCTTTGATGGCAGTTGTGGCAGAAACGGCTAACTGACCACTTGAAATCTGTGCTTCCCCTTCACGGTGTAGGGTTATTGCTGGGAAGTGACTGCCCAGCCATTGACTACACGTTCCTGCTCTCTTGAATCTGGAGAGGAGCATATTGCTAGTTCTGATCACAGTGGTATATGAGTAGACATGAAGTATGTCATTGTTCAGCCAAAGAGGCAAAGTTTCTAATGTGCTTTCATCACAAACTCTCTTTCCCATTGGTGAAAACCTTAGATTCCAAGTGCTGAGATGGTAGTTTCACAAGAAGAAGAGGAAAATACTTAGAGGGGAAATACCTAACCAGAACTATCTGTTTTGGACTTGAATTTTAAAAAGTTTTTAAAAATAAAATAAATAAGAACCTTTATTGAGTGTAGCCACCAGGTTTGGGGATTATTTGTTATAACAGCTAATATTGCTTACCCTGACAAATATAAGAAGTGATGCCGCTTTTCCATTTTGGTAATTGTATAAGTTTTCTTCAAAATAAGTTTATTTAAATAAGAAAATGAGTACATTTAGAGAACAATGTTAAATCAACAATAGTACAAGTGTACACAAATAAGAAAAAAAATTTTTCTCAAATGACCCAATTTGGGAAGCACTGGCCTGTAGCAAGCATAGATGTCCTCATGTCACCTTTGAAGAAATGGAAGAGAATTCTAGACTAGAGAATTTCAAGAGGGAAAGAGTAATCAATGTGTGCAATGCCTTCAAGTGTTTTTTGGGGTTCTGTAGGGAAAATGCCAATGGTGCTAGATCAGGGGGCTGTTACAGCATAATGGGCAAAATTAATCTTAGGATGAAGCAATGTGATCCCACGGCTTACCAAAGTCATATTTCAATAATCCATGGGGAAGATGTGATCCCCAAAAGTGTTTCTTTGTGCCTGCACAATGATTTTTTTTTAATGAGCAATTATTCACTAATCTGGAGATTTTACATTAAGCTCAGAATTCCTAGTTTCTCTTGAAAAATCAAAATATCTAGCCAACACTGGACCAGCATTTCCTGCAGCGTCTACACCCCGCACATACACCCAGCAGGCTTCAGCTGGAGCTTAGTAGTGAAGTCTCCTCCAGACAGAGCATTTCTCCACAGTCCCCACCACTCCTTATTGTCTGTCTTCCTGACCCTGAGGCCAAGTGGCTAAGTGACAGTAAGCACGCATCACTTACACTGATGCTTTGCTTTGGGAAGAGGACTATTTCTCTGTTCCTATGCCGCTATCAAAAGAGAAAAACAAACTGTTAAGCAAAAGGGCCATGTGTTTCAAGAAAAATTAGAGAGAACTTTTTTTGGCAGAAGTTAAAAATATTCTTATGGGTTTAATATGTAAATACAGAGAATCTGTATTGAAAGAAAACAACTGAAAACACCATGAAAACAAGAAATAGTTAAAACTATAACCAGTCTATGGCGAAGGTGTGTGATGAAGCGCTTAATGAACTGAAAAGTAAAATCACTGCAAGGTTTGCTTTAGAGTGCTAATAAAATAGGCAATAATACAGTGAAAGTAAACAGATATATTTGATCGGCATCACTCATTTCGGTAAAGTACACAGTCCTCTTAGACTTTTGAGTTTGTGGCCATTGGCCATTAGCAAGCACAGTAGACCTTCGGAAGCTCTAGGGAAATGGAATACATTCAGAGAACAGGGCGAAGAGTTGAGGACTATAATGATATTGCCCCATGAGGTATTATTCCTGCCTTCTTCCCACATCCTTCCTTCGCTTGCCTCCTTTCCACTCCTCCTCTCATTCCTAGTGTCCCCCATCAACTCCAGGAGGCTGAAAGCCCCCTGTTATCCCTCACTCCAGCTTTGTGCTGCTTCTGATGCTCAGAATGGGCAAAGCCATCTCCTTTCTGTTGCCTATGGCCAGCACAGCAGTTAGGGCTGCTGAGCCCTGATCAAAGGTACAGCCCTCCAGGGACCATGTGTACAAAGACAAAAGAGGAAATCCCTCCTGGATGTTCCCCTAGCTAAATGTGGAGATGTAGAAGACATAGGCTTATAAGAAGGGAAGAAATTTTAAATGAAATAAAGAGAAATTAAAAGAGGAGGGCAGGAAGAAATATGAATGCAGTGTAAGCCTTATCTAATCATGACACCAAGTGCCCAAACAGGCCAAGATCCCTGAAGATGCCTAATGTGAATCATAAACATTATTTATCTAATATATAAGATAAAATAATGGGAAGATCTGTATGTAGGGTCAAAGCAGACTCAACTTCAAATCCTGGTGCCACTGTCTACTCACCATCCACCTTTTCTGCAAGTTGCTCCCTGTCTATGAGTGTAAGTTTTCTCACCTGTAACATGGATGTAAAATTCCTTACCCTATAAATTGTTGAGTCGTAATGAGATCACATGCACAGGGCCTGGCACAGCAAAATGTGATAACAGCAAAATGTAGGAAAACCACACTACATGAGAAACATTAAACCTCTACTCAACAGCTGTATTTGCTTGTCTGGCATGGACCTCATAAATTTTCGTTGCAGTACTGTGGAAATAACAAAGTATTTAGAACCTGACTGATCTGAATCTGTCATTCTTAAGAGCCCAGGTTCTGGATAATAAGAAAAGCTACGTTTTCCCAGGCATCTTGCTATCAGCATGAGATTTTGCAAAGCACTTAATAGACATCATCTAATTTAAACACTCATGCAATTGGCATTATTATTCCTGTTTTACACATGAAGAAACTTAGGCTAGCAAAGGTTATATAACTTGCTCAAGATCCAATGCCCTTTGCTCTAAACCACTGCTACAGCTCCCTCTTGAAGCCTGGCCCTTCAGGGAGTTTAGCCCTTTCCTGAACTCCTGCCCCACTGTCCCACCAACCCTGTCCCATCTCTCTTCTCCCTAACAGGCCCCCAGCCTCACTAGATTGTCATGCATCTGTCACTATGATCCCAGTCTCTTACTGGGCCTCCAGGACCCATCTGAATTGCTATCCACCCCCCATCTTCAGGGTGTTTCCTGTCTGGAGTTTGCTTCTCTCTCTCCCTGCAGATGAGCTTATCATGGGGCTCCCAATGCCTGGCACAGAGCCTTATATCTAATCAGTGCCCAGTACACCCAAGTCTTCTTTTCCTCCGACCCTGCTACCTTAACATGGGGGAATGTTCTTCATTCTTATCTCAAAAGGTATGCCTTTAGCAAAGGACTCAAACAGACATCTCTCCAAAGAAGATATACAAATGACCAAAAAGCATGAGAAAATATGCCCACCATCACTAATCATTAGAGAAATGCAAATCAAAACCTCAGTGAGATACCACCTCACACCCATTAATATAGCTACTATCAAAGAAGCAGACAATAACAGGTGTTGGCTGGGATGTGGAGAAATGGGAACCTTCATGCATTGCTGCTGGGAATGTAGACTGGTGCAACTGTGGTGGAAAACAATTCGGTAGTTCCTCAAACAACTAAAAAATAGAATGAACATAAGATCCAGAAATCCACTTCTGGATACAAGTCAAAAGGGAGTGAAAACAAGGTCTTGAAGAGATATTTGTGTATCCATGTTCATTGAAACATTATTCACAGTAGCTAAAAGATGAAAGCAACACAAGTGTCCATCAACAGATGAACAGATAAGCAAAATTTGACACATACATATGGAATGTCTATGAATACTATTCACATGAATAATACGTATGAAGGTGGCATACATATGAATATTATTCAGCCTTGAAAAGGAAGGGAATTATGACACAGGAGACAACATGAATGAGCCTTGAGGACATTTGCTAAGTGAAATAAGCCAGTCGCAAAAGGACAAATACTATGTTTCCACTTATGGGCAGTACCTAAAGTCGTTAAAAACCATACAGACAGAAAGCTAGAAGGGAGGTTACCAGGGGAGGAGGGGATGGGGAGTTAGTGTTTAATAAGTACATGGTGTCCGTTTTGCAAGATTGAAAGAGTTCTGGAGATGGATGGTGGTGATGGTTGCACAACAATGTGAACTATGCACTTCAAATGGTTACAATAGTGAATTTTATGGTACATGTATTTTTTTTTTTGAGATGGCGTCTTGCTCTGTTGCCCAGGCTGGAGTGCAACGGCGTGATCTCGGCTCACTGCAACCTCCGCCTCCCGGGTTCAAGCGATTCTCCTGCCTCAGCCTCCTGAGTAGCTGGGATTACAGGCGTGCGCCACCACACCTGGCTAATTTTTTTGTTTTTTTTAAATAGAGACAGAGTTTCACCATATTGGTCATGCTGGTCTCGAACTCCCAACCTCATGATCCACCTGCCTTAGCCTCCCAAGTGCTGGGATTACAGGCATGAGCCACCGCGCCTGGCCTTTTACGTGTATTTTACCACGCTAAAAAAAACAATGGGGGAATAGTATGTCTTTGGGACCTACAAGCCTTTACTATTTGTTCTCTTTTCAGAGCTTTAGCTTATTTAGCACACAATTTCGACAATTAAAGGTTACATTTAATCTATCTTGTATGCAAAGTCTTGCATCCCCTGAAGCCTGAGGAAGGAAAAAATGCCATCCTATGATCATTTCATTATATAACACTTCATGCAACACCCGGGAGGAAATGTCTCCAGGAAAAAGATAAAAATACTTCTGAGATTAAAAAAAAAAAAAAAAAAAAAAAAAACCTCTGCTGCTGCTTCCTTTTTCTCCATTACTTCAAATCCAGACAGGCAAAAGTGAGTAATTAAAAAAAAAATTCTGGTGTTATTTAAAGTGAATTTGGATAACGACCAAGCAGTTCGAACATTAATAGCATGGCATGCACGTCAGCGTGTTGGACTCTGTCACCCAATTGCCTACTATCCCAAATGACTTCCCCACACAGTCTAGACTTTGTGTTTAGGCGTGTGAAGGTTGTTTTCAGTTTTCTCTGTGTGTTTCTTTTCTTTTTTTTGCCAAAAAGATTAAAAACCAGCTGGACTCAGAAACTGTCTTTCACCTTCCTTCTCTACTGTGCAAATAGCCACAGATGACACACAAAGTCAGGCAAAGCGGATTTGGGGAACTTCAGAGAGGGTCCCATAGGTGTGCATATGGACACACACACATGTAGGTAGACGGGTAGCTACATGTGATGACAGATAAACAGAGAGAAAGACTGAAAAATGAGAGATCGACACACCAAGAAATAAAGCTACATTCTAGCATTAAGATAAGCTTCAGAGCCTGAATACCCTTGGAAGGTGTAAATGCTTCCTGGCTTGGCTTTTGCATGGCTCCCTCTAATATGCTTTCATCACAGGCTTTTATGTTGACGGATCCAAAATGGCTGAAAAAGGCCCACTTTTGTAGAACGCGCTCTAGGCAGACAATGGCTATCTTTGCTTCTTCTGAGGGGTGTGCGTGCACCAACTAAGTGACACTTACTGGAATAGAGTCAGAAGGTTAGAAGTATGAATGAAACACAATTCCACCATCAAGAAGATAACACCTACTGGAATAGAAGACAGGCACATCAACAGGCTACTGTATTTCAGGAGTTGCTAACCCACCTCCCACAGGGACTGGGCAGGTTGGTGTGAGTGGCCAAAAGGTACCCAGTGGGGCCACCTGCACATCAGAGTCCATGAGCCTCTCTGGAAAGGCAGCCAGAAGCTCAGCGCTGCCCGACTGTTGCCATGCAATAAAATAGTCCAGGGTGCCTGGATCTTCCAATTTGTAAAGAACAACCCAAATGTGGTTTGGTGCCTGTATAAAATTTCAGAATACTGCTATTTTGCCAATTAATTTAAAAAGTTATTTTTAGAATTGGGATCTTGTTCTGTTGCCCATGCTGGAATGCAGTGGTTCAATCATAGCTCACTACAGCCTTGAACTCCTGGGCTCAAGCAATTCTCCAGGCCTCAGCCCCCTGAGTAGCTCAGACTACATGAGCACCCCACCATGCCCAGCTAATTTTTTAATTTTTTGCAGAGACAAGGTCTTGCTTTGTTGCTCAGGCTGGTCTCGAATTTCTGGCCTCAAGCCACCCTCCTGCCTTGGCCTCCCAAAGTGCTGAGATTATAGGTGTGAGTCACCATACCAGGCTGCCAGGCCCATTAAAAAAAATCAGTGTGTGCAGGCAAAATGTAACACAAAGGAGGACTGGGTTCAACCAGTGATGCCAGTAGTAATCTTTGATATCACAAAGTATTAGAAACAATATAAGAGTATAGAGGAGAGAGAGAGAGACAGAGACAGAGACAGAGAATAATTCCACAAGGTTGGGGAGGGGTTAGGGAGAAGAATTGCACGTGTGCAGTTTTTTACCAAGCATAAAAGTAATGGGGAAGGCATTTCTGGCAATAGGAAGAGCACATAGCAAAGCACAGTGGAGTGTGCACAGGATGTGGCTGTCACAGGACAGGGCCTGTACCCTTCCAGCCATTGCAATGCATTCCTTTCTGTCTTCCACCCAATACACAGGTTTTCTGTCGTTTGTAAGCCACTGATGCTCATGAGCGCTCTACATGAGACACCATACGGGCAGACTGGGAAGAATTGAGGTTAGACCTTCTGTGAAGTCTCAGAGCCTTGGTGCAAATCTAGGGAGAGACCTCTGGGGCAGGAGGGTGGCAGGACGGATGCAGGGGAGAAGGCATTCCCGGGCTTTTCTCTGGCTGCAGCCCGGACAGGGACAGACAGATATGTCTACTTATCAAAGGTGGATCTCATCTGCCCTACCACTGGCTGCCGGGACCACAAATATCCAGACATCTGGGAAGAAGTCAGGGGCACAGAAGGGCAGCATGGAGAGGGTGTGTGTTTTCAGGAAGCATCTACCACATGTGGCCAAGTGGAATCCCCTCCCCACTTCACCTGGTCACATGTGAAAGGCAGGCTGGGTCCCAGGGAATGATACATCTGTTTTTGCAGTGAGAGTTACGGAAACCCTGTATTTAAAAGGTGTCGCTGCGTGGATGTATCTGTAACTCATCTGTGGACCAGTTACAATTTGCTTGGCCCCCTGGCAGTTACTGAGATGAGCCCCATAGAACTTAGTGGTAGGATCCCATCTTGAAGACTAACTGCCCTGTAGAACTGTGTCCCTTCCAAAGTAAGCCAAGAAAATGAACCACACTTTTTCCCCCATTTTTCCCTAATGCACAGTTTTCCTCATTTCATCCCATCATTCAACGTTCATCAAGAGCCGGGCACTGGGCCCTGTCCTGAAAATACAGATGTAAATAAAATATGACCCCTTCCTTCAAAGATACCCATTCCACTTGGTCTGCTTGCTGCATGTAAGCAGGACTTTAGAGATTTGACTTTGTTGAGAAATTAATGACTGGAACGGGCTTTCAGTCTCCTCTCTCATCTTGTAGGTGTGTGGAGCACCCAAAAATCTCAACGCCAGAACGCAGAGAAATGGGAACCCTCGTGCACGGCAGGTGAGAATGTGAAATGGTGCAGCCACTGTGGCAAACAGGATGGCAGTTCCGCAAGTAATTAAAAATAGAAGTACCAGGATCTAATTAAACTAAAAAGCTTCTGCACAGCAAAAGAAACTACCATCAGAGTGAACAGGCAACCTACAGAATAGGAGAAAATTTTTACAATCAACCCATCTGACAAAGGGCTAATATCCAGAATCTACAAAGAACTTAAACAAATTTACAAGAAAAAAATCAAACAATCCCATCAAAAACTGGGCAAAGGATATGAACAGACACTTCTCAAAAGAAGACATTTATGCAGCCAAAAAACACATGAAAAAATGCTCATCATCACTGGCCATCAGAGAAATGCAAATCAAAACCACAATGAGATACCATCTCACACCAGTTAGAATGGCGACCATTAAAAAGTCAGGAAACAACAGGTGCTGGAGAGGATGTGGAGAAATAGGAACGCTTTGACACTGTTGGTGGGACTGTAAACTAGTTCAACCATTGTGGAAGACAGTGTGGCGATTCCTCAAGGATCTAGAACTAGAAATACCATTTGACCCAACCATCCCATTACTGGGTATGTACCCAAAGGATTATAAATCATGCTGCTGAGAGCAAGTAGTTATTTGGAATTTCGTGTATGGAAAACAGAAATTAAAGAACTGCTAATTCCCTTCTGCCAAAACAAGTGGCAGAGAGTACCAGTGTGCTTGTGCAGTGAAATGGGGGCCTCCGGGACCAGGCAGCCAGCCAAAGCCCTTGCAAACCAAAGCAGAGGCAAAGGCAGTTACACCCATCATTTGGTGTGTAAGAACTTAGGCTGAACCCAATCATGTTTTCTTTAAGACTTGGCGAGTGTGGTGCCCGTGGTGATCAGCCGATCTGTTTTAAGGCATCAGGGCATTAACTTGATTGTACTTTACAGATATTATCATTCCCTTCTGTCCACTTGCATAAAATCTGAAGTATGTCAAAGGTTTTTTTTTTTTAAATAAAAGTACATTATTAAAAAAAAAATAAAGTAAAAATAAAAATAGAAGTACCATATGATCCAGAAATTCTACTTCTGGGTGTAGACCCAAAAGAATTGAAAGCAGAGTCTTGAAGACACATGAACATATCCATACTCATAGCAGCATTATTCACAATAGCCAAAAGGTGGAAACAACTGAAGCGGCCACTAATGGATGAATGAATAAGTGAAATGTGGCATATCCATATAATGGAATGCGAGTCAGCCTTAAAATGGAAGGAAATTCTGGCCATGTGCAGCGGCCACTTGTAATCCCAGCACTTTGGGAGGCCCCCAGGTGGACTGCTTGAGTCAAGGAGTTCAAGCCCAACCTGGGCAACATGGCAAAACTCTGTCTCTACAAAAAGCGTTTTTAAAAAATTAGCCCGGTGTTGTGGCATGCGCCTACAGTCCTAGCTACTTGAGGGGGCTGAGGCAGGAGAATCACTTGAGCTCAGGAGGTTGATGCTACAGTGAGCTGAGATCAGGCCACTGCACTCCAGCCTGTGTCCAAAATAATGTGATTTCACTTATATGGGGTAACTTGACTAGTCAATTCATAGAGACAGAAAGTAGAATGGTGATTGCCAGGGACTTAGGGGTGGGGAATGGGGAGGTGTTGTTTACTGGGTACAGTTTTAGTTTTGCAAGATGAAAAGAGTTCTGGAGAGTGGGTGCACAACGATGTGAAGATACTTAACACCACTGAGCTATGCACTTGAAAATGGTGAAGAAGGCAAATTTTACATTATATATATTGTGTCATAATTAAAAAAAAAACACAAACCTACATACCAGATATGCTGTTACTGCACACTGAACAGTGCTCACACCCAGATATTGCCATGCCACTGCTCTGCCTAACTTTCAGCAGGTCCAACCAAACCTTTAGGTGCAGAGGGTAAGGCTCTTTGCAATCTGACCTAACATCCCCTGATGGCCTCTATTGCCTCCCCTCCCATACTGTCCAGCCACACTGACCACAGTGGAAAAACCAGCTACACTGGCTTGCTGAATAAATGAAATTTTGTGTGTATTGGAGATGGGTTGAGATCTTACAGAAGAACATGAGGGCTAAGTCGTAGGGAAAGACAGATATCTTTCTATTAGTTATCTAATTTTTGTGTAACAGTGAGAAAGCATCTGTGCTACATTCTTAGAAGTATATATATATATTTTCTCTTTCTTTCTTAGAAATATATATAAGAATGTATATTTCTTAGAATATATATAAGAATGTATATTTCTTAGAATATATATAAGAATATATATTCTTAGAATATATATAAGTATATTCTTCGAATATATATAAGAATATATATACTTAGAAATATATATAAGAATATAAATATTAGAAATATATATAAGAATATATATATTCAAATATATATAAGAATATATATATTCTTAGAAATATAAGAATATATATATTCTTATATATATCTAAGAATATATATATTCTTAGATATATATAAGAATATATATATTCTATATTCTTAGAATATTCTTAGAAACAGAGACTGTTTCAGCCACGTAGGGACTCAAACCAAAACATTGATATAATCAAAATTTATGTAGCTTTCTAGCATGTTTCTCTGACTTTTCCCATCTTACCTCCACTAGAAGCCTGAGAATTAGAAATTATCTCTATTTTATAGATGAAATACTAAGGCTTCTGATATGGTTTGGCTGTGTCCCCACCCAAGTCCCATCTTGAATTGTAGCTCCCATAATTCCCACGTGTCATGGTAGGGAGCTGGTGGGAGGCAATTGAATCATGGGGGTGGGTCTTTCCTGTGCTGTTCTCGTGATAGTGAGTAAGTCTCATGAGATCTGATGGTTTTATAAAGGGGAGTTCCCCTACACAAGCTCTGTTGCCTGCCACCATGTAAGACGTGACTTTGCTCCTCATTCACCTTCCACCATGATTGTGAGGCATCCCCAGCCATGTGAAACTGTGAGTCAATTAAATTTCTTTCCTCTATAAATTACCCAGTCTCGGCTATGTCTTTATTAGCAGTGTGAGAACATATTAATACAGCTTCTCTGAGAGAAAGGACTATCCCCAGATCACACAGCTAATAAAGGCAGAAGCAGGGCTGGAACCCTTTTTCTGGCTCCTAATCCAATGTTCTTTCCTCTTTATCAGCAATTCTCAAACTGGAGCATGTCTTAGCATCATCTGGAGGGCTTGTTAGGCAAGAATTGGTGAGCCCCATCCCAGAATCTCCGATTCAGTAGGTCTGGGGTGGAGCCAGGAAATACGCTTTTCTATCAAGCTCCCAGGAATACCTGCTGGGTCCAGGGGCCACATATTGAGCACTACCAGGCTACATCAAAGCTGCCTCGTCTTCTAGACAAGGGACACTGCCAGGTGACTGTCCTTGCCATGTAGGGGACACACTACCATCAGGGATAGCCATAGAGGTCGCAGTCAAGGTTTTAGAGGGAGTCCATATAGAATACTTTTCCTTCTCAAGTTTGGAACCAATTGAGAAATAAAGCACAGGAGGCAGAGATAAACATTTACCCACTTTGTTACTCAAAAAACTGATTAAAAAGTAAGGCTTTAGATAAATGGTCTCTGTAGGTTTTCTAAAAAAAGTTGTCTCTGAATTGAAACTTAATCACCCAAATTTTTGGTCTTTAGTCTTGCTGGGGCAGAGCTCTGAACTGGTAAGCTCGCCACACAGCGGAGAGCAGACAAGAATGGGACATTTCTGGGGAGCAGGTAGATTCAAAACACAGAACTCAGAGCTTACCCATTCTCTCCTCCCTGAGAAAGACAGCCACTGACATCCAGGAGCTGGCTTGGCACTCACAGCTGGAGCTTGGTCTTCTATTCAATGTAAAGACAGTTTCTTCCAACATTGCCATCAGACAAGGGCACTCTGTGACCATGATTGAGCAAGACAAACGCAAGACGACTTTGAAGTCATGTCTGAACACAGACAATAGTAAGAACATTGTCAAAACCACAAAATCCCAATTATCTCCCTCTTCCTGCTGGCATGACCACTGACAGGTGCTCACTCTAGCCTGCCTTCCTTAGAGATAAGATTTATTGAGATGCCCAGTCATAGACTTACCTCCACTTCCTGACAGCATCCAACCTGGAGCAAAGCCCAGTTTCCTTAAAGGCTCCTCAAAATGACGACCTTACACTAGCCCTGATCCTTTAATAAGTCTTCCTTAACTCTCTCCTACTGAGACACCCCATGGTATACATTCTCCCTTGCTCAATGAGTAATAAACACAAGGTGTTTAACGACAGGTGTATTCTTGGTGGCCTCTGACTTCATGACTCTGACATCCAAAACTCACCAATCAGGGGTGGAGTGAGAGGAAGGAAGAAGAGATATGGGTGTGTTTCTCCCATACTTTTTCTTCCCATCTATGGAGACTTGAGGAGAGAGGAATATGTATCACTGCCATCAACAGTTACCTGGAAGACCCAAATAATGCTGAAGTCCTTCCATCCTTCCTGCCAGCTGGTCCCCCTCTGCTTGAACCTCAGGTGATGGGCAATTCCCAGCTTCCTCTTTGAGTTCCTTAGCTCTTCAGGCAAACTTGCCTGCTTGAGGTCCCTACACAGTCCTGGTACTGCAGTGTATCCCATCTCCTGGGAGAATCAAATTAAACGCTACTACAGAAAAGCTTCTAATAAATGAAGGCACTGACCAAACATAGCAATGACGAAAACAACCACCACCAGGATGACTTATTCACCCAGAGGAAGAAGTGAGTGAGGGACAGGAGAAGATAGAGGACCATTCACAATGCTGATGATTTCAGCCATCTGCATTGCTGGTCTCCACAATGATGTGGAAGTCAAATAGGGAAACTTGAACTGTAATGCGAGTGCTTTGTAGAAGGGAACTTCGTCACAGCTGCCATCGACAGACTCCTGCCTATGTGGCAGACGTCAAGCAGGCACTTTACCCACCAAGCCTCATTTAACTCCCAGAAAAACTCCTTTGCAAATGAAAGTGTTTTCACTACCATTTTGCTCCTAAAAAGAGTGGGACTTAGGGATGCTAAAGATTTGCTCAGGGTTATACAACAAGTGATGTCTGTCTGCCACCAAAGTCCATGTGTCAAACCACTGCAATATTCCTGGAAATATTCACTTTTAAATGCTCTGGCTAACTATCTAATCGCTATTTTTTTAAAAGAACATTTTATTATGTTAACCAAACCTCTACTCTGCAATTAACTCTAATTACACAAGCAATTAAATTGGGAGTAAGATTATTTTGCAGTTTGAAGCTATTTATGCTGACATTAGATTTTCCTCTAATTAATTCTATTTCTTTGTTCTAATTGTTATTTAATTAACAGACTTTCTAATTCTACCTACATGTTTTTTAAGTACCAGTTTATCCCTGTGCTCACACATCTGGGCCCACCACATCTGCTTTGATGGAATTTCCCAGAGGAGAGAAAGAGAAAGAAGAATTGGTCAATTTCTGTTGAGCTAGTTGGAAGCAA
This sequence comes from Homo sapiens, assembly GCF_000001405.40. Taxonomy (NCBI): domain Eukaryota; kingdom Metazoa; phylum Chordata; class Mammalia; order Primates; family Hominidae; genus Homo; species Homo sapiens. Next base: position 175,054,100 of record NC_000005.10, read on the forward strand.
AGCTTGGCCTGATTAATTTGTTGTTGGAAGGTAGGGAGGAAATAATTTCAATACTTTGTTAATATAATCTATAGTACAGTAATCACTCTATCTGATTAATGACCTAGTATAAAATCCAGGGTGATCAACAGTGTCACTCAAGATCCTAGAACTTCTTTAGTGTTAGAGTGTATCTGCCTGGGGGGACGATCTGAAGACCTACAGGCTGCATTAATTTGTTTGTGGCTGAAATCATTTCAATTTAATATGAATCTGTCTGATGATAAATGGCTTTATCATCAGCGGTTGACTCATACCAATCAGAAGCTCTAACTGGATGTTGATGAAGTCATAGAACCAGGTACTGATTAAAGAGCTAACGTTTAGATGGTCATAGGCTATGAATAGAGAACACTGTAATAAAGGTTCCTGGGGTGTAATAAGTTTGGGAATCACTGACTTAATCATAGGTCAACATTTTTCAGAAATGGACTTCACAAATGTCATCTCATTCAGCTCTTTATTTTATCTCTTTAAACTTTTGTGTAACTCCCCTAAGACTTATCCCATCTATATCTACGACCAGGGCCTTTTCGCCCTCCCTCATAAATCCCTCTTTAGGCCCAACTACAGTTGCCAGATATTGCAAATATTGCATGGAGAATACTTATACTAAACATTGTTTTATATCAAAAATTTAAGTTTAACTATAGAGCCTGTATTTTTACTGGGTAAATATGGCTAATGGTTTTGGAATTCTACTCTGTTGAAAAGGTTGTCCCTTCCCAAAGCACCTTTACAGGTGACCTTGTTGTTATTTATTATTATCATTATTATTATTATTATTTTTGAGACAGAGTTTCACTCTTGTTGCCCAGGCTGGAGTGCAATGGCACCATCTCAGCTCACTGCAATCTCTGCCTCCTGGGGGTTCAAGCAATTTTCCTACCTCAGCCTCTCGAGTAGCTGGGATTACAGGCATAAACCACCACACCAGGCGAATTTTGTATTTTTAGTTAAGACTCGGGTTTCTCCATGTTGGTTAGGTTGGTCTTGAACTCCCGACCTCAGGTGATCCACCTGCCTTGGCCTCCCAAAGTGTTGGGATTACAGGCACGAGCCACCGAGCCCAGCCGACCTTGTTGTTATGTTTTCAGGAATTATAATTAAGAATGTATGAAGCACTTTAAACAGAGGTTTTCAAGCATTCCAAATATAAGGACTCCTTTATTATATGTAAATTCTATAGACTCTTACATGGTAGCTGTTTTAGTGGAGAATAAACGTAATGAGAAAATTTTTTTGTGTGTATTCAGGAAAACCTTTCATGATAGGTTTGTCTTAAAATGGCAGTAAGTAATAAGCCACTACAATAGTGTGAAGAAACAAAACAAACAGCAAAATAGGCTCAGATATAACAAAGATTTTGGAATTATCAGAAGGGTGGTGTAAGCAGAGAAATTGGAACTCTGAGAAAGAATCAGAAGAACATGTTAGAAACCAGAAACACTGTAACGAAAATAAAGAATGTCTTTAATGTCTCACAGTAGACTTGACATGGCTGAGGAAAGCATCAAGGAGCTTAATGATAGGTCAACAGAAATTTCAACAGAAATACTGAAATGCAAAGAGAAAAATAAATGACAACGACCCACTGGAATATCCAAGAACCGTGGGACCATTTCAACAGGTGCAACACGCACACAATTGGAATACCATAAGAAGAAGAAAGAATGGAGCAAAAGAAATAATGGAAGTACTATGGCTGAGAAGTTTTCGAAATGAGTGACAGACACCAGTGCACATATCCAGGAAGCTTGGGGAACAGCAAGCAGGATAAATACCAACAGATCTACACCTGGACATATGACATTCAAACTTCAAAAAACCCGAAGACAAGAGAAAATATTGAAAGAAGCAGAGCAAAAAGACACCTTACCTATAGAGAACCAGGGATATGAATTACAGTGGATATCTTATCAGAAACCATGCAAGCAAGAAAAGAATGAAATGAAATAAAGTATTCGAAGAAAAAGCTCACCAACCTGAGATTATATAGTCAGTGAAATTATTCCTCAAAAGAGAAGGAGAAAAAAAGACTTTCTCAAACAAAAACTGAGGGAATTATTTACCAGCAGACCTGCCCTCTAAGAAATGTTAAAAGAAGTTCTTCAGGGAGAAGAAAAAATTATGTAGTCCAGAAACTCAGATCTACATAAAGAAAGAGTGTTTAAAAAAGGAATAAATTGAGGCAAAGTAAAATATTTCATTTTTCTTATTTTTACTTGATATAAAATTATATGTAATTGGGTGGTTACAGCAAATAGGTAAGTGAAACGAGTAACAGCAATGCCATAAGGGATGGGAAGGAGAACTTGGGAGTTCCCTGATATCATGGACCCATGCTACACATCTTCATGTGGTATAGTATTACTTGAGGGTTGAACTAGATTCGTTTAAAATTTATATTGCAAATTTTAGGCCAACCACTAAAAATTTTAAAAAGAGGAATAGTTGATATGCTAAGAGGGGAAATAAAATGCAACCATGTAAAAATTGGTGGAAAGCAAAGAGAATATAGATGTGGTGGTCTTTGAGAAGCAAGCCTGTGCCCAGTGCTTTATCCAGCCCCAAAGTGAATTCTAGGGAAGGAAGATGATAAAAATCCCAAAATAACCTGCAGCATGCCCCTGTTGCTCTCCTGTCGTCTCCCACTTCCTCAGTAAAATTCACGGAAATGGCAACATCTTTGGAGCAGAAGCCACTGCATGGCAGCAGGAGGTTCCTCTCAGGCTTCCATAGTGACTAGGGTGGTGTGGGCCACAACAGAATGGGCCCTGGGTCCCCTTAGAGGGTCACAGAAGCGGCCCAGACAGATCCAGTGGACATGACAAGACCTTGAAGTCACAAAGAAAGTCACAGGTGTGACTGGCAAGGGCCTATCACCGAAGATCCATGACCATATGGGAACCAAATCTTCTCAGTGGAGGTGGGCATGGGAGCTTGACAATGCTGAGGACCACATGGCCCCACCCCATCCCTCCTGCCAAGTGAGGGGCAGGATCCTGGAAGTGTGAGACACCTGCGTAACTCGAGAGAAAAGAGAGGAGATCACCCTACATTGACTGACATTACATTTCCATATTCTTTTGAAATAAATACTCAAAAAAGGAATCAGGGTCAGACATAGAAAATGTAAAATTATGCTTTGTGGGCTGAACCTGATACTTCATGCACTTCCAGTGAATGAGTGATTTCTAAGCGTAGGATACATTCACACAGAACACAGACGTGAAACCCTTGCATTCAGGCTGCAGTCCGGGCATGGTGCTGAGAGCATCTAGGGATGCCTGTGACCTATTAATCTGTGGTCCTCCTGGCACCCTCAGGCTGGGAACCACCTCTTTACAGGTCCCAAACTGTGTTTTCATCAATAACAACTCCTTCAAGGACTGCCTTGTAAATATCCAACGTGTGAATATTCACAGAAGTCTTGAATGTGCACAACAGTACAGAGAATCCCCAAAGAATTAGAAACCTGGTGATTCTCTTCTTGCTTCCAAGTGCCACCTGCCCAAAGCAGGCTGAGCCCATGGCCTTGGCTTTTGGAGATCTGTGTTCAAGTTCTGTCTCCATGGTTAACTTTGCCTTGAGCAAGCCACATCTCCATAAACCTGATTGTCCTCATTCTGAAAATGAAGTTAGTGATAATTTGGGGATTTTTGTTTTTGTTGTTTATTTGGGTTTTTTTCCCTGCAAATGAGCAATTTGGTTGATTCTTGGGAGGAAGAGACCACCTAAGACCAAATAGAAGCATGTACTTTCTCCTTTTGGAAGTGTGCACCTGAATTTGCTTTTTCTCAGATGACCTGAACCACGGGAAAAAACAGACAAGCTTGGTATTGGCATAGGCTTGGACATCTGGGCCAGTGGCTGATCAAGCCTTTCTCCTATGAACTTAAGTTCAGTTCCTAGTTGTTGGGCAAGCCAGAAGAGCAGGCAGAGCTTTGGGTTCGGGGACATTCATGGGGCTCGTGGCCCACTGCACAGGTATGAACATTGCTCCTATAGGAAGACTGAATTAACAGGAAAGGGCCCCATTTATTCCCACATGTCCAGGCCGAGTCAGCATCAGATAAGGAGCAGTATTGCATTGGGAGGAGGAGCATGGGTGCTAGGCTCTGACTGACTGACATCTACCCCTACTCTGATGCTTACTGGGCTGAGCCAAGCCTCAGTTTTCACAGCTGTAAAATGGAAATAACTGCAGTCCCTACCCCCTCAGATTGGCATGAATGAAACAGATAATTGAATAAGATGTTCTTGCTGCCTTGGGGCCATAAACTGCTGGGACCCATAAAAGTCATAATGCAGCCTGCCTCTGTGAACTCTGAAAATAAATGCCTTGTAGAAATATTAGCACAGGCTAGAGGAAGACACAGTCACATGGGAAGGATGTCAGACTTGCACTTGCCTACTTCATTCCTAAATGCCTGTAATGGGCTTCAAAAATTGCTAAGAGTACAGCAGAACAGAGAAAGCTAAGGATCTAAGATGATAGAAAAATCAGAGACAAGGTAAAATCAAGCCACAGATGGAATTATGGTTAAAAAATGTACCCAAATATCCTACATCCTGCTCAGAGCTTCCTGGCAGCCAAGAAGAAGAGATAATTCTATTTTTTCAAGAGGCACAGTGTGTGATAGTAAAGGCTGAGAGCTTAGGGGAGAACCACTTATGGAGTTATTGGGTGGGGTTGTTGGCTGTGGGGGGTTGTTGCCTGTGGGCGGTTGTTGCTGCCCAGTAGCAGAAGGTAACGTGCTTGCCTCCCTTCTGAGGAGGACCATCAAACTTCTTAGCACAGCATTCAAGGTCCTAGTGACCTGGTCCCTGCCTGTCTGTCTGAACTTGTCTTCCACTATGTGCTCCCTCACTCAGGATTTCAGCCACCAAGCGTGGCTCAGCCTTGGAGGCTTTGTACCCTCACTTCTCTCTATCTGACAAGCTCTTCCCCTAGATCTTGTCCTTCAAGTCTCACCTCCAAGGTCAAATCTTCCAGGAGGCTTTTGCTGACCTCCTACATGGCATCTCCCCTACATCTTCTCACTCCAGCTTTGCCTTATTTTCTTTGCAACATTTATTAAAATCTGAAATTACCTATGGATTGATTGATTGATGTCTGTCTCCTTCACTAGAACAGAAGCTCCCTGAGACCTTTGCTGTCTCATTTTCTTTTGCATCTATCTGCATTCTGTTTGGAAGGCAGTAGTGGCACAGTGAATAGTTATTGAGTGAATGAATTTAGGCAGATGCATCCTGCTAGCCAGAGGGCACCTAGCTGTGGTGCATGTTGATAGCAACATGTTGGAGTGAAGTTTGCAGCTGCAACTTGGAAATAGGAGCTGGGACACAGCAGATTTCTTCTGCATAATAATGCAGACAAGAATTTACAGTCCCCAAGAATCTTGGGTAAGGGAAGAGAAGGGGGCATACTCATATTTTTCTTCTATTTACAGGCAATAGTTTCCCTCTATGACCAGAGAGAAATTTGCCCATTGGGTTCTCTTACAGGATATTTATGCGGTAAAGGGATTTTCTGACCAAAAAAAAAAAAAAAAAAAAAGTATCTTTCAGTTGAGTCCTGACATCTGCAGGCAGGAATCTGACAGTGACTGATCCAGGAGGACAAGTCCCCCAAGTGGCCACCGCACTTCTGCAGAAATGCCATTTTCCGTGAGTTACTTCCTCTGACTATAGTGTAAACACCATAACATATTGAAAACCTTCTTGAGTCGTGCTCAGTGCACTCATTCTAAAGCCTCGGCCAAGTTTCAGGCTGGATGAATCGCCCTGAATGCAGCTATATTTAGGCCTCTGCATGCTAATGTTTCTATGTGTTACTGAGCCCCAAGGAGCAAGTCCAAAGCGCATCGCCCGGGTCCCGGTCTCCATGGAAACGGCTCTCCCGCTTTGCGCGCCAGCCGCAGGAGTAAGGAGCAGCGCTAGGGCCGCTTCCTCTCTGCAGCTGACACAGAATCTGAATTTTGCTGCGTCAAACAGGCCCACCCGCTCGTTCGCTGGTTCCAATCGTGGAGAGAGAGGCCAGTATGACGGTGTGACTTGGGATATGTCAGGGCTGAGCCAGCTTCATAAACATCTCACCCCACTCTCTCAGTTTTGGCACCTTTGTCTTCTAGCTCCACATCCTTAATTACTGTGCTTTGTAAAGTTGGGATAATTAGAAGCAGAGAAACTGAATTTCAAATAAAGCTATCCAGTGGGGCGGGGGAGGGAAGGAAGAGACACAAAATTAACTGTGGCCTCCTCTAGGGAGGATGGCAAGTCCAGGGGAGGGAAAGATAGACACAAAATTAACAGTGGCCACCTCTAGGCAGGATGACGGGTCCAGGGCAAGAGCCAGGAGACTTTCACTTTTGTTTCTGTATTATTTGAAGTTTTTTCAACAGTGAGCCTCTGATTCTATAATTTAGTAAAGCAAAAAGGATTTATTTGTAATGAACCCACCCTGTGTTGATGATCCATTCATTTCAACTCAATTATCTGGAATCTTGAAGAAATCGTGGTAGCCCATGGGCAGAATCAAATCAAAGTTTCAAAACCAACAACAAAAACATTTGTTTCCAGAGCCTCACTCCTCCATTTGCCACAACCTCAAGTCTAGTCATACCACACTTTTTTTAAAAATTAAATTTTCTTTTCATTAAAGCGTAATTGTGCATTGTTTAAAAAGGTCCAACACACCACAAGGGTTATGGTATAAAAAATAGAATAACATAAAATGAAAAAAAAAAATTTAATTTCATTGCTCTACCCTCTTTACTCCAAATCTCTGCTTCCCAGGGGAGAGATTTTTGCAATGATGTTAGCTTTTTGTCCTGGCACTTAACTCCATGCTTTTAAGAAATACATTTCTATTACTATTTCTTTTTTTGCTTTTTCATTTTTGTTTTTGTTTTGTTTTGTTTTTGAGACAGGGTCTCACTCTGTCCCCCAGACTGGAGTGCAGTGGCACGATTTCACTCACTGCAACCTCCGCCTCCCAGGCTCAAACGATTCTCCCACCTCAGCCTTCTGAGTAGCTGGGATTACATGGGATTACAGGCTCGAGCCACCACCGTCCAGCTAATTTTTGTATTTTTAGTAGAGAAGGGGTTTCACCATGTTGGCCAGGCTGGTCTTGAACTCCTGATCTCAAATGATTCACCCGCCTCGGCCTCCCAAAGTGCTGAGATTACAGGTATGAGCAACCGTTCCGGGCCAAATTTCTATTGCTATTTCTTAAAGTTCAAGTTTTAGATACTGTTCACGGACTTGCTCCAGTGAAAGATGATGAAGATTCAGCTCTCCTATACACCTTCCACTTCAACATATGCTTCCTCTCCACCCACCTTCCCAATAGATTATATCATAATTCTTAGTTACAGTAAATATTCTATGCACATGATTATGATCACATAAATAAATATCCACAGCTGGGCCCTGAATGATTGTATTTCCTTTTCTTTGCCTACTTGCTTTCTCTGAAATTGTCTCACTTTTTTATACGTTTAATTCATTACAAAGCCTACCATCAATTTGTTTATAAACTATCTGACAGAAGTATACATCTCCTTTTTTTTGTTTTGAGATGGAGTCTCGCTCTGTTGCCCAGGCTGGAGTGCAATGGTGTGATCTCAGCTCACTGCAACCTCTGCCTCCCAGGTTCAAGCGATTCTCCTGCCTCAGCCTCCTGAGTAGCTGGGATTACAGTCGCCCACCACCACGCCCGGCTAATTTTTGTATTTTTAGCAGAGACTGGGTTTCAACTGCATTGGCCAGGCTGGACTCGAATTCCTGACCTCTGGTGATTCGCCCGCCTTGGCCTCCCAAAGTGTTGGGATTACAGGCGGGAGCCACTGCGCCCGGCCAACATCTCCTTTTAATACATTCAGGTGCATCAAGGATCTTATTGGTTCCATCTATCGAAGAGGTGCCTCCTCCTGCTCCTACCTGGACAGATTGCTGTCCTGCTGCATGGTTGCAGGAAAGCTGTCAGATTCAAAACAAAGTCACTTGTGTCAAACTCTGGAAAAATGGAGCTGGGAAAGGCCATGAAGAGAGGGCTCTCACACACCGTTGGCCTAAAAATTGGAAACATCACAAGCAACTTTTCCAAATCGCAGTTTACTACGTGAGTTACACAAGGACTGATAGCAGGACAAGGACAGCTAGCTGCTTATACAAGAATTCTTGCCTGACACTCTCTCTCACAAACCCAGTCCAAAACTTCTAAGGCCTAACTGTAACTCCAAGATTATAAAACCTGCCTAGCAAGTGCTGGTACTCACCAATCAGAACTCACCAGCCCTTGTAAGACACTGCCAACCCCAATGAACTTTCTTTCAAATCAACTTACCCAACCTCCTCTTTCCCCAAAGAAGCTCTAAAGTTTTCCTCTCTTCTCTAGACATACTAGAGGCCAGTCTGTTCTGTATGTAAGTTCCAAATTGCAATCTCACCTCTTGTATATAATCCCCAATTAAAGCCTTTTTACTTAGAGGTTCGTCTCTCTATACTATTGTGCTGATGTAATCTGGTGTCAAAAGTGGTGCCCAAAGCAGACTCACCGTTGGAGAGATCAGAGGCCCCCAGAGCTATGGCGTGTGACACCCGTACTTGGACCCCTTGAGTCCTCCATGTTGCCTTGTTTTAATTATTTTTGTCTCGGTAAGTCTCTTTCAGATTGAGTCTCCCCCTCTCCTTTTTTTTTTTCTTTTTTGTTTTGTTTTAGTTCTTGGGTTTCAACTGGGATTTGGTTTAGGAGGGACTTTCTCCCTCGTGTTTATGAGGCCTCCTGTTTATGAGGGATTTTTCCCTCCTGTTAAAGGTCTTGTTGTCCTTTCTGGTGAGCATGTCCTTTACTCTCTGGTTCATTTTGCACACTTGGTTATTTCGGCTTTCGCATGTTCAGACTTGTGCCAACTCACCTAGATCAATTTATTTACAATACGGGCTCTCAGAGTTCAAAGGCATGCCAACATGGTCCCCCTTCTGGGGCTCCAGCTGACAATACATTCAAGCTTTCTGAAGATCACTTGAACTCCCCAAGCTTATTTATCTTAGTGCTAGATTAGAAGACCACAGTTACGAGATCAAGCAATTTCAGTGAAACATACACCTTCATTGATATCTCAAGGCATCAAAATGCTTTCAGGACTCAAATATTGCCTTACTGCAAAACACCACCTCAAAGCCAGCTGAGACTCCTCTCCAGGGCCTCCCTTCCTGTGCCTCCTTTCCCAAAACTCCCCAGATACTCTGGCATATTGACTATGTAAGTAAAGACAATTGAAAAACAGCAGGTACAAAAATAAAATCATTTTGACTTGGTGCTATTTCTTAAAAGCAGAAGATGACATTTCTGGGTAAAAGACACCCTCCCTATACTGGAAGGAAAGGCAACACTCTTATCTTCAAGGATGAGGAGCTGACACCGAGAGAATACAGTACAGACCCTTTTAGAATAATTCTTATCTTTTAAGCCTTCTCTCATAATTTAGTCACATTTTCACAGTTAACTATTCTATGTCCAATCCAGTATATTGGTAAATGACCTGAGTCACTCTAAGTGCTTCTTTGGGGTCTTCATTTCCTTATGAGGGCTTTCATGGCACATAAAACTTGTATTTTGTTTATTTTTTCTCTTGCTTAATCTATCCTATGTTAATTTAATTGTCAGACCTAGACAGGACCCTAAAAGGCTGCGACTACCTCACTTACTCCAGGGCTTACAAATGAGATTCTAAAAGTTCTTAAAAGAGCCAGCTATCTATGTATGCATGTACGTATGTATGTATGTATTTTGGCCTATAATTTGTATACTTTTTTTTTTACACCAAAAGGCAAATTACAAGCTTGTTTTTCTTACAAATAAATTGGAAGGCTGCTTACACAGCATTTGGTCTATTACCTTCATAAGATTTCCTCTCAAGACAAACAAAAAAAACTTAAGTTTAACCTTGTTCCATTTTTTGAGAAATGTTATATGGATCCAACTGTCTTCTTACAAATTAATGAGCTTATATCACTGTGTTTTACTTATGAATACATTTTTTAAGTAAAAACTGTAAAGTCTTGCCATAAGGACTTTGTTTTTGTTCATCTGTATGCTTTTATGAGTTTTCCTACATCTATATGTTTGATGTATATGATTTTTTTCTATAAAAATAAAGGAGATCTGTTGGCTTAAAGGGAAAAATAAGTGTTTAAATCAAGTAATTTATCAAAAAAGTAATTAACCAAAAAACTTTTAAAGTTTATGTGACTTCAATAAAAATTTAATAATGTAATATTTTTCATTTAATTAAAAGCAAGCATATCTTCAAGATGTCACCATTAAAAGTAAACAGAGACACAACTTTATTTCTATTAGATGTTTAAGATCATGAAACTGTGAGTGTGACCTAGAAACAAGTACAATAAGTCCTCACTTAATGTTGTCAATAAGTTCTTGGAAACTGTAATTTTAAGCAAAATGACATATAATAAAACCAATTTTATTTTCTCACCAACATTATAGCAAAATGATGTTGAACAAAGCAATGTTATTTAAGGAGCTGCTATACATCCTTTCACTTAAAGTAGATGTTTCCAAGAACCTATGGATGATGTAAAGTTAGGACTTATTGTGTACAAATTAGAATGCAATCTCATGTCCATTGCTTTCTGTATATCAACTACATCAATAAACAAAAACACATGTACTTAACTTACAGGGTTTCTTTGATGGGAAAATAACTTAAAATGATTAATAGGGCTGCAATCCCAGCACTTTGGGAAGCCAAGGTGGGAGGATCACTTAAGGCCTGGACTTAGAGACCAGCCTGAGAAACATAGCAAGCTCCCATCTCTATAAGAGACTTAAAAATTAGCTGTGCATAGTAATCCACACCTGCAGTCCTAGCTACTCGGGGCGATTGCTTGAGCCCAGGAGTTCGATGTTATTGTGAGCTATAATCATATTACTCCACTCCAGCCTGGGTGACAGAGCAAGATCCTGTCTCTAAAAAGAACAACAACAAAACATTGTTTTCAAAAGTAATGTTGGTATGATTTTTATAAATAAATCATGTGAATGTAACTGTGATAACATTTAGAAAAATGTCCTTTAATTTAAAATATTAAAGTTATGTTAAATTAAACAATAGGTATTTATAAAACATGTGAGTCATTTCTAAATAAGTTGACTACTGAAATTAATTGCTAAACATAGATTCAAATTTATTTACTTTTGGCTTCTTAAATTTTATAGGGAGACAAAAATTATTTAGATTTTTAATAAAAATACCCTATTTCATATAAAAATTATTCTATGAAAAAACGTGTTTTTAAAGCCATGCATTCCCCTCCTGAAAGTACTGGTTTTAAAATTTACATTATTTTTCTGGAAAAGGGGGTTACTCATGATTTTGGACACACACTCTCCCAGTGTCTGATTGAATTCAAGTACCCTTTCATCACATTTGATTTTGGAGTTATCTAAGCAAGTTTTCCCACAAAGAGAAACAATTACACTCTGGAAGGTTTTTCTTTATGTTTTAAAAATGTCCTAAAACAAAAAGTACACACAAATAATCTGAGTCTCATCAAGATACTTTCTTATGTTGTGTGTCATCTTCGGTGTTTTGTTGCTTGGGAAAATAGTCATCTCCAATAAAGGTCAATTTTTTTCTCAAGTATGTAACTATTTGTATTTGTCTTCAAAGTATTTTAATTATCAGTCTGATTAAATGACTATTATTTCTCAATTTCATGTGATTCTATTTTAATTAAATGTTTTAAGCCTTTAAATATATTTGACTAACTTCCTCCAAATCAAATTTTAATTGAAGTCTTTTTGACCTGAAATTGACTTTAGAAATTTCCAGTAGGGCTCTTGGAAAGCATCAAAAATTACAACTCTTATTGTAAAAAGAGGTCAAACTGTGACAATCCTGGCCTCAGCTGTGTCTGGAATCCCAGAATCCAGTCATCATCTGGTTCACCATCGCCAGGGAATAAAACCCCAGTCTTCTGCAAGGATGAGAAAGTGTTACAACTTTGGTAACGATGAGGTTTCCAAGTCCAACTCAGAAGTCAAGCTTAACTTCTCAAGCTTTTAGCCGAATCTTTTCCTTTAAGCCTCATCTGCACCCCCTACTTTCAGACAAAGTCCTTCTGTGGTCTTTGGTGTGACTCAGACTGCTTTTAGGCCTTCTCCACTATTACTTTAGAGTTTAAATTTCTCTTCTACCAGGTCAGTAATCTCTTAAATTTTTGCCTTCAAATTTCCAAAATTTATTGCACTTGTCTCCTCTCATAATCTCTTAGTCCTTGCATATTTTTGTGTTTTTAAATCCCTTCATTCGCATTCATGTGGCACTATAGGAGAAAGTGGAAATAAAAATAAGTTTAAATTCCAGTTTAATCAGAAGTCCTTGTAGTGACGTTTTCTATATACCCTGAACATTCTATGTATTTATTTATTAATTTTATTTTATTTATTTATTTATTTATTTTTTGAGACGGAGTCTCGCTCTGTCGCCCAGGCTGGAGTGCAGTGGCACGATCTCAGCTCACTGTAAGCTCCGCCTCCCGGATTCACGCCATTCTCCTGCATCAGCTTCCCGAGTAGCTGGGACTACAGGCGCCCGCCGCCATGCCTGGCTAATTTTTTGTATTTTGAGTAGAGACAGGGTTTCACCGTGTTAGCCAGGATGGTCTTGATCTCCTGACCTCGTCATCCGCCGGCCTCGGCCTCCCAAAGTGCTGGGATTACAGGCGTGAGCCACCGCGCCCGGCCACACTATGTGTTCAAAGGTCTCTTTGCTGCTCACCGATCTGGAATATACCAACCTCTGTTGGTTACCCAGCAAGCTGACCCTATGCATGTATCAAGACCCATTTCAAATGGCATCTCAGCTCGCAGAGTTGCTGTGTGCTTTTCTGGGCTCCCCATGGCACTTTGTTCGTGCCATTTGATTAGTGTTGCATATGTAACAAAAGCAAATATGGGAAGATATGTTATTTGCTGGTATCATTTCTCACTGCCATTTACTTTCTTGTTTTCATAATTGAGTTTTATATCTTGATTTATTTCTGGATTAGCAAGATTCTAACAAGTGTTTTTTGGTTTTTTTTCTGGAAGAGTATGTTGGTAATATATTTTCTGAATTTTTGCTTTGCTGAGAATCTCTTTTCCTTTCCTTTCATGAATGCTATTCAAGCTGAGGGATGAGCCTGGGGTGAGGCAGAGGAATTAGCCTTTGGTGAGGAGGAAGAAAGGGGCATATTCGTGGGCAAGAGTGTCTTCACTTTTGTTCTTGTGGCTCAGTGTTAGTTGGGGCATCTACTTCCTTACCACCCCCCTTCTCTAACTGCAATGTCTTTGCCTGCTGCAGGTGTGAAGGGGGAACTGGGATTGGGAGCAGCATCCCTGTTACCAGGCATCTTTAGCCTTTGGCACTTTCCTGGAGGAGCAGAGGGATGGACGTTGCCCACTGCCAACCTCCTCACAGTGCAGTGGGTTTGAAATATTTCTCCACACCACCTGTCCCTAAATACCCTGTAGCATATCAAGCAGGTTGGCATTAGTTCCAATCCTACACCCTAGAATGTAGTCCAGAAGTCACCTCCCATTGTTTTAGTCAGGCCTCATTCCATGCACCCCCGCTGAGCTGCTCATCAAGGTATCCACTGTCTCAAACTCTATACAATTTGAGTAGGAGTCAAAGTATGCTCTTTAACTAAGAATAATAAACTTTAAAATGATTACATACTTCCCCCTATTATTGTATTCCTTTGTTAATTTTGGTGGGAACTTGGAAGGAGTGGAGAACTCAATTCACGGATCTTTAAGGTTGCCTTCTTGGTCAGTGGAAAGTGACTCTCATCTTTTCATTCCCAGTGTTTATCAGGTGGGCTTCATAAATACGTAAACCAGACACTTACTGACTTATGGCACCAACTCCCCATACCTACTTTAAAATTATATAATCTATTACATTTAGGCTCTGGGTGTTCACCCATGGAGGGCAGCTTTCATGTTATCATTGTTGTCTCACATATTAGTTTTCTACTGAATAGTCACATTCTCTGTCTCTGTTTTAAGTGTACTTTGGTTCAGAATCCAAATGCTTCAGTGATGTCCATATGAAGTGATGGCTTGTTGGTGGTTGGAGGCCAGTGCTTCTCTAGGTCTGTCCCATTCCATTTTAGTGGGCAGATAATGTGATGTGATCTAAGCAGAAGCCTGGACTGGATCTTTCACAGTTGGTTAGGATGGGCTGAGAGAAGTGCAGGCTCCCTTCTCCCTCTCAGGGTGACAGTGTGTGAGCCATGCAATTTTGAAAACTAGAGCTTTTGAGGCCATACTCTTCCCCTTCTCTCACCACAGTTTCTATATGGCCAAGCACTACCTGATAGGAGCTCTAAGAGGATCAGTTGGCAATGTCAAAAGGATATGCATTGAGCCCTTGTTTGCAATTAGGAGCTTGGTTGTGGTAACTGGATACCTTTTTGGGAGTGGAAATTATAGGTAACATATATCATTACCACCATCATCTTAATAGCTACTATGGGTTCCACACAAGCACGGCCTCATTCAATTTATATAGTCATCCTGTAAGGTGGTGGTATTATCCAATTTTATAAATGAGAAAACTGAAGAAGCAGTTGCTTAGCCACATAGGTTTCCAATAAAGAGTTACTGAGTGAAAGAATGAATAAATGAAGAAAGTAGCTTGCCAAAGATCATACAGCAAGTAAGACAGAGTGGGAAAAGTTGCAGCAGATAGACTTTTTCTTTAGTAACGGATCTCTTCCATATGTGCCTTCCATGCATCTGCAGCATTTCTTGAATGTCAGTGTTTCCCATTTACATGGTTTGGCTCTGTGTCCCCGCCCAAATCTCATGTTGAATTGTAATCCTTAATATTGGGTCAGGGACCTGGTGGGAGCTGATTGGATCATGGAGGCAGTTTCCCTCCTTGCTATTCTCGTGATAGTGGGTGTGTTCTCATGAAATCTGGTTATTTAAAAGTGTGTAGCACTTCCTGCTTCGCTCTTTCTCTCCTGCTCCATCACAGTAAGATGTGTTTACTTCCACTTCTGCCATGATTGCAAGTTGCCTGAGGCCTCCCAGCCATGCTTCCTGTACAGCCTGCAGAACTGTGAGTCAATTAAACCTCTTTTCATAAATTACTCAGTCTCAGATCGTTCTTTATAGCAGTGTGAGAACAGACTAATACACCTGTGAATCCATCTCCTCAACCTTAGCACCTCCCTAGGCCAATGCCTTCCTAAAGGAGGTATTGTAGCTTATATACAAAACTGTCAGTATTGTTTGTTAATTAATTTATTGGTAACTTAGTCATTAATTCAGCAATACTAGGTCTGTGCTAAGCAAAGGCGAGGGACCCAGAGTTAAATAATATACAGTGTCTGTTTTTGAATGAACCCCATCCTCTGGGAAGACAGACGTATCAACAGGCAAGAAAACAGTGATAAATTCCATGACAGCTCAGTGCACAGTAGAGTGACCAACCATCCTGGTTTTCCTGGGACAGTCCCAATATTAGCACTGAAACTCCCACATCCCGGAAAACTCTTGGGCAAACCAGCATGGGTTTACCTACCTGCCACACAGAGTAAAATCAGAATTTGTTCAGAAAAGATTGACTCGAATGTAAGAAAATAATAAAAACACAACTAACAGGCGTACTTTGCAGTTTACGAAGCCTTTTCTTTTCCATCAACTCATTTTTAAAGTTCGCCACAATCCTAGTGTTAGACTTTTGTAGTGTCTTGTGATAACTGAGGATCAAAATTGTGAATAAATGCCATGTTTGCTTTACCTAGGAAGAAAAAGAAAATCATTAAATAAAAAGATGGCAGCAGGCGTGCGTGTTTGGGGCAGTGGGATGGCCTCCCAACTCCAGGAGCAGGAGGGAGACAAGGGGGGCAGCAGTGTGTCCTCTCCTGGACCAACTGATCCATGAGGTATGATAAGAAGGCATGGGCTCCACATTCACACACCAACACGTCCCACCAAGACCCTTCCTAGCTATGCGTGACCTTGAGTAAGTCATTATGTCTAAACTTTGGATTTTTCAGTTATGCAAGGGGGTTAAGGATCCCCATGAATTTCGCCAAGATAAAGTAGCATAAATCATATAAAGTACTCAGTACCAGGGTTTGCTTTTGATAGGAACCAGAGAGATACTGGTTCCCTTTCATATTTTTTTTTCTCTGTTGTAAGCAGAAGAAATCCAATTTAAATTAAATAAACAATGAAAAGGAATTCATTGGCTCATAACTGGGTACTTCAGGGTTCAGCACAGCTGCATGGAGAAAGGGTGTGTTTATGTCTTCAGGGTTAGCTCTTACATACTCTCTATCTGTTTCTCCATCTGTCTGTCTTACTCTCTGCCTCTGTCTTTGTCTCTGTGTCTCTTTGTCTGTCTCTCTTTCTGTCTCTGTCTCTTTGTGTGTGTGTCTCTCTCTATCTTTCAAAAGTTGCCAGAAATGAAAAAGAAGTCACTAATGTTCAGAAAACCCTGACAAGTAGAGCCAGGGAAGGTCATAAAGAGAGGGTTTTCATGCTTGTATGCCTAATAACAAAAACTCCCAAAAGATTGCAAAAATCACAACCTTGCACAAAGACCATTACAACCGTAGACAAAAAACACTTCTTCCAGGGCATTTGCCTAGACACTACCTGCTTAACATCAGACTGGTATCACCCTTGTTATTGATCTTGGTAGCCAAGGATAATTATTTCAAAACAATTATGTAATCCTTTCCACGTTCTTCTCTAATAAAATGTAGTTTTCCTTTACCTCCTTGAATATGTCACAATCAACTATGGCAAGCATATTTCTATCACAATGCCTTATTCCCAAATAAATATATTTTCTTTTAGAGAGCCTCTCTCTGTTATTTGGGTTGACATATATGGTATCAGAAGGGGATCTTAAAAACATGACTATCAAAAGGAATCAGTGATGCCTGGAGCCAGTGCACAGCACTCACTTGAGCCCTTTTGATTTTTTTTTTTCTTCAGAAGGAGTCTCGCTCTGGAGTGCAGTGGCGTGATCTCAGCTCACTGCAACCTCTGCCTCCCAGGTTCAAGCAATTCTCCCTGCCTTAGCCTCCTGAGTAGCTGGGATTACAGGTGCCCACCACCACGCCTAGCTGATTTTTGTATTTTTAGTAGAGATGGGGTTTCACCATGTTGGCCAGGCTGGTCTCAAACTCCTGACCTCAGGCAATCCGCCCACCTCAGCCTCCCAAAGTGCTGGGATTACAGGCATGAGCCACCACGCCTGGCCTCACTTGAGCCTTTTGAGCTCTCTATTTCCATGGCTTGTCTTTTCTGACCTAACGAATCTTCTCTCAGGTTGAGCCTCCCTGTTTTTGGTAGAGACTTTTTGATATAACTTGGGATCTGATTTCAATAAGGCCACCTTAATAAAGAACTGTACATTCCTCTTGGGATAATATAAGACTTTTTGTCTTTTCTGATGAGTCCTTTCTGGTATAAAGACAAGTGTCTTTCTGGATTGAACACTCTAGGTTTCTATAGAGTTTACATTTTGTCTATGAGTCTTGTCTTTTATGATTTGCATGCCTAGTTTAATATTTTGTTTGATTCACATGCCTAGGTTACAGTTTTTTGTGAACACTCTTATCTTAGCTTCTCTTGATTTGGTTTGACTCTTTTCCCTTGCTTGTTATTGAAAATCTTACAAGAGCAAAAATAGCCATTCTGGATGATGGGTGCAGAATGACTAATCAAAACCTATTAGGGAAGTTGCTACTATCTAACACTGGTCTAAACTCCTGACATCCCCTGACAGGATTTATAGGATTTTCTTTTCCCTTGAGAGATTAATGAGAAATGAAATGGAATTCTCAAACATTAAGGCATGCCAGGTTTTCTGGAAGTCCAGCCAGCTACATATTATGGCCCACTCTTGTGCACATTTTTAAACAAATTATATCAAGAAAACCTTAGAGCCCAAATGGTCATTATTTGAAAAACGTCAAACTATAGAGGTAACATGTAGCGTCTTCTATGCTCTCTGTCTCTCTATTTTTTCTTCCTACTTTGAATCTGTTGACTTTTTTTTACTGGTATTGAGACAAAACTCACTGGTTATGACATTCAAGCCCAGATTAAAAAAAAATTCAAGGGCTTTCTAATTTTAAAAATTAAAACAGCTTCATGGTAACCAACAACCTAGATGCCTTTTAGAAATACAAATTTGGGTTTGCCTAACAATTGCATATCATTAGAAACAATTAAAAATTAATAATCCAAAAAAGAACTAGATAAATTTATAAAATTTAGGCTTTTTGATCAAACAGGTTAAAATCTTGAGCTCACAGCAATAATATAAGAGATCTCTGTCCAGCATAAAAATTTTGTTTTCTCTGCCATGCCAAGACCAAGAAGGAAAAGTCAAAGAAAAATAAGAAACGTCTAAAATTCTTCTCCACCCATATTTTCCAATCAAGCAAACTAGACTGGCAAACAAAAGATAGATTTGTTCCTAATTCAAAGCTACTCGGAGGTTTTGTTTTTCTTATACAATTCAGCCAGTTCTAGCTAAAATGTAAAATGGGACCCTAAACTCTTTTGAAACTGAAAAAAAGGGTTAAAAGATTTTTTAAAACATTAAACTGCCATAAAACTACTTTACCCAAAATTGTTATCCATAGGCCTTCATTAGATGACATATTAGCCAAGTAAAGTGTAGTTATGTTAATAGGTTCCAATGTTTTCAAAAACAGAATTTGTATCCAAGTGTTTTTTATAAACTGGTGAGCTTGTATTACTATTTCATGACTAAAATTATAAGATGAAAAGTATAAGATCTTTATTTGCGTGTGTATATACATATACACATGTTCAGATGTGTTTACACATATCTACATGTATTATGCTGTATGTTTTATCTATATGGTAATATCCAGTGTAATTGGCCAGAAATCCATTAAGAGATTATACTTAGGTAAATGAGTGCTTCTACAAAATATATAGTAATTAACCCAAATGCTTTTTGCTCACATGACTTAAGTAAACTTTTCTTTCTTTTTTTTTTTTTTTTCCTTTTGATACAGAGTTTCGCTCTTGTTGCCCAGGCTAGAGTGCAATGGCGCGATCTCAACTCACCGCAATCTCTGCCTTCCAGGTTGAAGCAATTCTCCTGCCTCAGCCTCCCAAGTAGCTGGGATTACAGGCATGTGCCACCATGCCTGGCTAATTTTGTATTTTCAGTAGAGATGGGATTTCTACGTGTTGGTCAGGCTGGTCTCAAACTCCCGACCTCAGGTGATCCGCCTGCCTCGGCCTCCCAAAGTGCTGGGATTACAGGCATGAGCCACTGCCTAGCCTTAAAGAAACTTTTAATAAATAAGCAGGTTTTAAAAATATTGGTAAAATAGAAATAAAAATGCCTTCATAATTGTAAGCATACATTTTTTGCCTGTGTTTACTGGTCATACAGTTTTATATTTCTCTGCTGGATAATTTGAGGTGTCAGGGTCTGACACAAGATTTATTAAACTATAAGCTCAGCCTAAAATAAAACAATATTTGCTTGTGTAATGATTTTGATAAATAAGACTAATTTAATATTGTTGGTTTAATGAAAACAGCTGTATTTTCCAAATTATCAAAAAACACCCATGTATTAAAAGTTCTTAGTTAGATGAACACCTGATATTCACAGGCTATAAAAATCATTAACAGGACAGGGAGCAGTGGCTCACACCTGTAATCCCAGCACTTTGGGAGGCTGAGGGGGGCAGATGATGAGGTCAGGAGTTCAAGACCAGCCTGGCCAACATGGTGAAATCCCATCTCTACTAAAAATACAAAAAATTAGCTGGGCTTAGTGGCACACGCCTGTAGTCCCAGCTACTTGGGAGGCTGAGGCAGGAGAATCACTTGAACCTGGCGGGAGGAGGTTGCAGTGAGCCAAGATCGTGCCACTGCACTCTAGTCTGGCAACAGAGAGGCTCCATCTCAAAAAAAAAATAAAAAATTGTTAACATGAAAATAAATTAAAATGATATCTAGCTTTTTTTTAACATCTCATTTCTCATAAGCAAGGTAAACTGTTACAAATAAAATAGGTAAAAATAAATGGGATAAATGCTTACAAATAAACTTTTTATTTAATTTGAAATCTCAAAGTTGTTAACTTAAAGAGTAGATACTCTCTAAATGTCTAGGTCATTTCCAAATAAGATTTAAAAAATATGTTATAGGAAAACACATTTATAAAAATTTTAAAATGGTTCTCATTTATAAACTACTGATACATGACAGATAATTCAACATTTCTTGCTTCCTAGGTTTTCACTAAAATGTAAGGTTATTAAGGGTTAAAAATTCTAATTAACATACAATAATGTATATAGAGGGTGTTTTTAATAAGAAAAATTATAAGAAAGGCTTAAAGTGTGTTCTCTGTGGAGAAAAATAATAATTTTATCTAATACAGATGTTATTTAAAGGTTGTTTCAAAATATGGAACAGGATAGAAAAAAACCAGTAAGTAAGAGAGAGGTATGAGAAGAAAGTTATAAATATGAAAATGTATTTTGGTGACAAAGATTAAAAAGAAAAGAAAAGAATTTTGTGTGGGAAATAATATTATATGTTATTTTTTGTCCTAAAGCAAAATGATGAGTTATTTAAGAAACAGGAAGTATAAAGCAAAGCGGAAAATCCAAGCATGTCATCAATGGTCTGAGAAAGCCATAATAACATTTGTGAAAAGGGAATTTATAAAAGGAATTTTGTGTGTTAATAGGTTGGCTATAATTAGTAGGAAAGTTATTTATAAGTCTTTCTAAACATTGAGCTCTGATAGTTAAATATACACTAATATAAAACTAAAAAAAAAAGTTTCCTAAATTAGAACAAGGTCTTCTCTTTCTTTCCTTCTCTCCTTCGTTCCTTCGTTCTTTCCTTCCTTCCCTCTCTTCCTCCTTCCTTCCTTCCTTTCTTTCTGTCTCTCCCTCTCTCTCTTTCTTTTTTGACAGAGTCTTGCTCTGTTGCCAGGCTGGAGTGCAGTGGCACAATCTCAGCTCACTGCAACCTCCACCTCCCAAGTTCAAGTGATTTTCCTGCCTCAGCCTCTTGATTAGCTGGGACCACAGGTGTGCACCACCACGCCCAGCTAATTTTTGTATTTTTGGTACAGATGGGGTTTTGCCATGTTGGCCAGGATGGTCTCAATCTCTTGACCTTGTGATCCACCTGCCTCAGCCTCCCAAAGTGCTGGGATTACAGGTGTGAGCCACCATGCCCAGCTGGTTTTCTTAAAATATTCATTTGTTCTTAGTAAAACTGCAAGAGGTTTTATTTTATTTTGAGACAGATTCTTGCTCAATCACCCAGGCTGGAATGTAGTGGTGTGATCTTGGCTCACTGCAACCTCCACCTCCTGGGTTCAAGTTATTCTCCTGCCTCAGCCACCCGAGTAGCTGGAATTACAGATGTGCACCACCACACCTGACTAAGTTTTGTATTTTTAAAAGAGACAAGGTTTTGCCATGTGGGCCAGGCTAGTCTAAAACTCCTGACCTCAAGCAATCCACCTGCTTTGGCCTCCCAAAGTACAGGCATGGGCCACTGCATCCAGCCTGATTTTTAATTCTGAAATCTGTTTCTTTAACAGTCATCTCCTAGACTATAGATAATTTCTATTTCTTCCTGAGATCCACTTAATTTCTCTTGTTTCAGGTTGGAAATGCTGTCTTTTTCATTTGAAATTGCAGTTTCATTTTTCTTTCTGAAACTTCTCAGATTTATATCTCAGAAGTTCAGCTTTTGCTGTACCTCATTGCATGTGATTTCCAGGTCATACATGATTGCCATCTGTTTTTTCTCTCCTTAAAAACGTATCTTTTTAAGGATACGTTAAAATCTTTTTAAGGATAACCGAGCTTCACTGGGCTGATAACTTTTCGTCAACCTTTTCATCAACTCCTGTAACATTTTTCTCCGATTCTAACTCAGCTGTTATGCTGTTATCTTGAAGGTCTAGAAAAGCAATGTTTTCTTCCAATATGACTTAATTTTGTACTCTTGGCTTTTCTTAATATGTTTGAATTGTTCCATGTAACCAGGAAACCTCACATACTGTTACTTAAGCCATGTATTCCCCTGCTCAAAGTATTAGTTTTCTTGTTTACATTCCCTTATAATATACTGTATACTCATGACCCTAGACACACTCTTTCTATGTCTGACTAAATTCCAGCACCCTTTTCGTCAGGTTTGGCTTCCAGGTTATCTAAATAGACTTCTCACAAGGAGACACAATCACACTGCAAGGGTTTTTTTTTTTTTTTTTTGCCTATTTGTTCATTTGTTTGTTTTTACCTTTTTAGTAGCTGGGATAAAAACAAAATAGATATTTTACATTTTATCAAAATAATTCCTGCACGGTCTTATTAGGTTTTTGATTATTTAAGAAAACTGAACATTACAAGGGTTAAGGTTTTTACATTCATGTAATTTTCTGTATTGTTTTTGAAGTCTTTTGATTATCACTAAGGTTAAATGAATAACTACTATTTAACAGTGATTTGTAATTTTGTTTTGATTAAGTGTTTTGAAACTTTTGACATCTTTGGCAGGTTTTCCAGGATCAAAATCCCAAATGAAGTCATTTTGACCTAAAATTAACTTTCAGATTCTCCAGTTGTTCCTATGGAGACCCTCAAAGAATATATCTCTCATCTTGTAGAGATACTGAATGATGCAACTTACTTGGTGAAATGCATGAGAGACCTTGTCAAGTAATAAGTGATACTAGATCTTCTTTCAGTTACATTTATGAGTATGACATAAATGTTCCAAAAATTATGTGTCATAAAACATAGCATGTTATCAGTCATAATTTGTATTGTTAAGTATTTTCTAAAGTTATGTTTGAATGGATATGTTATTAATGTGAGTATTCTAAAGATTATATGAAATGTATAAAAGTCTGATGGTCCTGATGTGACTCTATCAGTCAGGATTCTGGTTGTTATCTTAAAATGCTGCATGTGATAGCGTGTAATAACTAAATTTCCATGTTCATTGAGAACTTTAATCATATTGTTAACCAATGGCTATTCTAAGTTTTTGTCATCCACAATTATTGTTTTGAATTCTTCTCTAAAAACATTTGTAGCAGCTATAGTCCAAAATTGCTTTTCATAGAAAAGACTCCAACAAGTACTCTTGAACATAGAGATCTGACAACTGTAAGGTCAATAAACTAAATACAAATTGTTAGAACTTGAATAAAGCTAATGGGGTCATGAAACTGCTAATCAAGATCAATCAAAACAAAAAATTAATTGCATAAAATTAATAAAGGTAACATTTTATGACATATTTAAAATATTATTGGTTCTTTACTTAAATGTTTTGTTTTCCAGATTTAAGAAATGCTTCTCTCATAAGCCATTTATAGTTTACAACAATTTGGAAAAGTATACTTTTGTTTTTTTTCTTTTGAGATGGACTCTTGCTCTGTCACTCAGGCTGGAGTACAGTGGTGTAATCTCGGCTCACTGCAACCTCTTCCTCCCGGGTTCAAGTGATTCTCCTGCCTCAGCCTCCCTGAGTAGCTGGGACTACAGGAGCGTGCCACCACGCCCAACTAATTTTTCTATTTTTAGTAGAGATGGGTTTCCACCATGTTGGCCAGGCTAGTCTCGATCTCCTGACCTTGTGATCCACCCGCCTTGGCCTCCCAAAGGTGTACTTTTATGAGTCAAGATGGAAAAAACATTTGTTTTTTCTTCCCACTTGCTTCATCCAAAACTTGGAAACTATTTATGAGTATTTTTATTTTTATTTATGTAAATTCAGTAAAAATCTGCTTTCTCTTTATAAGCAGGGTACAATTGGCAACATTGGCTATATTACCAAGGCTTTAACTGACATGTCATATTTTAAAATGTCCATAAAATGCTTGGTTTCAAGAGTTCCTTCCCTGCCTTACAGTGAGTGATAAATATTGTCACTTCCTGACATGCCTAAGAACCTTAACACAGAAAGTAAAATCTAAAGTCTGCCTTGGTTTGGCTTCCTAGCCTCAAGAGGCTTTTAAATTCGAGATTCCTATATGATTAATGCAGGGGAAAAAAGTTATGTTTCTGAAGAAAAACTAGAATACATCTATTATTAGTTTGTAGCCTTGTGCATTGGTTTCAAGTTCTGGTTATCTACCTGCAGGCTGGATTCGTTCCTAAATTCTCCTAATTTCCTTCAATACTGGGCTACAAGTCTCCAGCTAAAACAAAAGCTGCTCTATTCCTAAAGCCCTGTAAGCTGAAATGAGATGAATTTTAAGCAGAAAGTTTATTAAACCACCCAATGTATCGACCAAAAACATTGAAACTGCCAATCAGGAGAAGTTGAGGTTTTCACACCGTAGACAGCTTTTCCCAAGACGTCAGAATAAGACTTCATATCATAATGAGACTTTTTTCCACTTGGCATGATAAAGGCCAAGTCGAAATTTCACAATCAATAGTTTCTGCTAGCAACTTAACAGAACCCAGCCGAAGAAATTCTGTAGTGCTAATTGGCTAAATAAGAAAATGTCTGTGTTGATGCTAATAGTGCATGCCATACTTGGATAAATTTTATCTGAGAAAGTTGAGACCCATATACACAAAATTAGAAAACAGGCCACATGGTTACAACAGTTCTCATCTAATGTCCTATGGTCATTTGATTTATTCAATTGATTAAGTTAAGTTTCACGGCTCAAAACCATTATACAAGTGGAAATTATTATATTACTATTAATTATACTTTGCATTTCCACTTTTCAAAGTTGTACTCATTACTTGTTAAATTTTTGCAGAAGTACTATTCTTAACAAAATAATACCGGCCCAGCACTTTAAGATAATAACAAAAGACTATGAAACAGACAAAATCGAACTAAATAATGGACTCTGGGTAGACTTAGCCTAAGAGCCACTCTTTTCAAATCCTTGTTGCTTGAATGTGGCTAAATGGATTTTTTTCTTTTTTTTTTTTTTGAGACGGAGTCTCACTCTGTCACCCAGGCTGGAGTACAGTGGCATGATCTCAGCTCACTGCAACCTCTGTCTCCCAGGTCCCAGCAGTTCTCCTGCCTCAGCCTCCCAAGTAGCTGGGATTACAGGCACCCGCCACCACGCCCAGCTAGTTTTTGTATATTTCGTAGAGACGGGGTTTCTCCATGTTGGCCAGGCTGGTTTCAAACTCCTGACCTCAGGTGATCTGCCCACCTCGGCTTCTCAAAGTGCTGGGATTACAGGCATGAGCCACTGTGCTTGGCCTGGATTTTGACACTGATTTCTAGTTACCAATCACTCCCTGAAACATGGGACAAGAAGAACAACCAAGACTGGTCCCTCCCATCATCAGGAGGCATCAATACCTAACTACAGGATGATTGATTAGTGATGCTTCCAGAGAAAGATCTTGATCAAAAGGGAGAAATGTGAAAGTTGTTCAGAATCAAAATGAAGTCACTAATGTTAAGAAAAACCTGACAAATAGAGCCACGGAAAGCAATGAGGAGAGGATTCCCACGTTTGTATGCCTAATAACAAAAACTCTCACAAAAGACTTCAAAAATCACAACCTTACACAAAGGCCATTGCAACCTGACACAAAAAATACTTCTGAAAGGACATCTGCTCAGCAACTGCGTGTCTAACCTTGGACTGATGTCACCCTTGTCATTGATCTATGTAGCCAAGGGTAATTATTTCAAAATAGTTATGTAATACTTCTTACTTTTCTCTCTGAAAATCTTATTCTTCCTTTGCCTTTTTGAATACACACATAGTTTACTATGGTATATGTATTCCCATTGCAATGTTTTATTCCAAAATAAGTATCTTTTCTTTTAGAGAGCCCCTCCCTACTTGTTATTTAGATTGACAATCTGTCTCTGTCTCTGTGGGTCTTTCTTTGTCTCTCTGTGTATATCTCTTTGTCTCTCTTTCTCTGTGTGTATCTCTGTGTCTTGCTCTCGCTGTCTTAGTATCTCTGTCTCTCCATGTGTGTCTCTGACTGTTTCTGAATCTCTGTCTCTCTCCCGGTCTGCCTCTCTATGTGTGTTTCTGCCTCTATATCTGTCTCTTTTTGTCTTTGTCCCTCTGTGGGTTTCTGTCTCTGACTCATTCTCTGTTTCTCTCTGTCTGTCTCTGTATCTCTGTCTTTCTCTGTCTCTGTCTCTCTCTTTTTTGTCTCTCTTTTCATCAGCTCTCTTTTATTCTGTGTATCAGCCCACTCCTACCACTTTCTGAACAGGCCTACTCTATGGGGCAGATGGACTAGGCCTTCAGTGGCTCCAAGAATACGTTTTACAATATAGCAAAGCAAGCGTGAAGCACATCTCTTTCCCAAAGTTCACAAATGCATCCTGGGGAAGAATATGGATTGACCCTGCTTGGGACAAACTCTCAGCCCTGGACCAGTGCTAGTGTCCAAGTGACTCAGGCCTTGCCTGGGACATGGGTCTACCATTCTCCCTATGACCTAGGATGAGGATATGTCATCCCCCAAACTGAAATCCTTTAGGGAATGAACACAGGTGTGTTGATAATTGAATCAGGACAAAAGACATAAACCAGACTGAGCCAAGCAACCTGGGATGCATCATGGTGATCCTACTGGTATTAAAAGAAGGGGTTCAGAGAAAACAGGGCAAGACCTGCCAAGCCCAACTCACATACTTTAAAAAAAAAAATCTAAAATGACCAGTATGAATTCGTTTAGAAAATAGCATTCTATTCCCAAATGCAGCATATCTGAAAACATTTGTCCTGCATCCTTAACTGGGACAGTGATGTTTCTAGCACGTGTGTTTCAAATCTCTGGATAATTTCAGCAATGGCCCACCTGCCTTTGATTCTTTTCCCTGATGCTTGTAGCCAGCTACTGTTTGCTCTTCTACAGTTCTCATGAACTCCAGCAGCTTTAGGTTTGGGGGACATCCTGAGGCCCAGGTATACAGCCCAGGCCTCACACCATTATCATATCCCCACTGACAGTGCTCCAGGTGCCTTCTGCCAAGCAATTGCAGGGACAAATTTGGAGATGAAACATTAAGCATCCTTCTGGAGATGCTGGAAGATGGAGTGGCTCCTCCAGAACCCCCACCCACTTCTCTGCCCTTCCAGGATGACTTCAGTATAGTGAAGAAGATGACAGCACAGGCTTGAATCCGTGCAATCTGGGGTTTGAAGTGTACTAGGTGTCATGTGTTGAATTACTAACCTCACTTAGCTTCAGGTAAATGCCTCAGGTGCCTCATCTGTGAAATGGTAATTGTCACTAGATAGCTTTTCTTAAAGTATTTGGTACATAATGAGCACTCCATTAATGACAACTATTGCTATTTCCATTGCTATTATTATGGCATAATTTCAGCACTGGATTTGAACTTTTCAGAGCAGCTCTTACTACACTGGCAGAAGACACTTCATCAGCCTTCTACAATAATTAGTCATGCTCTGAATCTTTGCTACTTTACCAAACAGCTCCTTCCCTTCTTGTTTCCCCCATTTGTTCTGGCTAACTGGATTAATAATGGATATCTCCTAGCCCATATCATTTTCTATTTAGCATCCAGACCAATGAATGCCCCAAAATGCCTACTGGAGACATTGGCTATGAACTGGAGAGGGAGCCACAAGCATGCTCTCCCAAGGGAATTCTGAGATCAGTCCTATGTGTCTCTGCAGTTTCTAAATTATCTTATGAGTCTTGCCTCATTAACACACTTTATTGCATCCCCTAAGCTACTTCTCTGCAACTCGTCTTTCTCCCTGCCTGTCTTGACCTCATTGCCAAATTTTCTTTCTCTCCTCTGGTATAATAACAGCAATAGCTAACATTACTCTTTTCCAGGCACTGGCCTAAATGCTTTACATCTTTATAATAACCTTATAAAGTAGCTTCTTTCATTATGTCACTTTGCTGTGGTGAAGCTGATCACAGAGAGCAAAGTAGCTTGGCAAGGTCAGATAACTCGTAGAATTTAACCACGGTCAGGCTAGCCCTAGAGCCAGCCTTCTTGACTAGACTACATTGCCTTCCACTGCAGTGTAGCCTATACATGAGTGACAGGTAACCTGTGGATAACTTTATCATTTCAGAATATATGATACAAAACACTGTGCTTTCTTTTGATCCTTTCAATCCACATTTATGGACTCCAGATGCTGTGCTATGCCTAAGCCATACAGTGAGGAGGAAGAAATAACCCATGCCCCAAGTAGTTCATAGACTAATAGCAAAGACAGACATAAGAAAATAGGAAAATTCTAAACACACAGAAGGGTGATATAAAAGAGATAACTCCAGGAGAAAGGAAAACATGGAAAATTTCCTTTGCCCAGTTAAGAATATGTGTTTTAACTAATCTCATACTCTGGTTAATAGTTAACAAAGATCTCAGGGTAAGAAAATTTTGCTTAATAGCCTAAGCTATCTGCTTAAATGCTTAATAGCATTTCCATTTCTTTGATTCAGAAGACACAGCATGTTCTTACAAAGAACCAATACCAATATCACGATTGGAGATGTTTTGCCCTGTAGAAAGGGCATGGCCTTTGGAATAAAACAGAGCAGCATTTCATCCACTTCTGCTCCCTTCCAGCTGTGGGATGTTAGACATCGTATTTGACCTAAGCCTGACCCTGCTTGTCAACAAAATGGGCACAATCTTTCACCTGCTGAAAGACATGTAGTTTGTTCTTAGTTTTTGCCTATTAAGAATAAAGCTGCTATGAACATTTGTGCACAGGCTTTTATGTGAACATAAATTTCTATTTCTTTGGGGAAAATGCCCAAGTACGCAGTTGCTGGGTGACGCAATAATGGCATGTTTAATTTTATAAGAAACTGCTAAGTTTTGTTCAGAGTGGTGGCATCATTTTATATTCCTGTCAGCAACATGTGAGTGATCCAGTTTTCTCACATTTTTTGCCATCATTTGGTGTTATCACTATTTTTCGTTTTAGCTGTCATGATAGTATTAGTCTGGGTTCTCCACAGAAATGGAACCAATAGAAGATATATGTATGTGTAAAGATTTATTGTAAGAATCTGGCACACACATTGTGGTTTTAATTTGCATTTCCCTAATGGCTAATGAAGTTGAATTCATACCATAGATTACTGCTTAGCAATAAGAAGGAATGAACTATTAATGTAAATAGTTCATCATGAAGCAACAGCTTGGGTGAATCACCCAAAAATTATGCTCAGTCAGTGGAAAACGCCAGTCCCCAAGGGTTACATGCCATATGATTATAAAACTGCAATGGTTAATTTTGTGTCTCAACTTGACTGGACCATAGGCTGCCCAGAATTTGGGTCAAGCATTGTCCTGAGTATGTCTGTGAGGGTGTCCCTGGGTAAGATTCACATTTGAATTGGTAGCCTGAGTCAAGCAGATTGCCTTCCCAATTGTTGTGGTTGGGGGGGGCCTCATCCAGTCAGTTGAGGGCATAAATAGAGCAAAAAGGCTGACCCTCCATGTCGTAGGAGGGAGTTCCTCTTGCCTGACCGCCTGGAGCTGGGACATTGCTTCTTTCCTGCCTTCAGACTTGAGCTAAAACGTTGGCTTTTTCTGGGTCTTGAGTCTGCTGACATTCAGATGAAAACTACATCATCAGCTCTCCTGGTTCTCCAACCTTAGGACTCAAGCTGTAGCTTTACCACGAGGTTTCCTTTGTCTCCAGCTTGCCAACTGCAGATCTTGGGGCTTGTCAGCCTCCATAATTGTATGAGCCAATTTCTTACAATAAACCTTTTTATACATACATATCTCCTGTTGGTTCTATTTCTGTGGAGAACCCTGACTAATACAATAACATTCTTGAAATGGCAAAATTCTAGAAAGAGAGGACAGATTAGCAGTTGCCAAGAGTTAAGGAGTTGAGAGGCAGGAAAGAAGTAGGTATAATTATAAAAGAGCAACAGAAGTCTCCTTGTAGTGATGGAACTATTCTGCATTTTGGCTGTGAAGATGGATATATGAACCTAGACTTGTGACAAAATTGCATAGAACTAAATACACACAAACAGACACACAAACACACACACACAAATGAGAACAACTGAAACTGGAGAAATCTGCAAAAGGTTGGTGGATTGTATTAATATCAATATCCTGATGTGCTATTGTACTATAGTTTTGCAAGATGCTATTAATGGGGGAAACTGAGTAAAGAGTGCATGGGGTCTTTGTATTATTCCTTACAAATTGCACATGAATCTACAATTATTGCAAAATGAAAAGTTTAAATTTAAAAATGGGAATAACAACTCTTGGATCACAGAGCTAAGTTCCAGATGAAAAGAAATGGTGTGCAGAGAAGCCTCTGGCTTAGGGTACAACACACTGTAGGTCATCAGTAAGTGCAAATATTAGGTCTTTTATAACAGAGACTTCTGGTTAGTGCCATGTCATATAATACTTAGTGGAAATGAAAAGTTCTGATCATGCCTGAAATAGGAGATAAGTAGATAGAAAGTTAATTATAAGAAAAAGCAGAGTGCTTGAAAAGGAGACACATTGCATTATTTAATTTTAAATAAGTACACATATATATGTACTTATTTATATATATGCATATATAAGCAATATGTCCACCCAAAGAAATGACCTAGAGAACTGGTTGTTAACTAAGAGCCTGCTGCTGTTAATCGAAGATGCCAAGTTCTGCTCTGAATCTTCATAAATGTTTAGTTATCTCTGAGCTGTGGAGTAATTTTAAATTCATACATAGGCCCTAGGAATTTTTGATGAGTATCTTTGAACAGCCCAATTTCTTAAAATCATAGCCTAAACCAGACCGGCACAAAGAAGCCCATGTGGAGTTAATTGCTGTCAACAGGAACAGTGACAGGTTGTTCCATGTTCATAGTATATTTGCTATGTATGCCCTTTATTGCCAGGGGCGGGAGGGGGTGCAGGGGGGCTTCGACCTTCCTCCACCCCTGCTTTTTTCCCTTTGGCTATTTGGCTTCTTTAATAGGCTCCCAAAAGGAGGAAGGGGAGAATAGTCTTCTTTACTGGGTTTTATATGAGGCACATTGTTTCAAGAGAATCTGCCAGTACTGTGGGCTACTTCTTTTTTTTTTTTTTTTTTTAATTATACTTTAAGTTTTAGGGTACATGTGCACAATGTGCAGGTTAATTACATATGTATACATGTGCCATGTTGGTGTGCTGCACCCATTAACTCATCATTTAACATTAGGTATATCTCCTAATGCTATCCCTCCCCCCTCCCTCTACCCCTCAACAGGCCCAGGTGTGTGATGTTCCCCTTCCTGTGTCCATGTGTTCTCATTGTTCAATTCCCATCTATGAGTGAGAACATGCAGTGTTTGCTTTTTGCCCTTGCAATAGTTTGCTGAGAATGATGGTTTCCAGCTTCATCCATGTCCCTACAAAGGACATGAACTCATCATTTTTTATGGCTGCATAGTATTCCCTGGTGTATATGTGCCACATTTTCTTAATCCAGTCTATCATTGTTGGACTTTTGGGTTGGTTCCAAGTCTTTGTTATTGTGAATAGTGCCACAATAAACATATGTGTGTATGTGTCGTCATAGCAGCATGATTTATAAGCAATGGCAACAAAAGCCAAAATTGACAAATGGGATCTAAATAGACTAAAGGGCTTCTGCACAGCAAAAGAAACTACCATCAGAGTGAACAGGCAACCTACAGAATGGGAGACAATTTTTGCAGTCTATTCATCTGACAAAGGGCTAATATCCAGAATCTACAATGAACTCAAACAAATTTACAAGAGAAAAACAACCCCATCAAAAAGTGGGCAAAGGATATGAACAGACACTTCTCAAAAGAAGACATTTATGCAGCTAAAAGACACATGAAAAAATGCTCATCATCACTGGCCATCAGAGAAATGCAAATCACTGGCTATCAGAGAAATGCAAATCAAAACCAAAATGAGTACCATCTCACACCAGTTAGAATGGCAATCATTAAAAAGTTAGGAAACAACAGGTGCTGGAGAGGATGTGGAGAAATAGGAACACTTTTACACTGTTGATGGGACTGTAAACTAGTTCAACCATTGTGGAAGTCAGTGTGGCAATTCCTCAGGGATCCGGAACTAGAAATACCATTTGACCCAGCAATCCCACTACTGGGTATATACCCAAAGGATTATAAATCTGGGCTACTTCTTATAAGGTGAGCAAGGCAAGCTTTCCAATCCAGTATCTCTCTCACAGTAGAATGAGAACTCAGAATGCAAACTGAGAAGACAGAGGCACCTACGGAGTATCGCTGACTCAGAACTGAGCAGAAGCCATGCTTGCCAAGGTTCTCCCCTCCTTCTTTCAGACTCATGCCTGAGACTCCTTAGAGCACAACTTCTGGGCCAGCTTCATGGCTGAGTGATCTGTACAGCCATTCTCAGAAGGACCTTGTGCTTGATTTAATGCTCTGCTTTCACTATCTTGACATTCTTCATCATTTCATCTTAATAATTTTGTCTTTGAACTTATGTTTTGTAAGTGAAGTCCAACAGGACACTGAGCAGAGGAGAGAGATGCAGTACATCTGCCCACAGTGCCCCACTAGGCCATTTGCATACAGCTTTGTGAAGTTGGTTACACAGCTTTCCATACACTCTTACCTTGCACTTGCCTTGAGTCTTGCTAAATGCTCAGCCATGCTGTCCAAGGCATCACTACATCTAAGATTGGGTAAGTGAGGTGCTAAGAGCCCAGAGAGGCTGTGCTTTCCTGTCAAACCAGAATTTGTCTTGAGTGCAAAAAGAAGGCAGTGCTGGTCTAAGAAACCAGAATGGCCAAGAAAGCTTATATAAATATATATATATATATGTGTGTATATATATATATATATATGTATATATATATATATATATATATATATATATATATATATATATATATTTTTTTTTTTTTTTTTTTTTGACATGGAGTCTTACTCTGTCGCCCAGGCTGGAGTGCACTGGCACGATCTTGGCTCACTGCAAGCTCCGCCTACCAGGTTCACGCCATTCTCCTTCCTCAGCCTCCTGAGTAGCTGGGACTACAGGCACCCACCACCAATCGCAGCTAATTTTGTATTTTTAGTAGAGACAGGGTTTCACTGTGTTAGCCAGGATGGTCTCGATCTCCTGACCTCGTGATCCACCCGTCTCAGCCTCCCAAAGTGCTGGGATTACAGGTGTGAGCCACCGCGCCCGGCCGGAAGCTTATTATATATATTCTTACTGGTCTTACTTTCCTGAATTAGCCAATCATTTGTACTGAAATGGAAAAGATAGGGCAATCCATAGTTCTTTTTCTTTCAGTCCTTCCTTACTCACCATTAAACCCAAAACAGAGAGTGCTGGAGGAACATCTGAAAGAGCAAAATGAAAACAGTTGAGCTAGTTTTCTGCAGCTTTTCCACCATTCCCATAAAAATGAAATACATATGCACACGCAAGCCTTGAGGTATGAATTGTATAATTTTGGCAGTTCTGCATATGGTCAAATGCTCTTAGGTTTGAATTATAAAATTGGCATTGCACAATATAAAATGAATGATCACATACATGCTAATCATTGATAATTTTAACCTTTCTTCATTTATTTAGACATTAAATAGCAAATAAAAACCACCATGACAAGTCAAGAAAGAGACCATGAAGAAGGAAAAAGCTTATGTTTTGATATTTTTAATAGCACTTTCCTGCTTTTTGAACAAGGACCCTACCTTTTCATGTTGCACTGGGCTCTGCAAATTACATAGTTGGTCCTGGATGTCTTGCCAGGCTCGTTGGCCTCCTGGAGAACAAGGGTGGACACTAAGCATCTCTTCAGGCTTTGGGTACTGGAGTCAGTTAAGGAGCTATAGTTGGAAAGTTATCCTGCCCAGCATCTTTCACTATTTGACCACCCAGGACCCATGGAGAAATTTACTAGGGAGAAAGTCATCTGTCTTAAGCTTGTGAGTACTGATAAGGCTATAGAAAAGATGTCTAATTAGTGTATGTATGGAATATGTGTGAGTGTGAGTGTGTGTGCGTGTAAACATGTGAGTCAATTTCACAAGAGACTAATATATAGACACGAATGGCAGGATATAAATTTACAATAAGAAATGGAGTTGGCACGGGCACTAGGAACTGCATCCTTATTTCCCCCTGAAAGTCACGTTGTAAAAGGAGGCAAGTGAAACATATAAAGTGCTCTGATGTATTAGGGTTCTTATTGCAGACCACAAACTCTACTCAAGCCTATTTAAGCAGAGCAGAGTTTATAACAGAGGAGTGGTTTGCAGAGGATATTACAAAGCTCAGTCAGCTACTCACCAGATCTGTTTCATCTTTTTTTTTTTTGGACACACATCTAGGATACATTTTAAAAACGCTTATGTGGTTAGATGTGGCCATGTGACTGAATTCTAGCCAATGGGATGTGAACAGTCACAATGTGCTCCACTCCCAGGCCTGGCCCATAACAGCCACCCATGTGCAGACCCTCATGGTCTTTACTTTTATCAGTTCAATGTAGACAGCCATGATAACCTTGGAAGCCATGTGCTGAGGTTGCAAGAAGCCTGGATTCCTAAACAGATGCTTGAAAGGAAAACTACCCACTGACCAGGAACCCTCATTTTGGACTTTACGTAAGAGAAAAATATGCTTCTCTTGCATTAAGCCATTGAGATATTTGGGAGTTTATATGTTACAGCAGCCAGCATTACCCTAATGGAAACTTAGAATTTCTAGAAGATTTGGGGAAGCATGTTTAGATACTACAGAGTCAGACACGAATGCAGCCAAAAACAGACCCAGTCATACCATGGGATAATTCTAAAGGAAATCTTATTGCCCTATCTCATGCTCTTTCGGCACAATGAGAGCTGACCAAGAAGCTCCACCATCCTTGCTCTGGAAGATCCAAACTCCCCTGCCAACAAGCTTGGCACGAGCTCTACCCTGCCTGACTGCCGCCAGGTGTTCGCTTCCACCTGCCAACTCTTGCATGGTGGACCCAGGTTGCAGACAGAACTTTAGCTACGAGGAAGTCTGGGAAACACACTTCATAGCTTCCCTGCCTTGGTGATACAGGAAGGCATGTCAGAGAGGACTGAATGAACCAGTCTGCAGAATCTGCCCTAATGGTAAGGTTAGACCAGAAGAAGTGGAATTAATTGGGTGATTGAATAGTTTTCAGCTTCAAGTTATGTATTCATCCCACAACAACCTGACAGGGGGTCAGCTGCTTTGGGCCCACTACTCCTAACTGTTCAAGGCATCCTGATTCCTGTGTTTTCCAGGGTTGAAAGCTGACAAGCCTTCTTTTGATTTTGTCAATATTTTTATTCCTCTTTCCTGGACTTTGAAACACTCTCTATTTTTAAGCCACTGTACACCCTGATGTTTATGTGATTTATGTGGTTAAACTCTTAG
The DNA here is from genome assembly GCF_000001405.40 of Homo sapiens. Classification (NCBI taxonomy): domain Eukaryota; kingdom Metazoa; phylum Chordata; class Mammalia; order Primates; family Hominidae; genus Homo; species Homo sapiens. The sequence continues at coordinate 175,089,627 of NC_000005.10, forward strand.
GAAAGGAGCAATTGCTTTCATTGACCTTATTCCAGGATCTTACTAGACCTCTTGAATTTTTCTCATGAACCCCTCTAGAAAGAACATGCTTGGAGAAGTGGTGGCCCCACCTATTCTCACCTTCAAAGGAGCTTCAGAGCCAAAGCTTTCTCGGTAAGGGAATGCAGCAATCACTTTGCTTTACACTGAGGCAGCATGATTGAGAGCCTGGGTTCTGAGGCCAGATTGCTCGGGTTCAAAATCTGCCTCTGCTATTTTCCAAATACATGAAGTAGAGTAATTATTCAATCTTTATGGGTTTCAGCTTTCTCTGTAAAATGTGGTTAGTGGTAATGCCCCCTTATGGAGTCATGATGGAGAGTAAATGAGTTAATTCACATGGTGGTCTTAGAACAGAGCCTGGCACAAAGGAAGTGACCCGTAGGTGCCGGCTGTCATGATGATGATTCCATGGAGCAAACCTAATTGCACTGTTACCTTATTTTCAAATTTATTTTTGCTAGTAATAATCTTGCTTTATTAAATCTTCCTTCCATCTCCTGCCCAAGATGATTTCACAGAGTTTTCTGCATCCTGGAATAGGGTGCTTATCTTCTGGTTTGTTTATATCACCTCCCCAGAACACACCTCTGATTTTATGATGAGGGCTGGTGGCACACCTGAACTAGAAATTCTGGCACTCAGATTGTAGGAGACTTTTGAGGAATAAATCTGTTTCCTAGAGTAGAGCTATAGAGAAGCAGATGCATTTGAGCCCACACTGCCAAGCTGTTGCAGTTCAGAGAGAACATAAGGAGGTCAAAGAAAGAAATTAAAAAAATTGTGGGAAGGTGCTCAGAGCAGATGGTTAGGAATGGCACCAAAGGGCACGAGTGGAGGCTGGCGCATGAGGTTAAGGCTCTGTTCTTAGTCTGTGCCACAGTTGTGCTGACCTCACATCACAGGTTCTTGCCCAGGTACTTCTGGTACTAAGAAAGTTAGCAAGCCACGTGCATTATGCTTAGGTTTCCGAGCTCTGAAAACCTGAGCTCAAGTCCTGGCTTGGTCAACCCATAGAAGAGGGTCTCTGGAAACTTCCTTACCCCCATGGAGCCTCAGTTCCCTTCAGCTGTAAAATCGGAATCATCGCATGTATCTTTCAAGGCTATTTTGGGGGTTAGCTGATATAATAGGAACGAAAGCACTAGCATAGTATCTGGCATGAAATAGGTTCCCTAAAAATGTGATGCAAATTGGACTTTGTATTTTATATTCTAAAAGAAAAGGAATTCTATTGAAAAGAAAATTGCTCTTTATAAGTTTTGCCTGTAGCAGTAATAGAGTGTGTGGTAGGAGGAAGCAAAAGACAAAAAACCTCAAATAGTTTCAACTCCAGCTTTTGAAGCCTCCAAGTGAACTCTATAATTTGGCTTCTTTCAGCCCTTCTGAGGACTGAAAGCCTTCACGTATAGAGAGAGCCAAGGATGCCAGCCTCTTCCATTATGGGCTCTGATTTATCATTCATTGCAGCAAGAGACATCTGCTTGGTGAGTTCTTTGAGGGCATGACAGAAAGGCATCTCCTTGAATTCAGCAGATTTTACAGTCACTCAGATCTCTAAGGGAAATGATTGCAAGGTAGCCGAGTGTGACAGGAGGGTTGGCTGTCTGTCCACTGCTGGCCTGCTACCCTGGCAGAGGCAGCGGACTCAGGAACTGCCCAAGAATCTTTTGCTCACCTTCCCCCAGCTCAGCTCCCTTACTCAGTTTCTGCTCTGAGGACTGGAGCAATCCATACAGCCCCTCGCTAAGGAAGTTACTGTTATGCACTATATTATGCCTTCCCGCAAGTTCACATGCTGAGTCCTAGCTCCCAGTACCTCAGAATGTGACTGTAGTTGGAAACAGAATCTTCAAAGAGGTAATTAGCTTATAGTGGGGTCATTAGGGTGGGCCCTAATCCAATATGTCTAGTATTCTTATAAGACGAAAAGATTAAGACACAGACATGTATGTAGAAGAGACCATGTGAAGATAGAGAGAAAACAGCCACCTATAAGCCAAGGAGATAGCCCTCAGGAGAAATCAACAAATCTCAGACATCCTGCCTCCAGACTGGTGAGAAAACAAATTTCTGTTGTACTTTTTTTTTTTTTGAGATGGAGTCTCACTCTGTTGCCCAGGCTGGAGTGCGGTGTGCAGTGGATGATCTCGGCTCACTGCAAGGTCTGCCTCCCAGGTTCAAGCGCTTCTCCTGCCTCAGCCTCCAGAGCAACTGGGATTACAGGTGTGCGCCACCACACCTGGCTAATTTTTGTATTTTTAGTAGAGACGGGGTTTCACCATGTTGGCCAGGCTGGTCTCAAGCTCCTGACCTCAAGGGATCCAACCACCTAGGCCTCCCAAAATGCTGGGATTACAGGTGTGAGCCACCACACCTGGCCATAGACTTGATGTCTTCTGTTCATTCCACTTTCTCCAGGGAGATGGGGCCATCCTTGAGGGGAAGGACTGTGGGTCTCCTACCTCTGCAGCTCCCACAACATCTAACACTGGGCAGGCGATCTACCTGATTTCTCAGTGCATCCTCCTATTCATTCCTTTGGATGAGAGGTGGTGGTAACATCAGAAGAGATTAATCAAGAAGCTGTTTGTGGAAGGAAGCATCTGAAGGCAGTGGGGGCATTCATTGCTCAGCAAACAGGTGCTAGTCTCCAGGGTTCTCCTGAGAAGCAGAACCAATAAAATGTGTGAGACTGTGTGTGTGTGTGTGTGTGTGTGTATACATGTGTACATATGTATATGTGTACGTATACATTATACTTACATTATAGGGTATTGACTCTCCTGATTACAGAAGCTACGCAGTTCCACGACTTGCTGTCTGTAAGCTGGAGACCCAGGAAAGCCAGTGGTATAATTCCAAGACCCGAGAGCCAATCCAGATCTGAGAGCCTGAGACAGAAGTACTGAGGGCAGAAGATCAATGATCCAGCTCAGTAAGGCAGAGAGAGGATTCAGCTTTTCTTCACGGTTTTGTTCTATTCAGGCCCTCAACAGATGGCATGATGTCCACTCACACTGGGGAAGCCATCAGCTTGACTCAGTCCACCAGTTCAAATGCTAGTCTCTTTCAACAACACTGTCACAGACACACCCAGAAATCATGTTTAACCAGATATCTGCGTATCTCTTGGCCCAGTCAAATTGACACATAAAACTGTCACACAAGCTCTGTAGATTGCAGGTGAGGGAGATATGCCCCAGCCCTGCAGGGGGGCAGGCCTACTAGAGAAAGACAAACCCATGACCTCACTCTGCTGCTCAGGCTGACTGATAGTGCTCCCTTATTCTTCCCTCCTTACCTTGCCCCTGCTATTTGTCTGCTCACTGCCAGAGGCGACCTGGTCCTGGCAGCAGCCATCTCCACAAACACACATATACATGAGGGCTGAGGTTTCCTATAACCCATTTGCAGCTCCCGCAGCAGGGGCAATGGAACAGTACAGAAGCCATCTGCTGAGGAAGGCACAAACTCCCAGGGTAATACAAAGTGAGGAGTGGTTTTACTCTACCTTCAAGAGTCTGTGAATGTTTTGCAGGGGAGAGCACTTTGAACTGGGTCTTGAGGGGTGAGTGGGAGTTTGCCAGGGGTCATGGTGGAGAAGGGCTTTGCCAGCTGAGGATGTGGTGAGTGACCTGGGGTGGGTGGCTGGGTACAGAGCAGGTGGGGCGACGGAGCTACAGACAGGCAGGGACAGAGAGCAACAAACTCTGTGGGCTTTGTTAAGGTAATCGGATGCTTTCCTAAAGACAAAAACAAACAAACAAGAAAACCAAAGAGACTACTGTAGTTAAGTGTATGTTTTAGGAAGATGTCTCCAGCTGCTGCAGAGCAGGCAGACAGACCAGAGAGAGAGAGAAAGAGAGAGAGAGAGAGAGAGAGAGAGAGACAGGAGGCAAGGAGATCATTCAAGCTGCAACTGAACTTCATTATGAGTTCTCATTGAAGGTGTCTTTGTCTTGGCTCAGGCTGCTATAACAAAAATATCAAGGACTGGGTGGCTTAAGTAACAGAAATTTATTTCTCACATTTTTGGAAGCCAGGAAGTCCAAGAACAAAGTGCTGGCCAATTTAGACCTGGGAGGTTCCTCTTCCTGGTTATGTTCTCACATGATGGACAGAGAGAGAGAACAGACAAACTCTCTAGTGTCTTTCCTTATAAGGGCACCAATCCCATTCATCAGGGCTCCACTCTCATGACCTATCATGTCCCAAAGGCTCCAAACACAGTCACGTTGGGGATTAGCTTTTCAACATATGAGTTTGGGGGTGACACAATCATTCAGTTCATATCAGTGGCTATGTGTCAAAAACCAAGCATGGAGCTTTAAAATTTTTCCTGTTTTGAAAGGGATAGAATTTTAGATTCCTGGGGGGGCTGTCAGGGCACAGTAATCACACAAATCACCCCTAACATTCCAGTGCTGGACACAACTGTAGTCAGTGGGAGACTCCCCACTCTACCCCATCCTTGCTGATGCAACATTGAGGTCACATTCTCAATAAATCTTTATGTTTTTCCTTGCCAACCCTCAACCCCTACCCCCCCACCCCCGCCCATTTCCATTGTCCTACCTTGGACCACACTACGTCTCACTTGAAATGTATGTGTTGGGGTAACAGACTCTTGGCTTGCCTACATGGACCCTTTGCCCTTCCAGTCCATCTTCCCCCATGCTCTAGAAACGGTAACGGGTCATGAGAATATCAGCTGTGGGACCCTGCCTGTTCTATTTACTGCTTTGTTCCCTGCGGTTACAACTGTGCTTTGCATATAGTAAATACTCAGTAAATGTTCACTGTATGAATTAATATATTATCAAATTAAAACTTTTCCTCAACTAAGCCTCTTTCTATATTGTGCTTAATTACTTGGTTATTTAGGCTGCTGGCATCCATGCAGGGTGAATCATGAGACCATTATAGACTTTTGAATGTAACTGAAAGATACAATCTTCCCAACAAAATGCATAATTTTAACTGACCTTCCAGTCTCTAAACTGGAATTACTGCATTGCAATTTACTGTATCACTCTCATGGTAAATGAAAAAACTCCCACTGACAAGAGATTTTTCCTCTCTTGAAGGAGACACAAATTTGCAACAGTACATGGCAAACAATAAAACCGTGTAAAAATTTCAAAGCCCAGACTTCACCACTATATAACATATCCATGTAACAAAGCTGCAATTGTACCTCTAATTCTGTAATTTAAAAAAATAAAAATAGAAAAAGATTTCAACTGCTGGGCAATGGACTGAGCTTCCATGCTAAGTGATCCCAAAAGTTATGTGCAAGAAAGATAAGGATTTTCTGTGTTTGGAAGTCACTAAATGCTTCAGGTGATAAATGAAAGTTTCATATGTTTGTTGGCCACGTAAATGTCTTCTTTTGAGAAGTGTCTGTTCATATCCTTTGCCCACTTTTTGATGGGGTTGTTTGTTTTTTCTTGTAAATTTGTTTAAGTTCCTTGTAGATTCTGGATATTAGCCCTTTGTCAGATGAGTAGATTGCAAAAATTTTCTCCCATTCCGTAGGTTGCCTGTTCACTCTGATGATAGTTTCTTGTGCTGTGCAGAAGCTCTTTAGTTTAATTAGATCTCATTTGTCAATTCTGGTTTTTGCTGCAATTGCTTTTGGCATTTTCATCATGAAGTCTTTGCCCATGCCTATGTCCTGAATGGTATTGCCTAGGTTTTCTTCTAGGGTTTTTATGGTTTTGGGTTTTACATTTAAATGTAAAACCTTTAATGTCTTTAATGCATCTTGAGTTAATTTTTGTATAAGGCATAAGGAAGGGGTCCAGTTTCAGTTTTCTGCATATGGCTAGCCAGTTTTACCAGCACCACTTATTGAATAGGAGATCCTTTCCCCATTGTTTTTGTCAGGTTTGTCAAAGATCAGATGATTGTATATGTGTGGTGTTATTTCTGAGGTCTCTGTTCTGTTCCATTGGTCTATAATTCTGTTTTGGTACCAGTCCCATGCTGTTTTGATTACTGTAGCCTTGTAATATAGTCTGAAGTCAGGTAGTGTGATGCCTCCAGCGTTGTTCTTTTTGCTTAGGATTGTCTTGGCTGTACAGGGTCTTCTTTGATTCCACATGAAATTTAAAGTAGTTTTTTTCTAATTCTGTGAAGAATGTCAATGGTAATTTGATGGGAATAGCATTGAATCTAAAAATTACTTGGGGCATTATGGCCATTTTCATGATATTGATTCTTCCTATCCATGAAGATGAAATGTTTTTCCATTTGTTTGTGTCCTCTCTTATTTCCTCGAGCAGTGGTTTGTAGTTCTCCTTGAAGAGGTCCTTCACATCCCTTGTTAACTGTATTCCTAGGTATTTTATTCTCTTTGTAGCTATTGTGGATGGGAGTTCATTCATGATTTGGCTTTCTGCTTGTCTGTTGTTGGTATAAAGGAATGCTTAGGGACATGGATGAAGCTGGAAGCCATCATCCTCAGCAAACTGACACAGGAACAGAAAACCAAACACTGCATGTTCTCACTCATAAGTAGGAGTTGAACAATGAGAACACATGGACATAGGGAGGGGAACAACACACACCAGGCCTGCTGCGGTGGTGGCAGGAGAGGGGAGGGAACTTAGAGGACAGGTCAATAGGTGCACCAAACCACATGGCACACGTATACCTATGTAACAAACCTGCATGCTCTGCACATGTATCCTGGAACTTAAAGTAAAATTTAAAAAAAAAAGAAAATTTCAGTAATAACAAGCATTTATTGAATTTTTGACATGTACCCCATAGTACACTAAAGGAGTCTGGATATATTGTATTACCACATTTAATCCTGAGATGTTAAAGGTGGGTATTATTATCTCCATTTTACAGGTGAGAATGGAGGCTTAGAGAGAAGGCATGACTTGCTCAAGGTCACAGAGCTCGTGAGTGGCCAGCTGGGATTCCACCCCATGTTGGGCTGACTCAGGGCTCTGCCCTTGCTGCTATCGCTTGCACATCGTGGGACGTTCCTCTTGCATTTGTCCTGATGCTTTTGGCATCCCAGGGCCTTGACTAATGCCCCAGTTTCCTAACATGTCAAGAGGAGGCTGCCAAAATCAATCATCTGAGGGTTAATTCAAAAACTCCCAGTGGCAAGGGATTTTTGCTCTCTTAAAGGAGACACAAGTAATTATGAGCAATGTAGCCCGTTAAAAAACAGCCTAAATAGAGAGCTGGGGAGGGTACTTCCGAAGCCATTACCACCAGGGTTTCTCCAGACGGGTTGAAAGGCTGCTTGTCTTAGGCAATTTGGATTCGGTTTGCTGTGTGCATGGAGCTGTCAGATAGATTTGCAAGGCTGTGTGCATCCCAGTATTACTTCACATGGCTTCACATGCCTCACATTGCTTTGTTATTATCTCCTCTCTCTGCCTCTCCTGCTAAAACATGGCTTCTTCAAGGGTAACAAACAATTCCAATTCAGCCTAACGCAGAGGCGACGCAGTACCGTAGCTAAGAGTCAGCACTCTGGTGCAAGACAGCCAAGCATTGGAGCTCAGTTCCTCTGCTCTACAAGCTACACGACCTTGGGCATGTTCCTTAATCTCTCTGTTCCTCTATTCTTTCATCTGTAAAGAAGGAATGTGATAATGCCTGTGTCATTGTGTTTTTATGATAATTAAATGAGTTAAATATAAACAGTTTTAGAAAAATGTTGGGCAAAGAGGAAAACATTTGGTGAACATTTTTATCTCGCTTCATCATACCTGTTGCTGTTGGCTCCTAGGGGCAAACCTTGAGTTAAGCCCCACTATCCCTATTTCTGGATATTTTAAATCATGTGAGTCAACACATCACCTTTGTTTTTTAAGTCAGGTTGAGTTTTAAATTGTTATTTACTTAGCCAAAAGCATCTGAAGCAGATGCTGGATGAATATGGATAGCAATAGGTACAGCATTCTGGGCTCTTCTTGGACTAGGACTGGAGAACTGAGCCCCCTTGATGGCATCTGTTTGTGGGAGCCAGAGGAGGAGGGCTGTCCCTGGGGTGGGCAGCAGGGAGGTGGCCTTCCACCATGGCAGGGTGGGTCTTTGCCAGACACTGGCTTTTCATGTCACTTCCCAACCATCAGGTACACTGGAAGCTCATCTTATTTCCACAACCTGCACGAGGAAAGAGGCCAATGCACATCCCAGCAATTTCCAATGCCCCATCTCCTGCTCCTTGTTCCTCAGAGTGTTGGCCAACAGACAGACCCTTAACAAAGTTCACCATGCTCCTGAGGTCTATTTCTGTCAGATGTGTGTGGTGATCTTATCTCAGATGATTTCTCCAATTTACAAATCACCTTCAGGTCTTATCAAAGTTTTTGACTCTGCTGAATCCATACATGCTCCTCAATGTTTTGGAATCTGGGTGACCACCAGATAGCAAGGTGGATGGCTAGTGGAGTTGTCTGAGATGTTTGGACTTGTTAGAGGCTTAAGCTCGTTACTTACAAGCCCTGGAGAGAATTCTCCAAAAGAACCAGTGGTAAAACACTGATCAGAAAAAAAGCTTACAAGCTTGTTTTCAAAGAGCCAGAAGACCTAGGTTCCATGCTGCAACTGCCGCACTAGGAGATAAACTACTAAAAACAACACGGGCATTTTTAGGAAAGACACCACAGGGAAGTAGCCTCACAATAATTGCCCAAATCTTTCTGACCATACCTGACTGTAAAAGTGGACACTGTCTGACCTGACTTCAGCTCCATTAAGAGCGGCTGTTGGCAAGTCTCCCAGAAGAGGCCCGCCAGCCCCCAGCTATATTCAAAGCAACTGGGAAGATTTGAGTTCTTGACAGCTTTTCCCCCATCACGAGATAATAAGATAGGTCGCATTTCAGATTTAACCCACTTGACATTTTAATTCTTCTAATGTGTTCTTTGATGTGTGCAGATGAGGTGCCGTGTAGGTACAAGTTGCTATTTATATAGTCCTGGCAAGTGGATTCCATCAGTATCAGCTCCTTCGTTCACTCGGGTGCCTTTAAGATCATCAGAAATTCAAGTTTTCAACTCCCCAATAGTTTCTTCTTCCCAAAGTTTGAACAAAGAACAAGAGAATAATGACCCTCTGATTTCTTGCTTTGTGGCAAGAGGACCATGTCATATGTTACTTAAAATATTAAAATAATATTAATATTAAAATATCAGTATTATTAATATTTTATTAATAGTGAAACATTAAAATAATATTACAAATCTTGAATTTGGAGAAGATAGGCCTGGTGCTTAACAACTTAGAGCTGGATGTGGAGTCAGTGAGGTAATGTGTGCAATGTTCTTAACATAAAGGCTGACCCAGGGCCAAGCTCCACAAATGACAATTATTACCTGTACTTGCTAATATTGTTGTCACTGTCACATCATCATCATCATCACTATCATGACATTATGGCTGTTATCTCCATCATCATTATCATTGTTGTCATATCATCATCATCTCCATTACCATCATCATCCTCATAACTTTCTTGGCTCTTCCACTTACTACCCAGCATCCTTGGTCACTTTCTCTCTATGGATATCCCATTTTCCTTTTCATAAAACTGGATAATAACTGCTACCTCTCAAGACCACCAAGAAGAATGAATGAGGCAGAGCGAGTCCTCCGTAAGATTTGGGCCTCATCAGGTCCCTCTTATATCTCAGCTTACATTTCTTATGCATGATTTGTTTGCTTATTTACCTGTTTTGTTTGTTTTTTAGTTTTTGTTTGTTTTTTTTTGAGACAGAGTCTCACTCTGTCACCAGGCTGGAGTGCAGCGGTGCAATCTCGGCTCACTGCAACCTCCGCCTCCTGGGTTCAAACGATTCTCCTACCTCAGCCTCCTGAGTAGCTAGGACTACAGACGCATGCCGCCACGCCCAGCTAATTTTTGTGTTTTTAGTAGAGACGAGGTTTCACCATGTTGGCCAGGATGGTCTCGATCTCTTGACCTTGTGGTCCACCCGCCTCGGCCTCCCAAAGTGCTGGGATTACAGGCGTAAGCCACCGCCCCGGGCCGCTTCTTTCCCTGTTTTTATATTTTAGTCTTTGCACTTATCAATTCCCCCAAGCCATGAAACCCAGGATTTTCTGTCCTTCAGAGCCCTGTGCTACCCTGGTGAGAACTCTGGTTGAGATTCAAGAAACCTGTCAACTCCAGTCAGGAATCCAACTCTCATACAAGCTCACTATGTGGTCTTAAGCAATTTTCTTTATCTACAAAATAAGACAATTGTACCATATGGGTAGTTCTCAAAGTGGTCTACAGACCATGAGTACCAGACGTTAAGAATTCACATTTCTGAGGCCATGCCTCACACTCACTACATCAGACTCTAGGAGTGAGGCTCTGGGACCTGCATTTTACATGCTTTTTAGGGCTCCTTATGTGCACTAGGGCCCGAGGAGATAGCCTCTTGGGACCCCCTCTCAGCTTTGCTAGTCCCTGGTGGGAGGACCACTGGCTGAACAGGAAGTCCATTTCCCAGTGTCATTGCCCTACCTAGGGGTTAGACAAGCTGAAAAAGAAGAGTTCTTGGAGCAATACGAGAAAACAACAAACCAAATATTTGTTAGACTTTCTGAAGTACTGCTTTATTCCAGAAGTTCAAAATTAACATATTCAAGATACTCAAGACAAAAGAAAGGTAACCAGGAACTTCATATGTAGCCACACTAATCTCCCATACGAAGGCTGCAGACAAACTGTCCCAAGCACTCAAGAACTCGGGGAACACTGTTCCCAAGAACTCTTACTGAGAAACGAGCTTCAGACAACTGAAAGAACTAGACAATCATAACCATGGGGCTGGTGATGACCATTAAATAGGCGTCTACTAGTCAAAAAAAAAAAAAATACAATTGGCTCTTTGTATCCATGGGTTCTACATCTGTGGATTCAACCAACTATGGGTCAAAAATAGTCAGAAAAAATATTTTTGTCTGTACTGAATAAGTACAGACTTTTTTCTTGTCATTATTCCCTAAACAATACAGCATAACAACTATTTATGTAACATTTACATTGTATTAGGTATTATAAGTAACTTAACGATGATTTAGAGTATATGGGAGGATGTGTGTATGTTATATGCAAATACTATGCCATTTTATACCAGGAACTTGAGCATCACAGATTCTGGTATCTGCAGGAGGTCCTGGAACAAATACCCCATGGACACCAAGGGATGATTGTATGTACCACTCACTACCCGCCCCCCACCCCACACACATACAAACATACTTCTTGGCTTTTTTTCACTCTTGGTGAAACTTGCTCATTTCCTGTAATCTAAGAATAAATTAAGGTTGAAAGACAGAAAACTACAAAGTAATGGGGGAACAATAGAGACAATATAGGAAAAGTAGAGTAAGCTCACTTATTACCTTACAGGCACAGAGTTGACCCTTGAATAACATAAGGATTAGGGGTGCCAACCCTCCATGCAGTTGAAAATCCACATATAACTTTGACTTCCTACAAACTTAACTACTAACAGCCTACTGTTGCCCAGAGGGCTTATCAATAACATAAATGGTCAATTCATACATATTTTGTACATTATAGATATTATACACTGTATTCTTTCAATCAAGTAAGCTAGAGAAAAGAAAGTATTATTAAGAAAATCATAAAAAGATAAAATACATTTACAGTACAGTAGTGTGTCTATCAATGCCATAAGTTTACATCACCTGTTTATGACACAGATCATGTCTGAAATATTGGCACCTGCAACTGCAGACCTCAACCTTTGGTATATATCAAACAATTCAACTTTTTCTTGTAATGCCATGACGTTTCTCTGCTTCTTGGGAGTACTTCCAGCTTCACTAGTGGCATTTTGTATGAGTCTCATGGTGTTATTTAAGGTTTATGGTATTGTACTAAACACAATGAAAACTACGCGAGAACCTTGAGATTAGTTATTACTGTAATATGCAGTTTACTGGAGAGATGAACTGGTTACTTGGAGATGGTTAGCATCACATGGAATCTTGAGCAGACACTGGCAACACTTGAGTTCAAGGCAATAGCAACAAGGGGTGACTATGAAATTATTACAGTAGTGCCATAGGTACTACAGTTAAATTTATGCAATTATGATTTAATATTGCAACTTTACCTTTGTTTACATTTAACTGAGAATAGTGCCACGTATTGTCTGTGTTTGTGTGCAGATGTTTTAATAAATTCTATCTTTTTATAATAGATTTGTGTATATTTTACGATAGTAAATGATAGAATAGTATCTACATAAAGTTTATGCTTTCACAACCTACTTAACTTTTTCCTATTCTTTTTGCTATTTCTAGGCTATGTGGCTCATCTGCAAGTTTTTTCAAATTCTTTCAAATCTCCAAAAAATTTCCAATATATTTATTGAAAAAAATCCTTATATAAGTGGACCACACAGCCACAACCCACGTCGTGCAAGGGTCAACTATATTAATTGGGAATAAAAGGGTATGTTGGGGAGAGGGAGTGGAGGGAGAGGAGAAGTCACTAGTAAATTTCGAGATTATTCATGGTAAGGGTCCAAAATACAGTAGCAGAAAAGAAAGAAAAAAGGAAAGAAGGAAGAAAGAAACTAACAAGATCACATACACTTATAAAGATAATTTTTGTTATAATAATAAAAAATCTAAAACAATGTTGCCTAAATATCAAAATGTATACCAGAAGAGACTAAAAGGAAATATATATAAACAACACACATATATGTGTATGATTTTACATAAATATAAAATATGACAAAACTGAAACTAAATATATTAATCCCATCAATAAATACAGATGGGCTTAACTCATCTACCAAAATAAAAATATTTTCCATATTGATTAATAAAGTCAAATCTAAAACTATCGATGAGAGATGCCTCTAAACAAAATAAATAATAAATAATGTATATATAATAGCAAAGGACTGGAGACACCGCAATTGCTCATCAACTGAGGACTGGTTGAAAAACTGGGGCACAACCATCAGTGAAGCCCTTTTTACAGAAGCATCTGTAAAAAGGAGTAAGAGAGATCTCTGTGTGTGCTCATGGAGGGCTCTGCAGGATGCACTGCTGAAGAGAGAGTGCAAGGTAGACAGAGTATGATATGGTATCAGTCATCTCAGGAAGGAAGCATGTGAACATGTGGATGGATGGATGGATGGATGGGTGGACAGATGAATGATAGATGATGCATGGATGGAGTGGATGGATGAGTGAATGAGTGGGTGGATAGGATGGATGATGGATGAATAGATGGATGGATGGATGCATGAGTGGGTGGATGGCTGGATGGATGGATGAATGATGGATGAATAGATGAATGGATGGATGATGAATGGATGGATGAATGGATAGATGGATGATGGATGGATGGATGAACAAAATAGAGATCACCTATATTACATATTACATCTATACACATGTATATCTATCTATCTTTCTACCTTGTGTTCATATTTAGAAAGACAGCAGGAAGATAAGCCATGATTTTAAAATGCTTTCTTTTAGAAAGAAAGTGAATCAGGTGGAGGGACAGGGATACAAACTCAATTTCTTTGACTACATATTTTTGTAGGTGTGATTTAGGAAACACATACCTATATTACATAATGATATGACAAAATTACATTTAAAATAAATTTCTAAAACCCAAAGTTAAATGAAATGATGAACCTAAAATGTGTATCCAGTTGGTGGCATAACCACACAGAGAGAAACCATTTCAACTGACTTAAAAAGAAAATGATGTATTCCTTCCCACTGGCTATCATGTCATGAGATCACGAATCTCATCCTGAGGATACATTGGACAAATGAGGCAGTCGGCACTTGTGAAGCGTGCATGGTATCAGGTAATCAGGTAATTGGGTTGTGTACACTCACTGGCCCAGCTCTGAGGACAGGAACTATATGCACATACTCTGGCTTTACAAGGTCAGCATGAAGAGGGTGAATATTACTTACCTGTCAAATATACAAATGGATCAGTAAAGTACATTGATTAATAAATGGAAGTTTTGAATCTTTTGAAATCTGGGTATTTTCAAATTCAAATCCCAGAGTCAATTTATGTTGAAAAGTCCATGAATCTTAGTAAACGATTAAAACAAAATAGTGTGGTGTTTTCAAAGTCTGGGGAAAGTTTGATCTTAGGAAAAAAAAAAAAGAACAAACTTTCAAGTAAGTCCTTTGTGTAGACTCGTTCCCTGACATCTCATTAGCTCCCATTGATCCAGGATAATGCAGAAACATTCCTGCAGGGCAGTTAATTAGAGAAGCCACTGAGGGGAAGAGAGGGAGATGGGCTGGCCCCGTTGTTGGTGCTAGCAGGCTTCGTATTGGTCAGCTTCTTTTTTTCCATAGTCTAAGATGGATATTAATTTCATTTAGTGGGATCAGAAAGGACTTTCTAGCAGTGTGGAGTTTAAATGGGTCTGGAGGATGAGTAGGAGCAGGTGATGGTGAACATGAGGTCAGTGTTGAGTGTTCAGGCAGAAGCACGGTTGTTCCACCGTAGAAGGAGGTGTTTTCTGAAGAAAATTGCTATCTTTGGGACATCTACTACTTGCCAGGCACTATGCAAGGCATTTCCTACAGCATTCATTCAAGCCTCATAACATCATCTTTCTATATATGATCATCATCTTTCTATATATGATCATCATCATTCTATAAAGGCTTGCAGCTCACCTAGAAAGTGGCAGACATGGAATTTTAATTCAGGTCTGTCTGACATGAAAGCCCTTGCTCATCCCAGTCTACCCAGTAGCATGCTGCAGACATCTCGAGGGGAGGCAGAGGGCCAGTGGCTTCCTTGGCTGCTCAGAGTTGCTGGGTTACATCACATGTGGCCTCCAATCCTAGCTCAGCACCTATCAGTGATGTGACTTTGGAGCCTCCGTTTCCTCATCCGCAAAATGGGGAGCACTGTACTCATCAGGAAGTAGTGTCATGCTTGTCAAACTAGAGAAGGCACCTGACTTTGGGCATGTACCCAGTCCTGGGGCACCGTCACATTGTTTCATTGGTGAGAAGGCTTCGCAGGACAGAACTTCTCAGCACCCAAGGCTCACAGGAGAAACCACCCACCCTCTCTTGCAAACCTTCACTCTCATAGCCCATGTTCTATTACAGGACCTGGATGTGGGCAGACAAGGGGTTAAGAGGAAAGTTGCGACAGCTGGCAGTTTCCTCCTACGAGCACAGTGATGAATAGCAACGAACAGACTTATTAGGAAGCATTAGGGCAAGATGATTAATGAATCAAACAGGCACCCACGTTTTAATGAGGCAGTGTTTGCTTTCCTACCTTTAAATTGTGAAATACAACTCCAAGGATTCTGGCCAAACTGGGAAAGGATCGCCCAGCAAAACAGCCCCTTATTGCCTCCAGGGCAACTGAGCCAAATTAGAAAGGCTTTATTTAAAAAAAATTGTTAAAGCAAATTAAAAAATTTAACAACCTCCTGCCATAAGAGAGCAATACGTTGTCATTTCTTTAAAGGACAAATGTAAAAAAGACAGGTATCCAGGATTCCTGACAGATTTGTTGTAGTGTCTCACGACTCACAGATGGGTCAAGTGGGAAGTCTGCAGGGACCTGGGTTCTGGGAGGTTTGCTTTCCTGAAGGAGATGCAGGCTTGGGAGGAGGCCGGGAGCAGAACGGCATTAGCACAAGGTGGGAAAGAGAGTGTGGACGCAAGATGACACCTGGAAGCAACAGCACCCTGCTGCAGAAGAGGACCCTGCTTAGAGCAAGCACACTGCCTGAATGCTGGTTCCTCTCCTGCACTGTCGGCCTGGGCCAGGCCACTTCCCCTCTCTGTGCCTCAGCAGCCTCCTGTGTAAAAAGGAGACATAAACACCTGCCAGGAGGGCTAGGATGAAATGAGATAATGCCACGTGTGTTGCAGGTGCTCCATATATCTGCCCTTCCCTTGGGCAGGAGAATGCAGTTAAGAAGCAGGAACTCTAGAGCTAGACTATCTGCATTCATGTGGACCACCACTTATCATGGTGACCATAGGCAATTTATTTATTTGCTCAAAGCCTCGGTCTTCTCGGCTGTAAAATGGGAATGACGACAATTCCTTCCTCTTGGAGCTGCTGTTAGGATTACATGACACAATGCAGGTATTTCATGCACCAGGCACATTTTCACTCTTCCATAAATGTCAATTATTATGAGATTAGTTTAATAATGCACAGGCCGGGCACAGTGGCTCACTCCTATTCTCCCAGCAACTCAGGAGGCTGAAGTGGGAGGATCACTTGAGGCCAGGAGTTTGAAACTAGCCTGGGCAAAATAGAAAGACTCTGTGTCTACAATAAATTTTAAAAAAAAATTAACCAGGCGTAGTGGTGCATGCCTGTAGTCCTAGCTACTCAGGAGGCTGAAGTGGGAGGATTGCTTGAGCCCAGGAGTTCAAGGCTGCAATGAGCTATAATTGCAGCACTGCACTGCAGCCTGGGCAACAGAGTTAGACCTTATCTCTAAAATAATAAAAATAATTCATAATAATAATAATGCAAAGATGTTTTTGTACGAAGAAAGTTACTGACAATGCCCTCTGAGATCACTAGCAAAAACTGAAGAAAAAAATAAAGTAAACCTACCCAGTGGGGTGGATCCTGGTTTGCAGGGTATTCTTCCAAATCAGCGGGAGGGTTTCTATAAAATATAAATACAACATTAGGCGTGAAAGTAAATATTTACTTCGATTTAAAAGAACTCACTACAAAGTACATCTCCTTGGCCCCTCACATTGAGTGTGAGCTTACACTTGTGGAGGTCTGTAAGCCGGCCCTTCACGCCTATATCTCCCTGCCAGCAAATCCTGTTTTAGACATTCAATATTTAAATTGCCTATTCCAATTCTCTATCAAACCATCACTCTGAGGATGAAAGTATGTCCCTTATTTTGAAAAAAACGTAACTCAGGGTTCTAAATTGGTGCAATGTCTTCTGTTGCAGTGTTTTTTTAGTGCTCTGAGCATTTACATCTCCCACTGGGTAGACAAAGCCCCATCCAGAGTAAGTGTCTGTTCCTGTCCAGACCCATTGGTTCCTCCTCCCACCCACTGAGGCTACTGGCATTGGTCCAGTGTAATCCACCTACAAGGTATGTGCAGGCTTTCCCCAGGGAGTCTGTCCCATAGCCATCTGCAGTCTCTGTCTCTCTTGTTGGCAGACAGAACAGTTGTCATTCATGTGTTGTGCCTCAGAGAGTGCAAGAGGAATTTGTCTACACTCAGCCCATCTCTGCACTGCTGCCCTCTACCCACCATGTCCACTCACTTTATGGACGCTAGTGGCCACCTCAAATGAGCACACAGGGAATCTACTTGTCAACTGGAATTACCTTCCAAATCTGAAATGGGGTTCTTCTGACAGGCATCAACATGTCCTACTTTAATATACCCCCCAAATTCCTATAGTGATGTCCACAGGGCCATGCCCCATAGAGACATGTGCTAATAGGTCAGTTTTCCATTGCCATTCTGCTGACCATGTTGGCAGGCCATTGGCCACTGCCCATGAGTTGGTAGAAATCCAAACAATGGGGCACACAGAATGCAATTCAGCTGATTAAGCTGAATTTGTTTTACCTTCTTCAATCAGAGTGGTTGGCTTCCAGACAGGATATTGTCTATTTAACTTGGAACTGTCATTCATAAATCACTTGGAACTGTCATTCATAAATCAGTTCTTTGTTGGTCAATTGAGAACTGTGTATAGAGCTCTGTCTGAGTGACAATAGAATGCAGCAGCTCTTCAGATGGTTCCAAAGTTGGTCCCTGAGGGAAAAGAAGCTACTTGTTTGTGAATATACTGAGTATCTGCATTTTCCCAGTAGCGTGTTCAGGTTTCAAGATATTTATGTTGTTCAATTTTAGGAAAAGCTTCAATCCATGTCAGACAGCAAGCTAGCAACTGCCTCTCAAATGGTCCCAATCTCCAGTATTCATCCCTGGGAGATGCTGGCAGGCTTTTGACATAAACCTCAGTCTACACTCCACACAGGATTATTGAACAGGGAATTTATCCATACCAGCACTCCAGCCTCTCTTCTACACTGTTTGCTAGCAACAGCCTGTATGTGCTCATTCTTGTTGGTTTTCATTTAGCATATCCAATTAATATTGCTTGAAAGGCAGATTTGCACACCCTCTGTTTTATAATAGTAGGTAGGAGAAACAACAACAAAAAAACATTTCCCAGTCAGACATAGTATCCATCCCCATAATACATTCAAGTAAAAGAGATGTAGCCACTTCACATAAAGCCTGTTTGAATGCAATGAATTTTGTCCAAACTTTCGCCTTAATGCCACCAACCCTTGCACTCCTAACTGCAGCCCTGGTTGGGACTTTGCCAACAGGTTTCGGTTTTGCAATGCTAGGTAAGGGAAGTGTTCCCTAATCGGATGTAATATCTATTCCCATAAAACATTCAGGTAAAGGAGACACTACCTCTTCATACAAAGCTTGTTTAAACATTCAGATCTTCATTTAAACTTTCACGTTAGTTCTATCAACTCTTACATTTCTATATTCTCAATTTAATTGCCGCCCTTCCCAGAGTTTCTCCATTGGGTTTGGGTGCATGGGACACCTGTGTCAAGGAGTCTCAGAAACTTCTCTTCTCCACCCTCTGTCCATTTAATCCTCCTTAGTGCATAAAGTTTTGGGTCCCCACTTGGGGGCTGAGCCCAGGGACCCAGCCCTTTTGTCAGTTCTCATCTTGATTGCCTGCCTGCGACCTTGCTCCAGGCAATTCCAGGTTGGGTTTCTCATTGTAGTCTTTGCTTTCCAGCTTTTAATATTATTCCATACTGGAGTAAACAGACTTGTCTGGGGCTCTTTAACGTTGGGGGATTGGCAGAGGGTCTCACTGCTCCACCCAATCTTAAGAGATATGTTTCTAACCTATCAATGTTTGCTACATTCATCCCTTTTCTTAATAGTCACTTAAAGATTTTCACCAGACTCTCTCCTCTAGACAGAGATCACATTATCTTGGGGATCACTCTACCCTTTCTTATTATTTATTGTCAGTATGATCATTTCCTTTGGAATTAGCTCTGAGGCTAGTGGTTATATCTTGGGCTGGCCAGAATTAGGATCTTTCCAACATCTTCCTTTGATATGTACCCTGAGACTAGAAGCTGCAGTTCAGGCTGGAAGAATCTAAATGTGGCCTATTTCTTACTTTCATTTTAGCTCTTATAAATAAATAAGCAAGGGATCGTATATTTTGATTTTTTTCTTAGAATTTTGCATTTCTTATGCATCCAATGATACATAGAAAAAACTTTTATTGATAATTTTCATCTGTAATAAATGATCACAGCACAGCTGCTGCCTCATACTGTGGGTAATATCATGGCTACTCAGGGACAAAAGGGTCCTTATTCCCCATACTTTCATTCTTTTTCTTTCCAAACCACATGTTTCAATGAGTCAGGGTTATTCTCGCAAATTCTATTTCCTGTTGTTTTTGACACTAACTACCCAAAACCCCAAATGGTCCCACACCAACTGGTTGTACTGCAAAACAATTCTGACATTGACCACCCAGAGTTAGTGTCAGATCCCACAGGCCAAGGGTTCATTCTTCTACAAGGTTGTCCCCACTTCAGACACCAGCTGCAGGAAGGGCCCTCAGGCCACCCATACTTCCGAATAACTGGCTATAAACTCAGGGGTTCCCACAACCCCAGCATGTTCATGCCCAATTCACTAGAACAACTAAAGGAACTCTGGAAAATGCTATACTTGTGTGCAGTTTTATTTTATAAAGGGTACAAATAGAGCAAGGTCTTAGAGGAAACAGAGCTTCTGCATCTTCTCCCCATGGAGCCAGGACAGGTCACCCTCCCAGCACGTTAATGTGTTCACCAACCAGGAAGCTCCACTGAGCTTCATTGTCCCAAGTTTTTATTGGGGCCTCATTACAGGCATGACTGATTAAATCACTTGCCATGTAATTTTACAGCCTTCTGCCTCTCCCTGGAGGTTGACCGGCTGAAAATTTCAATTCTCTAATCATATGCTTGGTCTTTCTGGTGATCAGTCCTTGATCCTGATGTTACCTCATGGCTCACTATAAATCACTTCCTTAGCATAACAAAGACATTCCTATCATCAGAAAATTACAAGGGTTTTTGAGGCTCTGTAACAGATATGGACAAAGAGCAGACTTTTTTTTAATAATTCTACACTGACAAACACAACGAGCAGCACAAAACCAGGAAATAATACAATATCTATATTAATTAACAGCCTGACACACTTTTATAAGCTTTTTATTGCTACAATTTTTATTACAACCATTTGAAATGCTTTTTATAGAGAGACAGACCAGAAGTTAATTTAGTTTTTCCTCTATTATGGTTCATCAAAGTTAGTTTTTTAAATTATTGGCTGTTTAGAAATCTTTTTCAGTTTCTTTTTTCTTTTCTTTTTTTTTTTTTTTTTTTTTTTTGAGATATAGTCTCATTGTGTCACTCAGGCTGGAGTGCAGTGGCATGATCTCAGCTCACTGCAAACTCTGCCTCCTGGGTTCAAGCGATTCTCATGCCTCAGCCTCCCCAGTAGCTGGGATTACAGGCATGCGCCACCACACCCAGCTAATTTTTATATTTTTAGTAAAGATGGGGTTTCATAATGTTGGCCAGGATGGTCTCGATCTCCTGAACTTGTGATCCACCTGCCTCAGCCTCCCAAAGTGCTGGGATTACAGGCGTGAGCCACCATGCCCAGCCTCAGCTTCTTATCTCTTTATTAGTAATATGATATAATTTTTAAAGGTTGTTATTAAATTAGGGAAAACCACTTGAATTTTTTAAGTGGCTTAAAAAATTTGGAAGAATTTTCTAGGAAATGGATTCTGGCTTTGCATATTTCAAACTTTATTAGCCACACATTTCCAGTGCTGGTTGCCATAGGACATTTATAGTGCCATAAAACCTGCCATAACGTAGATAAGTAACAATAGAAAATACTTAGTATAAAAATGGCTTCTAGAATAGCATGGAAGCCATTGCTATACCAAGGCAGCTACTGATCACAATGAGTGGAAGTCATTGCAAAAGACAAATACACCCCACCAAGACCACCTAAATGTATCCTGAGCTCAACTTTATCTTCACTGGATCCTAGACATGCCCTTGACTGCTCTCCAACTACTCTACATGGGGGCAACTGTGACAGAGGGGAAGTTGGAATAAAATTGATGGTGGTCTTAACTAATGGTAATACAAATATTTCACTTTTCAAATTGCATCTAAAAGTTTGATCTTGCGAACACATTGTTACGGCCCCTCCCAGGCCTTGGAAGGAGCCTATGCAAATGGAGAGCCCTGAGGCTTGAACTCAGTGGTCTACCAAGGAGTGGGGTCAGTGCAAGCAGCCTGCCCTAGCAGGAAGGAATATTCTACCACTGACTTCATTTAGGTTTGCCAGAGCATGGTGATAACAAAAGGTGCAAGCAGCCTGCCCTAGCAGGAAGGAATATTCTACCACTGACTTCATTTAGGTTTGCCAGAGCATGGTGATAACAAAAAGCAGACCAATTTTTAATTAGTCTTATTATTGTTTTTAAATTTTCTACAGATAAGACAAACCATTATTGACTGCAACTGAAACACAGAGCTCCCACCACCCGACCCTTAATAAGTCACTGCTTAAGGTTCATTAGCTTCACAGTTAAGCTGCTTCTCCCACCCAGCATTTTCCACCCTCCATCCCCAACCTCAATTATGGCAGCCTTGAGTCTAGGAAACACAGAGAGAAAATAACAAATAAGCCAAGCAGATGGGGACACGCAGGACTTAGGATAGAATAACAGTGAAGTGTGTTTGTTCTGGACCCAGAGTGTCTGGATTTGCACTCTAGTGCATCCTCTTGTTAGAAACAGGACCTCGGGCAAGTTATTTAACCTCTATGTGCCTCAGTTTTGTCATCACTGAAGGGAGGATAATTATGGTTTTTAGTTCATAAAGCATTGTGCGTATGTGTGTAAGGATCAAATGCAACATTATTTATTTACAGGCATGGAGGCCTGCAAATACCCTGTGACTGGAGGGAATGTGGCACATTCAGGGAATGAAAAGAAGGCCAAGGGAGCTCAGAGAGAAGAGGCAAGCAGAAATAACCTGGAGGTCAAATAGGTAAGGCATTCAAGGATACTTAAGGATTTTAATCTTTATTATTAAGGCAATGGGAAGCTATGAAAGTTTTGTTTTGTTCTTTGGAGGGAGTGGGGTGGAAGCTTGAGGATATTGAGGACTATGACCACTTGTATCAAACATGCCAGAGCTATTTTGACCAAGAATTGAGACCACCTGTGTCAACATGACTTCACTATTCGTCCTAGGAAAACGTTACCTGGGAAATAAAAGACCGTAAATCAATAAGTAAGTCCATTGTCTGCTTTAGGAAATCTTTCAGATCAACCTACCTGATACAACAGTCTGCTAACCTCAGCAAACAGATTACTGATCCCAAAACAGCTGACTTATTAAGACTTCAAGTCCTTGCCACGTGATGTTCACCAGTCCTAACCTGCCACAACACAAACTTTGCCCAGCCAATTAGTTCCCACCTTGAAAAGCCTGCCTTAAACCAGCGAAACTCAGACCCCAAGGCTCCATAAATGTATTCTGACATCCCTCTTCTAAGACACCGATTTCTTTCTCCAAAACCTTTCTCAGGGTGGTGTTCTCCATCACTGTGGTAAGTTCAAATAGATTTAGTTTTGCTTGATTAGCAGATTGTCTAGTGATATCTTGGGAAGTTAACAAAATGATCAAAGGATAGCATTAGGAGTTATACCTAATGCTAAATGATGAGTTTAATGGGTGCAGCACACCAGTATGGCACATGTATACATATGTAACTAACCTGCACATTGTGCACATGTACCCTAAAACTTAAAGTATAATAATAATAAAATAAAATAAAAATTTCTCATGCTGTAGCATGGAGTATGAATTGAAAGGTGAAAAGAGTGAACGTGGTGGGATTTCTCAGTACAAATCTCAAGGAATATTTGCATCAAGGGGGCTAGAGGTATCCACAGGTTGGGTCTTTGGTGCTCTTATGTACTCTACCTCCGCCCTACCATGCACACTACTTTGAAGATAGTGTTCTCTCAGGAGCTTCTAAAATGATGTCTAAAACACATCGACATAGCCAGCAGCCACCACCTTCTCCAGACCCACTCTCTTCTTCCTCAGCTGGAATCATGAGATCACTGCCAGCAACAAATGGAACAAGAATGGGTAGAAACCATCTAAGATTTACTAAAAAGGAAGAAACAGTGTTGGGAAGGAAGCTGAGGACCATTATCTAGAAAAGAAAATTAATTTTAATTCATTCATTTAGCCAGCCAGTCAGCAAGACCTTCTGTCCCCTATGCTAGGCAACTTTGAGTGTTAGGAAAACAGAGATAAATTTGAGACAGGCAGGCTGGGTGCAGTGGCTCACGCCTCTAGTCCCAGCACTTTGGGAAGCCGAAGCAGGTGGATCACGACGTCAGGAGATGGAGATCTTCCTGGCTAACACAATGGAACCCCATCTCTACTAAAGATACAAAAAAATTAGCCGGGCCTGGTGGCCGGCGCCTGTAGTCCCAGCTGCTCAAGAGGCTGAGGCAGGAGAATGGCCTGAACCCTGGAGGTGGAGCTTGCAGTGAGCCGAGATGCGCCACGGCACTCCAGCCTGGGCGACAGAGCAAGACTCCGACTCAAAAAAAAAAAAACAAAAAATTGAGACATGCTCCCTGATCCAGAGGCACTTCCTGTCCTCCAAGAAAGACGGACCCATACAGAAACCTGACACAAAACAGGAAGTGCTATGTTGGGGTGGGTATGCATAGAAGCAGAGGAGACAATACAGGAAGGCATCCAGTGGTGGCATCTGAACAGATGCATCCTGCAGAATGGGTAGGAGCTTTCAGGAGTAAATGTCAGGAAAACACAGCATCATCAGTGAAAAGGCAGGTGTTGCCAGGTGTGGTGGCTCATGCCTGTAATCCCAGCACTTTGGGAGGCCGAGGCAGGCGGATCAGCTGAGGTCGGCTGTTGGAGATCAGTCTGACCAGCATGGAGAAACCCCATCTCTACTAAAAATACAAAAAATTAACCGGGTGTGGTGGTTCATGCCTGTAATCCCAGCTACTATGGGAGGCTGAGGCAGGAGAATCACTTGAACTCGGGAGGCGGAGGTTGCGGTGAGCTGAGATTGTGCCATTGCACTCCAGCCTGGGCAACAAGAGTGAAACTCCGTGAAAGAGAAGGGAAGGGAAGGGAAGGGGAGGGGAGGGGAGGGGAGGGGAGGGGGGGGAGGGGAGGGAAGGGAAGGGAAGGGAAGGGAAGGGAAGGGAAGGGAAGGGAAGGGAAGGGAAGGGAAGGGAAAAGAGAAAAGAAAGAGAGAGACAGAAAGAAAGACGGAAGGAAGGAAGGGAAGGAGGGAGGGAGGGGCAGGTGTTGCTTTTCAAACAGAGCAAATGCCTTCTCTGTTCAGCTCAGTCATTGCCTGCACCAAGCCCCAGAGGTTCAAACATGAAGATGACAAATTTCTGTTCTGGAAGAGCATAGGAGAGAGGTGATAGGCATAGTGAGAGATGGGTCTGGGGACACTTGCAGGGCTTAGGTCTTGGGGAGTCAGCCAGCAAGAGACTGAGCAGAATGAAAGCCCCTTCCTCTTCAATGAGTTTGGGTGTACCCTCAGCCTCAGACTGGGCTAGATGGCAGCAGATTTGTGAATGCCTAGCAGAATGACTCCTGTCATAAACAGAAGCAAATTTCTTATGTGTCTTATTTCCCTATACCTAGGATACCTAGTAGGGTCCCATTCACACTCTGCATCTCTATAGCCACTTATCATAGCTGAATATTTAATTTTTACTGCAAACCTTCAGGAGTAAAGTAAGACTTTTGATGCCCTGTTTCTGGAAAGAGACTAGAAGGTATAGTCTCCTACCTGGGATGTCAGAGTGAGTCTCACCAAAGTCAGACCTCAAGTCCAGTTTGAGCCGGACTTATCAAGGCAAACAGGGATTTAATCAATGCAAGCTTATGACCTGCACTTACTAGGAATTCCTCGGTCATGGGGAATAATTGCAATCCCCAATCCCCATCACGAATAGGGTTCAAGAGTTTACCAGCGCCTGCTGGTGTAGGGGAGGCACACACTGAGCCAGTTGGTGTAGTGCACGTGCAGCCCCAGATATCTATGAGCGTCACAGACCTGTTATTGCCCAATCTTGGGTCACTGAACACCACTTGTCCTTCTAAGAAGTTGGGGGATGCCGACTGCTCAGGGATCGTGTAACCAGTCACCATGTCAGGGTCTGGTTCCTTATCAGAATTAACCAGACAAATCACTCCACCAACTAAGAATGGCCATGCACCACCACCCACAGAATCGAGAAAGAGCTGTCAATCTGTCAATCCCGTCCTTGTCCAGGCTGGGTGAGGTTTCCCGTGAAGTTTCCAGGTAAGGACTACAGGCTGCCTCCATTTGCATGCTGTCTGCCCCCCACATTTGTGTTCCTCTCCAGGGCATGAGGTCACAGTGGAACAGAAAACCTGTGAGACGTGGCATCAAAATCAAAGTTCAAGACCCAAACCTGCCACTTCTAAGAAGTTTGCCCTCAGGCAAGTCACTTCATCTGCCTGAATCTCAATTAAGATTCTTCTAAGAATCATAACTGGGGGAAAGTCCTAATTTCAACCTCTTAAGGTTCATGTAAGAATAAAATCAGTCTGTGGATCTGAGCCTGCTTGCCGATAATAAAAATACCACAGAACATTTATTAAAAACTTAAAATATTCCCGGCACTGGGCTAACCTCTCTTCATGTATTATCTCATTTAATTCTCTCGACAACTACCAATGGCAGGTGCTATTATCATCCTAATTTTACAGATGAGTAAGTTAAAATAGGTGTGTAATGTACCCAGAGTCACACAGATAGAAAGAGGAGACCCTGAAGGATCCCAAAGCTTAGTCAACCTCAGCTGAGCTACAAAGCCCTGTTTATGTGGATATTGGTGATTTCACCTTAGGGGATGGAACTTAGAATGCCACGCTTAGCTCTTCTTTTTTCTCTTTTTTCCCTGTTTTTTTCTTTGCTCTATTTTTTAAAGTCGTACAATAAAATGTGCCCTTTTTATGTGCACAATTCTGTGAGTGTTGACAAACGAATATAGCCGTGGAGCCATCAGCAGTCAAGACTGTTCACATCACCACCAGAAACTTCCTTTGTGCTGCATGGACATTGACCTCTCACCTGCATTCCCTTGCAACCCTGACTGACTCTTTCCCCTGAGGGTTTGCATTTTGCAGAGCCATGTAAATGGAATCACAGAGTTCGAGACCTTTTGAGCCCAGCTTCCTTCACTTCACACAGGCGTTTGAGAGTGGTCCGTGTTATTCCATGGATCAAAAGTTTGTTCTTGTTGCCGAAGCGTATTCCATGGCACACACGGACCTCTAGCTTTCCTTAAGGAGTGATGGAAACCCTCTATTTCCCAGTAGCTACAGGCCACCTGGTTTCAGGAATTTGGGCTCCTGAGATCTGAGCAGGAAGCTGGTTTGAGAGGAGAATCTGCGTTAGGATAGAGAAATTCCTTTCCCTCTTACTTCCAGTCCTGACTCCTCCTGAGAGCCAAGGTAACACTTGGACCCCAAGTGATCATCTGGAGGGTAAAGGATGGGCACTGGGTGTGCTGGGGGGGGGGGGGGCAGCTCGGCTATGGGCACAGAAGTGAGACACAGCACATTGTGCCTGCAGGTGAGCTTCACTTTGCCTTCCTCCTCTCCCTTTCTCCTTCCCAGCCCATTTGCACTCCTGTCCTATTTCTTCTTTCTCACCAGTAAGGGCTGGAAGGATGGGCTTCCAAGGTACCAAAGAATCTGACTTTACCACTAGATTAACCCCTCTATTAACTAACCCACTGCAGATTTTACAAATCCCTTGGCACCATGGCTCTGGAGTTGAGCTCTGGTCTCAGGGTGCTGCTGTGACAAAGGATGCCACAGCCCACAAATTGCAGCCACTAAAAATAGGCCAAAGTCACCTGGTCTCACTTCTTTAAGTACACGGCTTCTGTGCTTGATCAAAACACCTAGATAATTAGCTCTAAAAGCCTCATTTGAGGGAGGAGGTAGGTGGGTGGGCTGCCCGTGGGAGGGAAGGCACACAGAAAAGAGAAGCTTGTTAAAATGACAACTCTGTAAAAGAAATGGGGCAGTGAAAGGAGCAGAGAGGGGAGGAAAAGCAAGGAAAGGAGTCTTGGAAGGGTTGGGAAGGAGGCTTTAAAAATAGTGATGCTGTCAGAGGAAGTAAGACGGAGGTCAGGAGGCAGGCAGCCCTTTTCCTGGGTGAACTGTCTGGAAAGGAGGCAGAAGCGAGCACGACACGTGGGAGATGCGGTGTGAAGAAAAGGTTATGGGCTACCCACTCTCTCCTCCTGTAAGTGGTATGGCCGTTCACTCTGTTACCTGGGTCCAAGGCTAAAGTCAAACTCACTGCCTCTTCCTCCCTCTCTCCATGGCTCATGGATTCCTCCTTATCTGCCTCCTAAATTTCTCTCCCACCCGTGTGGTCTACCCCATGCCATGGTCACTCCCCAGAGGCTCTCCCTTGTCACCTCTCACCTGGGTATTTCAGTGGCCTCCAGGTCATCCACCCTCTGGTCTCTCTCTTCCCCCCATATATTTCCTGTATTTCAGCAACAAATCTGTTTCTGCTGGAAAACTCTGAGAGGCTCCCAATCGCCAGCTGGAGATTCCAGACTCCATAGGGAGACATTTCCCACTCCTCTGAACATGGTCCCAAAGTGACCATTCTAGGACGATTCCTCTCCAACTCCAACCATACACTCTCCTCTTGGGTCATAAACTGTTGGGCCATGACCTAAATCTTGGGCATGTTCTCTGGTCCCTGGACATTTCAAATATCTGAGTATTTCAGATACAATTTTTACCTTCTTTTGAAAAATTGGGGGACCCAGAAGCACTGAGCCCACATTTTAAAATGGTAGCACTCTGGTTGGCTCCAGCCCCCACCATTCTCTAATGTCTGATGCTAGGTTGGTTTCATTCACTTTCATTACCTTTTTGGTCCTATAGACAATGGATCTTGAGACCCCCGACTCTATACTAACTGCAGCAAAGGATTAGAGGTGGCAGTCTGGCACCAAGCCCCCACTGGCTCTTGATCTCCATAATACATGATCTTTGTCATGGTGAACTCTTTCTCTATGCCAGCTGTGATATAAGGTACTGGGCACAGAGATGGGAAAAACACTGCTTGCCCCTGTGGGCTCCAACCAAGCACTTTGAGACCCTTATATCTCTGTTCATGCCATTTCCTCTTTCCAGGATGGCTTTCTGTACCTTTTCCATCAGCTAAAGTGGGCATCCTGAATGAACTTTTCCTGATGCCCTCTGTTAGGATTAGCCCCAGGAACCAGGCCTTCTCCATGGCCTCATGATATCATGCTCAGTCCCACCTAAGGCCTCATATCTGCCTTTTTTTAAAATTCTATTCTAAATTTGTGAGGATTAGAACCTATATCCTATTCATTCATTCCCCCTACCCAACTTTCACACATCCCCAAGATTCATTTTTTGCACATAAGAAGTGCTCGGTAAAGTTTTAAATGAGATTGATTCAGAAACACCTAAAATCCTTAAACTAATTTTTTTACACATGTAAAAAAAATGCTCATCCCCAATTTTTCTATCCTTGCATTACAGAGACATCATAGAAGCCTGAGAAAGCATTTTAAAGTGCAGTAAAACCTTTCAAATTTGAAATAGTTGAAGAGTGTGGAGGAGTGAATATAAATACATTTTATATATTTACATATGTATGTATAAAAGATTAAGTCTGAGGTTTTTAAGAGAACAAATCATCTTTCAGTTTTAGATGTGACAGTATGTCTGCATACTTGAACTAACCTTGGGTTTCAGAACTTTGGGGTAAAATTGTCGAGTAGACTTTTCCTCCAACACCCCCCAACTCGTCTTTGTACCCTTAAACATTAGAAGCTGAGTAAGTTGCCCCAGGGGTCCAGATAAATCTCCCCTGGCTCCCACTGCAGCATCCCTTTGGAGCATGGTCCCGGCTTTCCCAAGAGACAACCTGTTATTCAGCAAGCCTTCTAGGCTGTAAGACCCAAGAGGGGAAGGACCATATTACATTCCTGCTGTGCACCCTGTTCCCACCTAGGAGGGCTTTGTTAACCAAGTGAATCCACATGAGAAAAGGAGAATGAATACTCTGGAGATATGGCACCCACCCTGATTTAATAAACCACAGAGACACAGTGCTTTCCTCTGACAAAATGGCTCTATGATGATGCAGATTTCCAAAGCTGGGGTAGACCAGGAAGAGATGTGTTTGCAGGCCTGGGTGTGTGAGTCGGGGGTGAGGGTGGAGGGCTGCATGGGAGCCCCAGGTGGAAGGGGCAGTAGAGTATGTCTCTTGGTGTGCTTTTTAAAATAAAACCAGCCTGGGCATTTGATCTTTGAATAAAATTTTGCCTTACAAAATCATTTTTTCCCTGCTAATGTATTGATTAGTGACATAAAACTCTTGGCAGGATCCTGGACATATTTTATTACACAATTGTTCTATAACTGTTTTTTACTCCTAAGAAGAGAGTCACAGAATTTTCATTAAAATTATGAAAACATCTTTAAACAATCATAGAAAAATTTAAAAATTAGACACAATTCCACTGTTCTATTACATGAGTCATCTCCATTTTTCTGCATTTTCTTCCAGTCTTTGTTCATATGCAGACATAATTGTACATATCCCAAAAAGAAACTTGTATTATTTACTAATCATGTATCATTGTAACATAAATATTTTTAAATATTGTTTGATAGTTTTTATAATTATAATTTGCAATAGCTGTAGAGTGCATTTCAATAGGTGATGTTGCAGAAGGTATTTAACCAGTTCCCTGTAGCTAGACGTGAAAAAATTTTCCTACTGTGAAATAATAACAGTATTTTGATTTTTTTTTTTTTTTTGAGACAGAGTCTTGCCTTGTCACCCAGGCTGGAGTACAGTGGTACAAGCATAGCTCACTACAGCTTCAAACTCCTGGGCTCAAGCCATCCTCCTGCCTCAGTCTCCCAAGTAGCCAGGATTAGAGGCATACACCACTGTGCCAGAATTTTTTTTTTCTAGAGACAGAGTTTCACTTTCTTGCCCAGGCTGGTCTCAAACTCCTGGCCTCAAGGGATCTTCCTGCCTCAGCCTCTTGAATTTCTGGGATTACAGGTATAAGCCACCACACACCACATTTAAGTTTTTAAATGTGGTCATTTATGTTATAGCAGCAAGAAATGCTCTCCAAGCTAAACATTAAACTTAATGTACTTCTTTATGCCTCATAAACTGGGTTAGTTTCTTAGGGCTGCCATAACAAAGAACCAAAAACTGCTTGATTTAAACCAGCAGTCTCCAACCTTTTTAGCACCTGGGACTGGTTTTGTGGAAGACAATTTTTCCACAGACCAAAAGGGTGGGGGTGCTGGTTTTGGGATGATTCAAGCATATTACATTCATTGTGCACTTTATTTCTATTATTATTACACTGTAATATATAATGAAATAATTATCTAGCTCTCCATAATGTCAAATCAGTGGGATGCCTGAGCTTGTCTTCCTGCAACTATACAGTCCCATCAGGGGTGATGGGAGACGGTGACAGATCATCAGGCATTAGATACTCATAAGGAGTGCGCAACCTAGATCCCTCACATCTGCACTTCACAATAAGGTTCACACTTTTATAAGAATCTAACGCTGCTGCCAATCTGACAGGAGGTGGGGCTCAGGTGGTAATGCAAGCAATGGGGAGCGGCTGTAAACACAGATGAAGCTTCGCCTCCTCGCCTGCTGCTGCTCACCTCCTGCTGTGTGACCTGGTTCCTAACAAACTACGGACTGTACCAGTCTGTGGCCCAGGGGATGGGGAACCCTGGTTTAAACCACAGAAAGGCATTCTCTCAGAGCCCTGGAGGCCAGGCCAGAAGTTGGAAATGAGGTTGCTGATATCCCTCTGAAGTCTCTGAGGAAGAATCCTTCCTCTCTTCCTCACAGTTTCTGGTGGCTCCCCAGCGTCCCTCACTCCAGTCTCTGCCTCTGCCTTCACATGGCATCCTCCCTGTCTGTGCATCTCTGTGCATCCCGTCCTCTTCTTATAATGGCACCAGTTATTGAATTTAGGGCTTGCCATCTAGGATGATTTCATCTCAACATCCTTAACAAATTACATCTGCAAAGATTCTATAGCTGAGTAAGGTAACATTTACAGATGCCCAGGGGTTAGGACCCGCATGTATCTTTTTGGAGGGTACTATTAAGCTCTCTCTACGATACCTTCTTGAAAACCTCTTCAAATCCCTGGTACTATAGTCAGGAGCCTGGGAGTGCCCATATCCTGCCCTTTCGGCCATTACTGTTCTTCGCAGAATCCTCGAGAGAGACAGACACAAAGAACGGTAATCAAATGGACCACAGCATGCCGGTTTCTACTTGCCAAACAGGGCCCTCTAAAGAAGCTGGGCTGGAGTGGAATGTCTGACATTTGGCCTTTACCATCCCCTTTACCAAGCCACATGAAGAAAGAAGACAGAAGATGGATGCTCTGTCCCAAGGGGCCATTTCTAGCCCCGCCTGCTCTCACAGCCTCATGGAAGAGAAAAGTG
Organism: Homo sapiens; assembly: GCF_000001405.40. NCBI lineage: Eukaryota > Metazoa > Chordata > Mammalia > Primates > Hominidae > Homo > Homo sapiens. The sequence continues at coordinate 175,121,427 of NC_000005.10, forward strand.
GAAGAGGGAGATGCCAGTGACCAAAGGATCATCAGCTTTGCTCACTACCTCTGAGATGTGGAGCAAAACAGGAGGCCACTGAGAGGGAACAGGGCCAAGAAAGGCCCAATGCACAGAGACTCTGCCCTGATAAATATCTTGCAATAACTGAGCAGATCAGCCACCTCTTCCCCTTAAGGGAAGGACACTGGAAAGGTGTGGCAAGAAAGGCAGGCAGATGAGGAAATGACTTCTCCTAGAGTGATGGTAACACAATTACACAATTGCCATCCATGCATGTACTATGTAGTGTGCATTTAAAACAATTTCATATGCACATTTCTACGTATCTAGTCTGTATGCTTGTCACTTTCAGTAGCTAATAAAACAGCATCAAGAAACTCAAGGCAAAAAGTCATGACCATCTCAACAGATGCCAGATATATACGTAATGAAATCCAACACTCATTCCTAATTAAAAAATAAGATAAAAACAAACCTCAGGGAACTTGGAATAAAGTGAAAATTTTATAACCTGATGAAAAGCAGCTACCAGAAACCCCTCAGAACATCATCCTTAGTCCTGAAACATTAGAAGCATTCCTGTTTAATACAGGGCTATTACAAAGATGTCTGCCCAGACCAAGACTGTTTCACAGAAAAAGTATAAATACCAGAAAAGAAAAGACCATTGCAAGTTACAGATGATTTGCTATCAGCTAAAAATTCAAGAGAATCAACTGAAAAAACTACAAGCATCAGTAAGGGAATTCAGTAAGTTCTGTAGTTGAAATGTCTGTGTATCCCCAAGATTCATATGTTGAAATCAAAACCCACAAAGTGATGGTATTAGGAGGTGGGGTCTTTGGGAGGTGAGTGCAGGGCCTTCATGGATGGGACTCATGCCCTTATAACATCCTAGAGAGTTAGCTAGCCCTGTCAACCACTTTAGGATACAGCAAGAAGACATGCTCTCTAGACCAGGAAGTGGACCCTCACCAGATACTGAATCTGCTCGCATCTTGATCTTGGACTTCCCAGCCTCCACAACTATGAGAAGTAAGTTTCTGTTATTTATAAGCCTCTCATTTTATCGTATCTTGCTATAGCACCCTGAATGGACTGAGACAGTAAGTTAGCCAGATCCATCCATCCCACAAATATTTCATGAACACCTACTATGTGCCAGGCATATTTATATATATTCTTTCAAAGAATCCAGAACATGGCAATGAACATAATAAAGTTTCTCCCCTCATAAAGCTGACATTCCCCTGTAAACAGTTAACATTTAAAAGAATGACAAGAAATACCCAATTAAAAATGTAATGGCAAAAAAGATCCAATTCACAATGCCAAAAAGAAATCTAAAACCTCTGGGAATGTATCTATCAGGAAAGGTACAAGGCCTACGAAAAGAACATTTTAAATATCATTGTGTTGGCCAGGCACAGTGACTCACGCCTGTAATCCCAGCACTTTGGGAGGCCGAGGCGGGCAGATCACTTGAGGTCAGGAGTTCGAGACCAGCCTGGCCAACATGGCAAAATCCCGTCTCTACTAAAAAAAAAAAAAAAAAAAAAAAAAAAAAAAATTAGCCAGGCGTGGTGACGCATGCCTGCAATCCCAGCTACTCGGAGGCTGAGGCAGGAAATTTGCTTGAGCCTGGGAAGCGGAGGATTCAGTGAGCCAAGATCATGCCACTGCACTCCAGCCTGGATGACAGAGCGAGACTCTGTCTCAAAAAAAAAAAAGTCATTTTGATAATGACATTAAGTAAAGATCATGTTAACCCTCATCATGCTGCCATGATGGTGGTACTGTTGTTACTCTTCCTTGTTTTACAGGTGAAGGTCCAGAGGCTACGAGAAGTTACAGTCAGGAGTGGAGCAGATGTCAGGACCTTGACTACCAGACACCTGGGCTGAGAATGCAGCCACTGCACCACATCGCCTGCGCCATGCCTTTTATTCTATCCCTCAGCTTTGGTCTCCCTACAGGAAAAATGGCAATGCTCACACCACTCTCCCATCTTTGTCATGAATGAATGAATGAAATAGTATATTTAAGGCACTAACTCAAGGGCGTTAAGTACATACTTGGTAAATACTAGTTCCTTCATTCTAACCAGGAGAGGAATTGAGCTCCCTGAGTCTTTATCAACACATTCTATGGCATAATGAGAGGGTAAGAGAAGTATTTTCATCATGATCAATCAATACAAGGAAAAATAACTTCAGGAGGCATGTGGGAGAGAGGTGGGCTTTTAAGTGGGTAAAACCTCTATTATACTGACTCGCTTAATGACTCACCGAGCTGTTTGATTTGAGAGACAGCAAATCCGAGGGATGTAAAATGCCGATCTTTCTGAGTGGCAATTATTTGTGATTAAATCACAGTGTCTTCTGAAGGAAGGAGGAAGTCACTTTGTCTCCAGAGTGAGGTGAGTCATGGAAAATATCACTTCCAGGAGAGAAGGAAAAAGCCGCAAGTGCAGTTGAAGAGGCACAGGTACCCCGATAGACACTCAGGGAAGCCCCCAACTCCCGAACTAGTCCCAGGAGTTGACTGTGTTCTTATTTTGCTTTCAGTGTATATTAAATAAAATTAGGAAAATTCAGAAAAGAAGGAAACAATTCTCAGTCCCAGCACCCTAATATACCAATACTAACATTTTGATTTATTTCCTTCTAGCTTTTCTCCCTCTCTGCATGTATCTCTTTCTTTGTTTTCATTATTGTAATCTTCCAGTTTTGTACATGGTCTCAGTGTGAGTAGAAAAATCATAGGATTAGAAACCAGAGATTAAATTTCATCACTTACCAGGTGTCATCTCTGAACTTTAGTTCTCTCTTCTATAAAGAGGAATGATAATACCCACCCAAAGCTGTTGTCAGGATTGACAGATAATATAGATACATTGCTGGCATAGAGTAGGCACTCAATAAATGGCCTGGTCCATCCCCTGTGACTCAGAACATTCTTTCTGGTTGCAAAGGAAGAGCTGATCTCTCTGGCAGCAGGAAGGGCCAGACATGAGGCTACTCCAAAAGACCTCTCAGCCAAGGTCAGGAAAACTCTACATAGAGCCTTGCCCAGATTTAGCCTCAGTTCTTTTCCATCTCCAAAAACCTCACTCCTGCGCTCAAATTTCAGTAGGAGAGAACCTGATTGGTCAGCTCGGCATCAGATTTGGACCTGTGGTCACTCAACCATGGCTGGAGATGAAGATTGACAGGATCATAGCCAAGCTAGTCATGGTGAATCGATAGCCAGTTTAACCGCATTATTTCCACTGATATTTTAATGTGATAGTGTATCAAAGGATTTTTTCAAGTAACTACCCTTTGCTCATGACCCTCATTTTAATGCTCCAGAAGTCAGTCAAGGCCATGGACTGCTATTTAGTGGTATATTTTCATCGTTGAAGAGCTAAATTATTTCTAGAATGATACCTTTTGTGGGGGATCGTAATAAGTATGGGTTTAATTCTTGAGGAATTCCTAGAAACTACCCAGCCTTGAAAGTAATTGAGTCCCACATCGCCTGAATGGATTGATCCATTCTGCAGAGTGTTTGATTCCCCCATCCTCTGAATGGACATGCCCATCCTGCCTTCCTGTCCTGTCAATGTGCCAGTGCTTTCATGATGTTTTCTGATTTCCTGCCAAGCAGTCTATGGAACAGTAGACAACATATGACTTACAGAACAGAACGTGACCCAGGTCTTGCCTACAGGTAACATGAAAGCATTCTTTCTCAGCTTTAAACTGAGGAGCAGACAACGAGAAAAATATTTGGTGGCTGGAAGTTTGTGAGACTTCATTATCTAAAGCACATTGGGATTTGGGAATGTAAAGAGGATCTTCAGGCATTTCTTATTTTTACAAGTAACCTAATGGAAATAGTAGTCTCTGAAATCAAGGCTGCACTCACCAATGAGTAACTGGATTTTTCTTAGGGCTAAGATTTGATCTACACTGGTTACCTCTACCTACTCAGAATCTCAAATGGCAGAGCTTAGTATTTTTTCATGATTAAATTATTTCTAAAACTGGAAAGTAAATTCTTTCATTCTTTCTAACTTTCAAAACACAGGCTGAATGATAGTGATGCTGTTCTAAAACATATGGTGTTTCCAGAGAGGAAGCAGGGCTTTTTGGAGACAGAAAGTTTGAGAACTGCTGATTTCAATTGTTCTGCTATCCATTCACTCAAGAAGCATTTGGGGAGCCCTTTCTACATGCCCAGATCTTTTGCAGCCACAGCCACTTCCCTCCCTTCCCCTCTCCTTCACCCCTGACTACCACTCATTTGTTCTCTGTTTCTATTATTTGTCATTTTCAGGATGTTACATAAAATAAATCACATTGTACCTAACCCTTCGATAGTGATGTTTTACACTCAGCATGCCTTTGAGATCCATTGAACTAGTTCAGTGTTAAGCAGTTCGTTCTTTTTTTTTTACTGCATAGTATGCGATGGTATGGATATACTACAATTTATTTGACCATCACCCATCAAAGGACATCTGGGGTGTTTTCAGTTTTTTGTCATTATAAATAAAATTCCTAAGAACCGCTCATGTGCAGGTTTTTGTGTGAACATAAGTATAATTTCTCTGAGATAATTGCGTACGAGTGCCTGCAGGCTTTCCCCACCCCTTTTAGGCCATTCCTTTTCTTTCACCCCTTTTTTTTTTTTTTTTTTCCAGAAGGAGACAAGCTGATTCCATTTTTTTAAATGGAAATTAAGGAGTGTAAAATAGCCAGTCTTGAAAAAAGAGAACAAAGTTAGAGGACTTATACTGCCTCAAGGTTTACTATAAAGCTATACTAATTAAGACTATTTATACAGCATAAGCATAGATACGTAGATCAATATAGAGTCCAGAAATAGCCCTACACAATGGCCACTTGACTTATGAGGGAGGAGAAGGCATTTTCAATAAATAATGATGGAGCAACCAGATACTATGTGGGGAAAAATGAATCCTGACTCATATCCTGACACTATATATAAAAATTAATTTGAGGCGGATTATAAACCTAAATTTAAAAGCTAAGCTTATACAAATTCCAGAATAAAATATAGGAGACTATCTTCTCAATAATGAGATAAGCAAATATTTATTAGGGCATTTAAGAAGCACTAAATATAAAATAATGATAAATTAGACTTCATCAAAGTTGAGAACAGCTGCTTTTCAGAATATGCCATTAATAAAGCAAATATGTAAGCCAGAGAATGTGAAAACTGTTTGTAATATATATGTCTTTCAAATGACTCATATGCAGAATATATATATATATATATATATATATATATATATATATATATATATGTTTTTTAAACTACACAAAAGAGAATGAAATGGTAATACACTTTTGTGAGGTTCTAACACTATATTAAAAGTGGTATAATATTACTTGAAGGTGGATTATTATATTTTAAAGATGTATAATGCATATCCCAGATAAATCACTAAAATTAAAGAATTATTGCTAATAAGCTAATTGTGGAATCAAATGAAATCATGAAAATTATTCAATCCAAAGTAAGGTAAGAAAAATAATTATCAAAGGGAATATGGGACAAATAAAATAGACATAGCAAGAGGGTAGATTGAAATCCTACCAGATCAATAAGCACATTAAATGCAAATTATCTACGTAGTCCAATTGAAAGGTAGAACTGTCAAGGTGGATAAAAAACAAGACCAAACCTTTGTTATCTATGAGAAACACACTTTAAATATACAGATAAAGGGAGAGTAAAAATAGTAGGTTGGAAAAAGTGATGTGATAAAAACATTAACCCAAAGAAAGCTAGAAGTTGATGTATAAAACAAAGTAGACTTCAGAACAAGAAACACTATCATGATATTCATAATTATTAAAGAGTCAATTCATTAAGCACACATAGCATTGCTAAATTTCTATGTACCTAAGAAAAGCTTAACTATATACATAAAAAAATGGATAGAACTGAAAGGAGAAATAGCCAATTTCACAATTACAGACAGAGATATTAACTCTCAGTACTTAATAAAACATGTAGATGGAAAATTAACAAAGATATAGAAGATATAAACAATACTCTTAGCCTATATGACCTAATTAGTACTTATAAAGCACTCCATCCAACAACAATAGAATACACACTCTTTCAAGTACACGAGTCATTCACTGAGATAGACCACGAACTAAACCAATAAATGTCAATAAATCTAAAATAATTTACATAACTTAAAGTATGTTCTCTGCTCACAATGCGGTTAAACTAGAAATAAGCAACAAAATGTTAGTTGGAAAGCGTTCAAATATTTAGAAATTAAACGACACATTCTAAATAATGTGTGGGTCAAGAAAGAAATCACAAGAAAAATTAGAAAACATTCGAGCCAAATGAAAATGAAAACACAGCATATCAAAATTTGTGAGATGCAGCTAGGACAGTTCTTAGAGGGAAACTTATAGCATCACATGCTTATATTAGAAAAAGAAAAGGCTCTCGAGACAATTATTTAAGCTTCTTAGAGAAAAAAAAGAAAAAAATCAATCCAAAGGAAGCATTAAAATGAGTTAACAAAGATAAGATCAGTAATCAACAAAACCAAAAAAAAACCAAACAGAAAATTGATGAAACCCTAAGCTGTTTTTTTTAAGAAATTTAATAACATTGTTAAATTTGTCACACTTATCAAGAAAGAAAAGAGAGAGCACATAAACTAACAATATCAGGAATGAAAGATGCAACATCATTACTGAGTCTACGGAACAGAAATTAAAAGCAATAATAAGAAAAGACTGTGAAGTGTATGGCGATAAATTTGACAACTTACATATAATGAGCAACTTATTTTAAAGACACAGACTGCATAAATATTAAAGCTCACTCAAGAAAAAATGTATTTAACAAAGTTATGAAGGGAGACAATAGAAAAAAAAATTTAATCGACGTGAAACATCAAGAAACAAAAGGGGCAAAAAACAGCTGGACAACTAGAACCTAATAGTGAGATGGCAGAAATAAATCCAAATAGATCAGTAATTTTTTAAATGTAAATAATCTAATATTTGAATTAAAAACTAAGATCACCTCACCATACCAAAAAAGCCCCTCAACTGTATCTTATTCACAAGAAACACACCTTAAATAAAAATGTTAAAGTTTGAAAAGGCTAGAAGGATGCATACTGTATTTATGAATAAGAATAATCATTCTGTTAAAAATATCAATTATCCTCAAATTAATCCATAGACTTTAGTAAAAACCCTAATAGAAATTTTTTATAGCACTTCAGAGTTTTATGCTAAATTTATATGGAAGATCAAAGGGACAAGAACAGGTCTGATTTTCCAATAAAGTGGAATGTGAAGGACATGCCCAACCAGATATTGAGACCTTTGTAAAGCTACACTAATTGAGGCTGGGAATGTACTCTTAGGGATGGAGCTACAGTTCAAAGGCAGAGAATAGAAAGACCTATCCTAGACTCACTTATGTATGGAAACTTGACATATTAAAGAGATGGCATTGCAAACTGAAGGTGGGGGAGACAATTGAATAAATTGTGCTGGGAGAATTCATTATATATATACATAATATAAAATTGGATTTCAACATTATCACGCTCAAAAATCATTTCCATTTGGATCAATGGTTCTGAATTAGGTTGGGGAAGGGAGCAATTTCTCCCTACTTTGTGACTGAAGGCCTAAAATCAAGGATCAATATTTTGTGCTGCCTTGATACTTGGTAAAATTGGGAGGGTCTTGAATGGCCTAGTTGCAAGTTCCCCTCACCACCCTCGCTAAACAACTTTCTTTATCAAAGGCACCAGACACAGTTCCTGCTTATCTCTGAGTAGCAGGTTTCAGATCCCTACCAGCCAAATACATCCTCCCATGGGAACCAGGGGGCACCCCACCCACTGATACTACAAAGCCCCTGGTTGTTTACTCTGTTTCTGAGTGCAACCCCTGCGTGGCCCTGTGTTGCGTGCAGCATTCTCCTCACCTGGGCTGTGAATATATGTGACTAATAAGCCCATCTCTCCAGTATTAGGTGTGATACGTTTGGTCATCCTCATAATCCTAGGGCCTGAATCCCTCGGTCACCAACAGGGTGAAGAGGAGGCAATTAAAACATACTCCACCCCTCACTTGAGTATGATCACCAGATAACATACTGGACATACAGTTACTTTTGAATTTAAATAATACATAATTTTTTGATGTAACTATGCCTTAAATATTACATTACTTATACTAAAAAGTATTTGTTGTTTATATGGAATTCAAATTTGACCCAGTGTCTTGTGTTTTTATTTGCTGAATCTGGCAGCCTATCTCCAGCGAATATAATGGCAACGTCTTGGGACCATTTTCACTGTCACTACTGTGGAGTGAGGAGAGGGAGCAGTGCTACTGACATCTAGTGTGTAGAGATCTACGATGCGCAAGGAATCCCCCCAAAACAAAGAATTCCAGAGCCCAAAGTTGCACTAATACCACTACTGAAAAACCTTGATATAGAAAAGGACTTACATATGAAATACAAATCTTTAAAATTTTTAGATGTCAATGAACAAAAACTTAAAACACAATATAGGAAATATACTTCTTATCATAGAACAGGAAATAAAGTTCTAAATAAGACTAACATGTGCAAAATCTAAAAGAAGAAATTATAAATTTAACTACATTAAAATGAAGAATAACTGTTTATCAGACAACATTACAAAAGAGTCAAAGGAAAGCCACTCACTTGGAGAAGATGTTAGCAACACATATAAGTGATAAAGTGCTTAGATCGAATGCATCAAGATTGTTAACGAACCAATAAGAAAATAACAAACAACCCAGCAGGAAAAAAAAAAAATAGGCAAAGATCAGAAAGGTATTTCACAAAAGCATAAACACAAATGATCCATTAACAAGTGAAACAATGATTTGCATTAGCATAATCAAGAAAGTACAACTTACAAATGTCCACTCTATGTTGGCAAAACTTACAAAAGAACAAAGTCTGAATATGCTAAAATTAACAAGGAGGATAACAAAGATAAATAGAAATTGTCGTAAAAGACTTATGGTGGTGTAAATTAATAAAACCATTTGGAAAGCAATTTACTGTTACCTAGTTATTTTGAAGAATCATATGACCCTATAACCCTTTTAATTTTATTCCTGGGTATATACAGGTTGAGTATCTCTTATCCAAAATTCTTGGAACCAGAAGTATTCAGATTTAGAAGTTTTCCAGATTTTAGAATATTTGCATATACATAAAAAAATGTCTTGGTGTTGGGACCCAAGTCTAAACACACAAGTCATTTATGTTTCATATACACCTCATATACGTAGCTTGGAGGTAATTTTATACACTATTTTTTAATTCTTTTGTGCATGAAAGTTAGTGTTAAGTAGTTATATGTGGAATTTTCCACTTGTGGTGTTATGTTAGCGCTCAAAATTTTCTGATTTTGGAGCATTTTGGACTTCAGATTTTCAGAGTAAGGATGCTCCACCTGTACTCTCAATAAGATTGTACTTGTGTCCCAGTTCATAATGGCATTTCATGTAATAGTAAAAAATTGTTTTAAAAAAGGAAATGGATACATAAATTATGTTTTAGGTTTGCCCTAGAATAGTACACATCTGTGAAAAATAAATGAATTACAGCTACTTGTATCAACATGAATAAAGCAAGTCGTAGAGTATACACACATAGGCACACACATGCATATATATAAAACAATTCTATTCATATATATATATGTGTGATATGTTTCATAGTTTTAAAAACACAAGAGATTCACATTTTCATACAAAAAGTTACCAGTATTTCCAGGGAAAAGACCCATCCCTCCCTCTCTGAGCCTGGGACTCGATTTTTTCTGGAAATATTTAAACTTCTCCAGGATACACCTTACTCACCCCTCCTCACTCCCTTGAGGCCCTGCCACAAGATGGGACAGTGTGACAATCAGATCTTCCGATGGGTGGGAGGAAGGTGGGAGAGTCAGATGAAGACCACTTGTGTCCAAATTCTCCAGGAGCTGACTGGCCTGAAAACCACATGAAACCTTCTCGGTAAATTTCCTCACAGCGTCTGGAAAGCCGCGGGCAGCGAAATACACCTCAGGTCTGACCTCCCACTGGCTGATGATCCGCAAGATTCCAGGCTCCCTGCGTCTTTCAGGACACTCCTAAAACTGGGTTAATAGCCTCTACCTGGTCTCCCCCGTGTGCTACTTCCAGCTTAACTGAAAAGTTTAAAATCAAATAGAGGCTTTGTCTACCAAATTCTTTCACCAGGCACTAGAGAAAACCATCAAAGGGATGCAAATGTGTCTACCACTTAAATTGTTTAAATTCCAAATAACTTTTTCTGTTGTTGTGTTTTTATTACTTAACTAAGCAGATGGTCATTGGGAAGAAGCTGAAAATTCAAATACGTACAACAAGGATGAAGACAGAAATGACCAGTTTTACCCAAATCCGGATGAAATCATTGTCAGCACTTGACATGTGTCATTCATCTTCTATGGATATATATTTATACACCTGTGCATTTAAGTAAAAAGTCATTCATTTTGTACACAATTTTAAACTGATTTTTAAAAGCTACCTTTTAAAATTACTGTGGATTTCTCTCTCTGTCCTTAAGTCTTCTTTTGCAGCATCGTTTTAACAGCTATACAACCATCTCCTTCATCATTTCCTTATGGTAGGACATTGGTTATTTCTGATTTTTTTCACTCATACAGTGTTGAAATATTTTAACAAGATCCTTGTTAAATTAATATTTTATTAAGATCCACGTGTGCACATTGTTATTTTCTTTCTTTCCTTTTTTTTTTTTTTTTTTTTGAGATGGAGTCTCACTCTGTCCCTCAGGCTGGAATCAGTGGCGTGATCTCTGCTCACAGCAACTTCTGCCTCCAGGGTTCAAGCCATTCTCCTGCCTCAGCCTCCCGACTACAGGCGCCCGCCACTACGCTGGGCTAATTTTTTGTATTTTTAGTAGAGATGAGGTTTCACCATGTTAGCCAGGATGGTCTTGATCTCCTGACCTCGTGATCCGCCTGCCTCAGCCTCCCAAAGTGCTGGGATTACAGGCATGAGCTACCACGGCCGGCCCACACTGTTATTTTCTTTAGACAGATTCCTAGAGGTTGAATTTCTTTCATGCAAGTATGTGTATATCCAACTTTCTCAGGTTCAAATTCCTCTTAAATGAGATCACGCAAGCAAAGCATATAACGCAGTGACTGGCATATGCTAAACACACAGGAAGTTATCGAAAATAGTCTAGCTATGTTCTGGACACTGCACATGCACTTCACATGTATTACCTTTTACAACTGTGATCAACTTTGTAAGGTGGATGAGGAAATGAACTCAGAGAGGTTTAGTAACTTGCCCCCATTGCACGGCCCAGAGAATCAGGATTCAAACTGAGGTCTCTTTGATGTAGAGAGAAGGGCACTGTGCCCTGGCATATCTTCCTCATGGGTCCCGGGGACAGCCCCAAACTCTCCTTAGGCAACTAGAGGTGAATATAGAAGGTCACATACACATTTCTCACGTCCAACTTCTCTGAGCGCCACTAATCTGAAAGCTGCATCACATGTTTATCTTTATCTTACTTATTTGTATTTGTTACTTACTGAAAGGACAGAGGCTGAACAAGCAATGGTGGCCTCTTCAGGCTTTGAGAAATGACAGCCATCTATGCTAGAGAATAAAGACCTCCACAACCCAATTATTTTTAGAGGGCTCCATGAAATCAGGCGAATTTCCCCCATGCAACTGAAGTCATGGATATGACATTTGGAGGTGTTCTCCCCAAGCAGAGATTTTTTTTTTTAGTCCTATTTAACATTCTGCCGTGCTTCACTATCTCTTTTTCTCTGGAGCCAACAACTTTCCTTTCCCACCTCATTTTCTTCCTGGCTCTCCACTGGGAGGCAGCCTGGTTTCTCTAGAGCCAATGGCTATGAGACCCTTGCATTTCCCACACTGAGAGGCATGATCTCCTCAACAGCTCCCTGGTGCAGCACTCTTAACAGATATGATACCCAATTCCAATGAGAGAGTGGGAGGCGTGGTCTGTCATGCACAGGTTATCAAAGCATCCATCGGAGAGTGAACGGGCAGGCTTCTCAGAACATCACATGCACAGCCTGTGACTTGTCAGTCCTTCTCCCGCATTTCTACTCTGGAATGGTAACCATCTTACATAAATGACAGAAGTCTAGGTTAACACAACGAACTTAGTGTCACCATCAATGAGAGTTAACCAAAGTATTGCACTGTAGTATTATTATTATTATTATTATTATTATTATACTTTAAGTTTTAGGGTACATGTGCACAACGTGCAGGTTAGTTACATATGTATACATGTGCCATGCTGGTGCGCTGCACCCATTAACTCGTCATTTAGCATTAGGTATATCTCCTAATGCTATCCCTCCCCCCTCCCCCCTCCCCCACCCCACAACAGTCACTAGAGTGTGATGTTCCCCTTCCTGTGTCCATGTGTTCTCATTGTTCAATTCCCACCTATGAGTGAGAACATGCGGTGTTTGGTTTTTTGTCCTTGCGATAGTTTACTGAGAATGATGATTTCCAATTTCATCCATGTCCCTACAAAGGACATGAACTCATCATTTTTTATGGCTGCATAGTATTCCATGGTGTATATGTGCCACATTTTCTTAATCCAGTCTATCATTGTTGGACATTTGGATTGGTTCCAAGTATTTGCTATTGTGAATAGTGCCACAATAAACATACGTGTGCATGTGTCTTTATAACAGCATGATTTATAATCCTTTGGGTATATACCCAGTAATGGGATGGCTGGGTCAAATGGTATTTCTAGTTCTAGATCCCTGAGGAATCGCCACACTGACTTCCACAATGGTTGAACCAGTTTACTGTCCCACCAACAGTGTAAAAGTGTTCCTATTTCTCCACATCCTCTCCAGCACCTGTTGTTTCCTGACTTTTTAATGATTGCTATTCTAACTGGTGTGAGATAGTATCTCATTGTGGTTTTGATTTGCATTTCTCTGATGGCCAGTGATGGTGAGCATTTTTTCATGTGTCTTTTGGCTGCATAAATGTCTTCTTTTGAGAAGTGTCTGTTCATATCCTTTGCCCACTTTTTGATGGGGTTGTTTGTTTTTTTCTTGTAAATTTGTTTGAGTTCATTGTAGATTCTGGATATTAGCCCTTTGTCAGATGAGTAGGTTGCGAAAATTTTCTCCCATTTTGTAGGTTGCCTGTTCACTCTGATGGTAGTTTCTTTTGCTGTGCAGAAGCTCTTTAGTTTAATGAGATCCCATTTGTCAATTTTGGCTTTTGTTGCCATTGCTTTTGGTGTTTTAGACATAAAGTCCTTGCCCATGCCTATGTCCTGAATGGTAATGCCTAGGTTTTCTTCTAGGGTTTTTATGGTTTTAGGTCTAACATTTAAGTCTTTAATCCATCTTGAATTGATTTTTGTATAAGGTGTAAGGAAGTGATCCAGTTTCAGCTTTCTACATATAGCTAGCCAGTTTTCCCAGTACCATTTATTAAATAGGGAATCCTTTCCCCATTGCTTGTTTTTCTCAGGTTTGTCAAAGATCAGATAGTTGTAGATATGCGGCGTTATTTCTGAGGGCTCTGTTCTCTTCCATTGATCTATATCTCTGTTTTGGTACCAGTACCATGCTGTTTTGGTGACTGTAGCCTTGTAGTATAGTTTGAAGTCAGGTAGTGTGATGCCTCCAGCTTTGTTCTTTTGGCTTAGGATTGACTTGGCGACGCGGGCTCTTTTTTGGTTCCATATGAACTTTAAAGTAGTTTTTTCCAATTCTGTGAAGAAAGTCATTGGTAGCTTGATGGGGATGGCATTGAATCTATAAATTACCTTGGGCAGTATGGCCATTTTCACGATATTGATTCTTCCTACCCATGAGCGTGGAATGTTCTTCCACTTGTTTGTATTTGAAACAGAAAAGAAAGCAAGTCCGGTGGCAGGAGAGTTTTGGTCCAGCATATTATGGAGGCTGAGATGAGAAATGGTCTCTGTGCCTCCCGAGGACCCCCTACCTTCCAACTATGGCCACATGATATTTTGAAATATGAATCTATATTATTTTTCTTCCTACATTTCCTCCTTTTCTTTCCCTTATTCAGGTAAGTCATCAGCTGGATGCTGACTCATTGCCTTGGGAATGGTATGTTTCAGGGCAGAAAGCAAAAGTGGTCTACAAGACATCCTGGCTATTGTATTCAAAAGCTAGGATCTTAACAGAGCTAGGAGAATTTTGTGAAAGATCTAAAAGGGAGGGCACACAAGGCATAACAGAGCCTTGTAACCAAAGTTGTGGACATGGAGCTTCCCAAACCTCAGAATAGGAAGCGAGGCCCCTTGCATGGAAGAAGAGACAAAGAATTCTGTGGGTCGTGTCCAAGTGACTTGAACACCACTTCCCAGACGTAACAGCAGGGAGTCAGCAAGGCCACAGAGAAACGGCCAAAAGGAACAAAAGAGAGCATACAGGCATCAAAGGAAAGTAGTAAGAGGCCACCGCCTGAGGGGGGCTGAGCACAGGAATGAGGGCTCACCCAGCAGTAACCTGTACAGACTGCCGACCTGGGACAAGCGGCTCTGTCTCCCACCCCTCACCCATTCCAACCTTCCCACCCTAAGATTCCTTGACACTGCATAAGTGTTTGGTGGGAATGACAAAAAAGCACAAAGTTAAATTTTCTTGCAGTCAGTCAGACTGGAGACTTAGAGTCAAAACTCAATTACGTTATGGAAAAGAAAGTGCTATTTCTGACACATCTGGGGTTTGGACTGAGATGTCTACCTATTGCTCCTTCCTTCTTTGCGCGTCACACCCTGCAGAGAATATGATGCTAGGTGTTTTGCAGAAGACGAAAGACCAAAGCAACTAGTGATGACCACAGCCTGCATGGGTTGAAGAAGAAATTGGCTGATACGTTCAAACTCCACGTTGCTGTGCTGGTTCATTCTACGCAAGGCTGGAACTGCCTCCTCAAATTAGTTGTTTAGCTGCTCTAAATGACACTTAAACTTCTACAGAGGAAACTAAATTTAGTTACTCCCCATAAACACAGTTGTCTGGTTGATGGGAACAAGAACAAGCATGGGAACATGTTTTCAGAAATGTTTGAATAATATATGTCAAGGCAGTAACGCCGAAGCTCTAAAAAGACAGAGCTTTGCAGGGGGCAGGTTTTCACACTGAATTTCAGAGAAAAACAACTATAGGATGACCTGACAATAGGATGAGAGAGAGAGAGATCATTTTAGTTTGATATTTCTGCCTAAAGTTAGTGAAAAGCAGAAGAAAGCAACCAGGAGAATCCAGTCTATCATTGTTGGACATTTGGGTTGGTTCCAGGTCTTTGCTATTGTGAATAGTGCCTCAATAAACATACGTGTGCATGTGTCTTTATAACAGCATGGTTTATAGTCCTTTGGGTATATACCCAGTAATGGGATGGCTGGGTCAAATGGTATTTCTAGTTCTAGATCCCTGAGGAATCGCCACACTGACTTCCACAATGGTTGAACCAGTTTACTGTCCCACCAACAGTGTGAAAGTGTTCCTATTTCTCCACATCCTCTCCAGCACCTGTTGTTTCCTGACTTTTTAATGACTGCCATTCTAACTGGTCTGAGATGGTATCTCATTGTGGTTTTGATTTGCATTTCTCTGATGGCCAGTAATGGTGAGCATTTTTTCGTGTGTTTTTTGGCTGCATAAATGTCTTCTTTTCAGAGGTGTCTGTTCATGTCCTTCGCCCACTTTTTGATGGGGTTGTTTGTTTTTTTTCTTGTAAATTTGTTTGAGTTCATTGTAGATTCTGGATATTAGCCCTTTGTCAGATGAGTAGGTTGTGAAAATTTTCTCCCATTTTGTAGGTTGCCTGTTCACTCTGATGGTAGTTTCTTTTGCTGTGCAGAAGCTCTTTAGTTTAATGAGATCCCATTTGTCAATTATGGCTTTTGTTGCCATTGTTTTTGGTGTTTTAGACATAAAGTCCTTGCCCATGCCTATGTCCTGAATGGTAATGCCTAGGTTTTCTTCTAGGGTGTTTATGGTTTTAGGTCTAACATTTAAGTCTTTAATCCATCTTGAACTGATTTTTGTATAAGGTGTAAGGAAGGGATCCAGTTTCAGCTTTCTACATATGCCTAGCCAGTTTTCCCAGCACCATTTATTAAATAGGGAATCCTTTCCCCATTGCTTGTTTTTCTCAGGTTTGTCAAAGATCAGATAGTTGTAGATATGCGGCGTTATTTCTGAGGGCTCTGTTCTGTTCCATTGATCTATATCTCTGTTTTGGTACCAGTACCATGCTGTTTTGGTGACTGTAGCCTTGTAGTATAGTTTGAAGTCAGGTAGTGTGATGCCTCCAGCTTTGTTCTTTTGGCTTAGGATTGACTTGGCAATGCGGGCTCTTTTTTGGTTCCATATGAACTTTAAAGTAGTTTTTTCCAATTCTGTGAAGAAAGTCATTGGTAGCTTGATGGGGATGGCATTGAATCTATAAATTACCTTGGGCAGTATGGCCATTTTCACGATATTGATTCTTCCTACCCATGAGCATGGAATGTTCTTCCATTTGTTTGTATCCTCTTTTATTTCATTGAGCAGTGGTTTGTAGTTCTCCTTGAAGAGGTCCTTCACATCCCTTGTAAGTTGGATTCCTAGGTGTTTTATTCTCTTTGAAGCAATTGTGAATGGGAGTTCACTCATGATTTGGCTCTCTGTTTGTCTGTTGTTGGTGTATAAGAATGCTTGTGATTTTTGTACATTGATTTTGTATCCTGAGACTTTGCTGAAGTTGCTTATCAGCTTAAGGAGATTTTGGGCTGAGACAATGGGGTTTTCTAGATATACAATCATGTCGTCTGCAAACAGGGACAATTTGACTTCCTCTTTTCCTAATTGAATACCCTTTATTTCCTTCTCCTGCCTAATTGCCCTGGCCAGAACTTCCAACACCATGTTGAATAGGAGTGGTGAGAGAGGGCATCCCTATCTTGTGCCAGTTTTCAAAGGGAATGCTTCCAGTTTTTGCCCATTCAGTATGATATTGGCTGTGGGTTTGTCATAGATAGCTCTTATTATTTTGAGATACGTCCCATCAATACCTAATTTATTAAGAAAATGTGGCACATATACACCATGGAATACTATGCAGCCATAAAAAATGATGAGTTCATGTCCTTTGTAGGGACATGGATGAAATTGGAAATCATCATTCTCAGTAAACTATCGCAAGAACAAAAAACCAAACACTGCATATTCTCACTTATAGGTGGGAATTGAACAATGAGAACACATGGACAGAGGAAGGGGAACATCACACTCTGGGGACTGTTGTGGGGTGGGAGGTGGGGGGAGGGGGGAGGGATAGCATTGGGAGATATACCTAATGCTAGATGACGAGTTAGTGGGTGCAGCGCACCAGCATGTCACACGTATACATAGGTAACTAACCTGCACATTGTGCACACGTACCCTAAAACTTAAATAATAATAAAAAAAAAAAAAAAGAAAGCAACCAGGAGAAATGGTGAAGAGATTCTTATGGTCTGAATTCAACTCTTATTTTCCATCCAAGAGACCCTCCGGATGGAAAGATGAGTTAGGCAGCCCCTACCTACTCTCAAAGGGTTTGTGGTTCTGATTTGGAAGAGGTGAGAGAGAATTCCAGTTTGGTGCTGGGATGAGTGTGCTCACCCATGGAGGCTAAAGGAACACACAGCAGGAGGTAACGGGGCTTGCCAGAAAGCTCAGGCAAGCTGCACCAACAAAATGGTATTTCAGCTGGTTTTGGAAGGCTGACCAGTGGCTTGAGCTTTCCTGCCTGAGAAAGGAAGAAAGGAAAGATTTGGAGATACGAAAGAATATGGTGAATTCAAAAACAAGAGACGCCTCTGGTTTGATGAGTGCACAGAGTATGGGGAAGGAAATTGCAGGAGACAGAGACAAAAGAAGACCCCAACTTGAAGTGCTAGGGAGCTTGGCTTCATCCTGCAGGCACCATTCTGGGACCACCCCTAAGCTTTACATGCATAACTCTGCATTGCCCTGGGCTCCAAAGCTGAGGCCTTGTCAGAGAGCAGTGACTGAGCAGGGCATTTCCTTAAAAACCCACAAAAAGCATTTTAACGGCTCAACAGTACAAAGAGAAAAATTTTAGAATCAAAATGTATAATAATGATATTGAAAATACATTTTTATTTTCTTCTATCGAAAAAGACATTAAAGTGAGATGCAGCTCTGTTTTAACGGCTTATTTCATTCATCCATTTAAGCACTATTTGTGATCTATTATGTGCTGTACAATGGTGATTCAGCAGAGGACCAAAGAGACATGGTTCCTGCCCTGATGGAGTCTCTGATATAGTGAGCGGAGACACAAATCACCAACACAAAGCAAGTTATTAAATACTAAAATGCCATGCCGTGATAGGTGCTGGGAGAGAAATGATTCAATTAACGGGGCTCCAAAGGGGAGAGGGCTTGTGAAAATCCTCAAGAACTCTGCCAGACATCTGGTTTCAGTTCTGACTTGTGAAGGGCTTGGAAGTCATCACTCTCTATCTTATGGGAAAAGGTTGAAAAAACTGATGTTTGAAGGTTTTCTTTGACTCATCAGAGAATGGAGGTTGCAGAGCAAACTGTAACCCTGAAGTCTGAAGGGACAGGTTAATCCAGAGCCAGTCACAGCTAAGATCTGCACACGTGGAGCAGACGCCAGTGGAGCCATGAACTGTAATTTCAATGAACTGCTAGGAACTGAGTGCTATGGGCTGAATTTTGCACCCCTAAATTCATATGTTGACATACTAATCCTCAGTACTTCAGAATGGTATTCTATTTGGGAACAGGGTATTTAAAGAATTAATTCAGGTTAAATTAGATCATTAGGGTAGGGCCTTATCCAATTTGATGTGTTCTTATAAGAAGAGGAAATTAGGACACAAACAAGTAGAGAGGGCAGATACATGAGGAAATAGCTAGAAGATGAGCATCTACAGGCCAGAGAGCCCTCAGGCGAAACTGACCCTGATGGCACCTTGATCTTGTGCTTCTTGCTACCAGAATCATGAGAAAAGAAATTCATGTATTTAAACCATCTCATCTGTGACACTTTGTTATGACAGTTTTAGCAAACCAATACACTGAGTGCAGAACCAGGATGGGAGTGAGACACTCTTGGGAGCCACAGAAGAACCACATACTTTCCTAGGTTTTACCTGCAAGAACCCCACCAGGTTCTTATGGTAAACAGCCAATAAAAATCCCCAAGTGGCTCTGGCAGAGACAGGGGAAAGTACTCCTTCTGAAATAAACCCAGAGCTTCCTCCATAAAAGTGACCCACTTTCCAGGGGAAGTGATTACCAGAGCCTTGTCCCAACTTTCCAAAAGCCATTCCCTGTGCTCCAGCATCTCACTAGCCTTCTTATCTCATATAAAAAGGGAGAGGGAAACTCTACCACTGGGTCAGCACTTGTGGAAAGACCCACTAAGAAGCTATGACTTAATTATAAAACTATAGAAGGCTTCCCTTTCCCACACCTCACCATCACACCCACAGGGCTCCAGTGCAGTAACAGCAGAGTAAATCTGAAAGAGTGCAAGGTACAGACTCTCTCTGAGGAGGAGTACTCAGGGAAGTACAAACAGAACAAGAGAGACAATACAGGGACTAGAGTAGTTGGAAGCCTCTGGCACCTTTACCTACAGGAAAAATTAAACATAGGACAACTTCTTACCAGATGAACATAAATTCTCACACTAAAGGTCTATTTACCTCAGTTACTATTACCCAATACAACATGACTGGATTTCAACAACAACAACAATAACAAAAATTAGAAGGCATTACAAAAGGGTAGGAAAAAATTCTGAAGAGGTGAAACAAGCATTAGAACCAGACTCAGATGTGACACAGGTGTTAGGATTACCATACAGAAAATTTAAAATAAACATGATTAATATATAAAGGCTCTAATGGAGACAGTAACCAATAGAAAACAATATATGATAATGTAAGCAGAGAGATGGAAACTCTAAGAAAGAATCAAAAGGAAATGGTAGAAATAAAAAACACTCTGACAGAAATGAAGAATGCCTTTGAAGCACTCATCAGCAGAAGACACAGCCAAGGAAAGGATTAGTGACCTGAAGATAAGTCAATGGAAATTTCCCAAACTAAAATGGAAATGGAAAAAAAAAAAGAATGAAAACAAGCATAACAGAACATCTAAGAACTGTGAGACAGTTTCAAATGTTGTAGAATATACATAATTGGAACAATAGAGGGAAAAGGAAAAGCGTTATCTGAAGTGGCTGAGAATTTTTTAACTTAATAACAGATATCACACCACAGATCAAGAAAGCTCAGAGAACAGCAAGCAGGAGACATATATATCCATATATATATATAATCTATCTCCAATATGCTGGAGAGCTGCTCCAGCATATTGGAGAGCTGCTCCAGTATACTGGAGAGACATATATATATATATATGTGTGTGTATATATATATGTGTGTATATATATATATATGTGTGTGTGTATATATATATAAAACTAAGGATGTATATATACACACATATATCCATATATATATATCCTGCTTGCTATCTCTCTCTCTCACACACACACATATACATAAAACTAAACATATAATATTTATGCTGCAGAAATTCAAAAACAAAGAGAAAAATCTTGAAGAGGCAAGAAGGGGAAACACTCTACCCATTGATGTAATAATTATAGCAGACTTTTCATCAGAACATATCCAGGCAAGAAGAGAGTGAAGTATTTAAAGCATTGAAAGAAAAAAAAAAGACACCCATCTAGAAATCTATAGCCAGTGAAATTATCCTTCTGAGAGTAAAAGAAATGTATACTTTCGTAGACAAACAAAAATAGTGGGAAATCAGCAGCAGCAGGCTCGACCTTCAAGGAATGTGAATAGGAGTTCTTCTGGGAGAAGGAAAATGACATAGGTCAGAAACTTAGGACTACAGAATGAAGAGCATGAAGAACAGACTACATACAGGTAAAATAAAATATTTTTTGTTTCTCTTATTTTTAATTGATCTAAAAAGTAATTTTTTTTTCCAACTTTTGTCTTTGTTTTGGGTGTACATGTGCAGGTTTGTTACTTGGGTAAATTGTGTGTGTCATGGGGGTTTGGCATACAGATAATTTTGTCACCCAGGTAATCAGCATAGTACCTGACAGGTAGTTTTTTAGTTCTCCCTCTTCTCCCATCCTCCACCCTCAAGAAGGCCTGCCTATTGTTTTCTTCTTGGTGTCCATGTATACTCAGTGTTTAGCTCCTACTTATAAGTGAGAACATGCAGTATTTGGTTTTCTGTTTCTGTGTTAATTCACTTAGGATAATGCCTTCCAGCTCCATCCATGTTGCTGCAAAGATAAATTTGAAATAATAGTAATGATATATTGAGTGATTATATCACATTGATAAGCAAAATGAGTGACAGCAACATCACAAGGGATCAGAGGGAGGAATTGGAACTAATCTATTATAAGATATCTTCATTACCCATGAAACAGAATAATGTTGTTAGATATAGACTGATAAAAAATTATGCTCGGGACTCTAGGGCAACTGTTAACAAAATGTTTAAAAGAATCTAATGGATATAATAAAAGAGAACATGAAAAGGTGTTATATAAACTGCTAAATTAAGACCAGAGAAGGTAGAAAAAGAAATAACAAACAAATGCAATGAGTAGATGTAATTATATGACTGATATGTATTAGTATATCAATAATTACTTTAAGTGTGAATAAACTAAAAACTTCAATTAAATGAATTAAATGACAGAGATTGTCAGAGTGGGTAAAAAAAATTACCCAACTATATTGTCTGTAAGAATTTCTTTTTAAATATAAAACTTATATCTGTTAAAAGTAAAAGGATGAGGATACATGATGCTAACATGAATCAAAAGAAAGCTGAAATAGCTATATTAATTTTAGATAAACCAAACTTCAGAACAAGGAAAACTATTAGGGATAAATAGGGGAATTCCATAATGATAAAGGGGTCAGTTCTCCAAAAAGACATCATAATCCTAAATATGTGTGCACCTAATAACGTAACATCAAAATACATGAGCCAAAAGCTGAAAGGACCAAACAGAGAAATATATAAATCCACTCTTATATTTGGAAACTTCAGCTTCTCTCTGTCAGTACCTTCTAGCTCAAGCAGACAGAAAATCAGTAAGAATATAATTAAACAGCACCATCAATCAACTTTATCTAACTGACATTTACAGGATATTCCATTGAACAACAGCAGGATGCTCATTTTATTGAAGCTCACACAGAACAATCACTAACATACACCACACTCAAGGTAATAGAAATCTTAAATAGATACTCAAGAGACATCTTAAATGTAAAAGAATAGAAACTGTACAAAATATATATTCAAATCACAATGGAGTTAAACTAATCAATAACAGAAAGATACCTGAAAAATATCCACATATTAGGAGAGTAAAATAAACATTCCCCAAAAAAATGCAAGGGTCAAAGAAGATATCTCAAGAGAAATTATCAATTTGTTGGATGCAGCAAAAGCAGTCCTTCAAGAGAAATTTATACCATTAAATACATATATTACAAAAGAAGAAAGATCTAAAGTCAATATCCTAAGCTTAGGAAACTAGAAAAAGAAAGCAATTTAAACTTGCACCAAGCAGAAGGAAAGAAATAATAAAAATTAGAGCAGAAATCAATATAACTGAAAACATGAAAATAAAAGAAAACCTAAATCTAATTCTTTGAAAAAAATTAATAAACTTGAAATACCTCTAGCCAAGTTGAGAGAGAGAGGAGGAAGTAACAAATCACTGATATCAGAAATGAAAGCAGGATTATCACTAGTGATTCCATGGACATTAAAAAGATAATAAAGAAATGTTATGAACAACTCAATGCCTATAAATTCGGTGGTAACTTAGATGAAGTGGACTGATTATAAAATGGATAAAGTAAATGAATAAACTTTGAAAGATGAAACTATGAAAACTCACACAAAGAAAAACAGATAATCCTAGTAGGCTCATGTCCATTAAGAAAATTAAATCAATAATTAACTTTCCAAGAAAGCAAGTACCAGCCCAAATGATTTTCACTGGTGAATTCCACCAAACATTTAAGAAGGAAATAATACCAATTATCTACAATATCTTCCAGAAAATAGAAACAGAGGGAGAACCTACTAGCTCATTCTATGAGCTAGCACTACTCTAATAGCAAAACCAGATAAAGACATCCCACACAAAAAAACTACAGACCAATATCTATCATAAAAATAGATGCAAAATGCTCAAAAAATCACAGTAAATGAGATTCAATAATGTATAAAAATAATTAAACACTACACGCTGGGTGTGGTGGCTCACACCTGTGATACCAGCACTTTGGGAGGCCAAGCAGGCGATCACTTGAGGTTGAGAGTTTGAGGCCAGCCTGGCCAACATGACGAGACCCAATCTCTACTAAAAATAAAAAAATTAGCTGGGTGTGGTGGTGCATGCCTGTAATTCCAGCTGCTCGAGAGGCTGAGGCATGAGAATTGCTTGTTGCTTGAACCTGGGAGGAAGAGGTTGCAGATAGCACCACTGCACTCCAGCCTGGGTGACAGAGTAAGACTCTGTCTCAAAAAAAAAAATTAGACACCACAATCATGTAAAGTTTATTCTGGGTATAAAAGACTGGTTCAACATTCAAAACTTAATCAATATAACCCACCATATCAACAAACTAAAGAAAGAAAATAATATCATCAAACCAATTGATGAAGGAAAAGTATTTTACAAAATCCAAGTCATTCACAATAAAAGCTCATAGCAAAGTAGAAATAGAAGGAAATTTTCTTAATAAAAATATACCTATAGAAATTTATGACAAATATCATAATTATGAAAAACTGTATATTTTTCTCCAATATTATGAATAAGAACACAAATGTTCTCTCTCACCACTCCTACTTAATATGGAGCTGAAATTTCTACCTAGTGCAATAAGAAAAGAAAGAAAAATAAAAGGTATGTAGATTGGAAAAGAAAAACTAAAACTGTCTTTTTCGCAGATGACATTATTGTCTATGTAGAAAATCCCAGCAAATCATTAAAAGTATCTTGGAACTAGCAAGAGATTTTAGCAATTTCATGTGATACAAGGTTAATACACAAAAGTCAGTTGTTTCCTGTATACCAGCAATAAACAAATGGAAAATGATTTTTTTCAAAAAATGCCTTTTACAATGGTAACAAAGAAAAAAGAGATATAAATCTAACAAGATATGTACAAGATCTATATACTGAAAACCATAAAAATCTGATGAATGAAATCAAGTTCTAAATAAATGGGGAGATATTCCATATTCATGGATGGGAAGACTCAATATGATTAAGATATCAATTCTTCCCAACTTGTTCTATAGATTCAACATGATCCCAATCAAAATTTCCCCAAGAATTTTTGATATTTTATAAATATTGACAAACTGATTCTAAAGTTTATATATAAAGGCAAATGACAGAAAATAGCCAATACAATACTAAAGAAGAGAGACCAAGTTGGAGACTTGCTATAAAGCTGCAGTAATAAAGGTTGTGGTTTTGTCAAAAGAAAAGATGAATGGGTAAATGGAACTGAAGAGAGAGCCAAGAGAAAGAGCTGCACTAACACTGAACTTTGACAAAGGAGCAAAGACAATTCAATAAATAAAGGACAGTCTATTCCACAAACAGTACTGGAATGATTTAATGTCCATATGCAAAAAAAGTGAATATAGACGCATATCTTAAACCTTTCAAAATTATTATCTCAAAATGAATCATAGATCTAAATGCAAATGCAAAGTCAATAGGGGATTGTTATGGGAAGTCAGGGACCCCAAATGGAGGGACTGGCTGGAGCCACGGCAGAGGAACATAAATTGTGAAGATTTCATCTTAATATGGACATTTATCAGTTCCCAAATATTACTTTTATAATTTCTTATGCCTGTCTTTACTTTAATCTCTTAATCCTGTTATCTTCATACTCTGAGGATGTATGTCACCTCAGGACCACTGTGATAATTGTGTTAACTGTACAAATTGATTGTAAAACATGTGTGTTTGAACAATATGAAATCAGTGCACCTTGAAAAAGAACAGAATAACAGGGATTTTTATGGAACAAGGGAAGACAACCATAAGGTCTGACTACCTGCGGGGTCGGGCAAAAACAGCCATATTTTTCTTCTTGCAGAGAGCCTATAAACAGACATACAAGTAGGAAAGATATCACCAAACTATTTTCTTAGCAAGGAATATTAATATTAATACCTTGGGAAAGGAATGTGTTCCTGGGGGGAGGTCTATAAATGGCCGTTCTGGGAATGTCTGTCTTGTGCAGTTGAGATAAGGACTGAGATACACCCTGGTCTCCTGCAGAACCTCAGGCTTACTAGGGACAACAATAATGAGAAATCCCTACACACCTATTAGAATAGGCAAAACCCCGAGTGCTGACAACACCAAATGCTGTTCAGGACGTGGAGCAACATGGACACTCATTCATTGCTAGTGGGCATGCAAAATGCTACAGCCACTTTGAAAGACAGTTTGGCAGTTTCTTACAAAGCTGGCCATGGTCTTTCCATATACTCCAACTAGATATTCACCCAACTGATTTGAAAGGTATCTCCATACAAAAGCCTGCCTGCAGATGTATCTATAGCAGCTCTATTCATAACAACCAAAAACAGAAAGCAACCCAGGTGTCCTTCAATAGGTGAATTGATAAACTGTGGTACATCCACACGGTGAAACATTATTCAGTGTTAAAAGGAAATCAGCTAACAAGACATGAAAAAACATAAATGAACCATCTAAGCATATTAATAAATAAATGATTCCAATTATATAATATTGTGTTAAAGGTATAACATAGATAGTAAAAACAAAAATCAGTGTTTGCTAGGGGTTGGGGCAGGGTTGAATGGGTAAAATACAGGATAATTTTTAGGGTGGTGAAACTATTTTGTATAATAATGTAATGATGGATATTAACGATACACATTTGTCAAAATCTATAGAACTTTATGCCACAAAAAGGTGATTATAATGTATGCAAATTTAAATAACTCATTTAGAAGGTCAAGGTATTCCAAGATGGAATACATACTATAACAAAACAACCTATGTTATACATGTTTTAAGCAATTTGTAAAGGAGGTGAAGGAAAATGATGCTGATCCAGGTAACTTCAGAAATGAGTGAGTCTTCAGAATAAGACTAAAGAAACTAGTTGATAAAGTTATTTCCCATGGGGTTACAGGTTAACAATTCTTATACCTCTCTGTATAGTGGAGTCCAATAATTAAATAAATAGATGGCAGATGGTAGGGGTCAGCTTTCTCACAGTCGAGTGGGAGTTAACAGATAAGCAATGGAAGGAGGCTGGAATAATCCATTTGGTAATGGATTAGAGTTAGAGACACCAGTATGAATTTATGCTTAGCTTAATATAGATACAGAAAGCTACACATTAAAAAATTGATAAATATTGTGTATTTACACAGGTTAGTATACATATATATTTCCCTGATCTGTCAGCTGAGAGGGCCTAAAAGCAATGACATCCCAGCAGCAATGAGCATAACAACGGCCCAGGTCCTGGTTTCTTTTCTTTTTCTTTTTTTTTTCCAGCCGCCCAGGCTGGAGTGTAGTGGCATGATATCGACTCACTGCAACCTCTGCCTCTCGGTTTCAAGTGATTCTCCTGCCTCAGCCTCCTGAGTAGCTGGGATTACAGACATGGACCACCTTGCCTAGCTAATTTTTCTATTTTTAATGGAGAAAAGGTTTCGCCAAGTTGGCCAGGCTGGTCTTGAACCCCTGACCTCAGGTGACCCACCAGGCTCGGCCTCCCAAAGTGCTGGGATTACAGGCATGAGCCACCATGCCCAGCCCCAGACCTCGGTTTCTAATGCCATTCAATTAAAGGAACCAGGGGTCATTGGAGAAATGGCTGACTACAGGACTAAGGCAGGGAATATACAAACTAAGCCTGGAAAAGCTTATAATTTCAAAAAGTAGAAATTATTAAAAAAAAAAAAAACACACACACACAGAGAATGATTATGGTATGTAACAGGGACACATAAACAAACTGAAAGATCTCCCAATGGCTAAAGCTGGAACAATTTGAGCAACAACAACAAAAAATAAAGTAGTGTTGGATTATATCCCAAAGTACTAAATAAATATCCACAAGATCCTACTGATAAAAATAAATGATTGAATAAATAAATGGGGAAGAATGGGCAGATTTCCCAGGCAAAAGTTTCCAAGTAATTTTTGTAAATATTCTTCCCTCAAGTGGGTGGGACATGATTCCTCCCTCGCTGGGTGTGGGCTATGCTTATTGGTTTCCTTCCGAAGGGTGCAGCAGGGAAAGGGGAGGGGCAACGAGTGACGTCACAGTGAGGAAAGTGAAGCTCCAGCCCCGCCAGGTGCTCAAGTCACCATCACAGTGATAAGCCTTGATAGGATGTGATGAAAATGGCACGTTACCTCTGTCATCGTCCTCCCCCAAACACAGGACCCAGTCACATAAATCTCGATAGTGGGGTTTCCTGTAATTTACCTGACTAGCACTCCTCAAAGCCATCAAGGTTATCAAAAATAAGAAAAGTCTGAGAAATCTTGGCTGAGTGCGGTGGCTCACACCTGTAATCCCAGCACTTTGGGAGGCTGAGGTGGGTGGATCACCTGAGGTCAAGAGTTCGAGACCATCCTGGACAACATTCAGCATACTTCATGGTGTCTGTCTGTCTCCACCACAGGCTGCAAAGTCCTTGAGGACAGAGCTGTTTTCTATTCCTCAATGCGTTCGGAACACAGCTGTAAACACATAGCATCTCAAAACTAATTTTTGAATGAATAAATGAAATCTAAACCTCAGAGATTAAAAACAGGTATCAAGAATTAATCAGGCCAAATATTTCTAAAAGGATGGGAAAATCACTGGCATTGTGAATACTAAACTCCATCAGCATGCTAACTATTTTCCAAATAGCACAAAATTCTGTTCTCTGTCTTTGACCCTGCCTTGATTGAGTTGCCCTGATTGCTTACATTCTCACGCACTGCCTGCGAAATGGTCACAGCTCCACAACTCATAAAGGGTTTCAAATTTTCTGCATGATAACATCAGAATTGCTAGTTGACAAAGGAAACAAGTCAATTAATTGATGGCTTACTATACAACTTTCTCTTTCTCGCCCACACACACTCACAAAGAAGCTTGGTATAGCAGACAGTGTACAGGAGCTGGGTTCAGAAAACCAGGTTGGAATTCTGATCTTGCCATTTTCCAGCCACGTGGCTTTGATCCCATCATGAGGCAGTGGGGCCATGGAAAGGGCATATAGCTATGAGTCTGAATCTCAACTGGCCCCGTTATTCCTTAGCAGAGGGACTGTGGGCAAGTTACACTCTTTGAGAATCTGATTCCTCATCCCCAAAAGGAGAGTGAGGAGCTTCATCTATTCCTCAGCTCCTTCATAATATCACTGGGAGAGGCAAATGAGAACATGCATGGAAAAAACTTTGTAAATGGCAAAGTGTTGTACAGACTGGTGTTCCTCAAACACTTCCCCAATAGGGGCCCCACCTGGAAAATATCCTGGTCAAATAAACATGGGAAATGCTTTCGAGGCTTTCCCTCTTGCACATTGCAAAGTGAATTCCCATATTAAAGGCTCTGGGATCGTTTGTAATTAACAGATAAAATAAACACCTGTTTAACTGCATCAGCTACGATGTTTCCCAAACTTCTTTGTACGGGAAAACATGTGAGTTTTTGTGTATTTGTGTCTGTACACTTTTCAAATATGGGTACCAAACAGCATACTTTGGGAAACATCCCCATAAAGCAATCCAAGGGGAGTGTCTGCCATCCCAGGTGTTATTAAATTAGTGCATTTGGTAAGCTCTTCCTATGGAATATCAAAGATCCGCTCCTCGAAATCATATTGTTTGTTGAGTGATCCCTCTGTCTACTGAGTGATTACCGTGCTAAGAGCTTTTTTTTTTTTTTGAGATGGAGTTTCACTCTTGTAGCCCGGGCTAGAGTGCAATGACGCGATCTTGGCTCACTGCAACCTCTGCCTCCTGGGTTCAAGTGATTCTCCTGCCTCTGCCTCCCAGTAGCTGGAATTACAGGCACCTACAACCACTCTTGGCTTTTTTTTTTTTTTTTTTTTTTGACAGAATCTCGCTCTGTTGCCTAGGCTGGAGTGCAGTGGCACGATCTCGGCTCACTGTAACCTCTGCCTCCCAGGTTCAAGTGATTCTCCTGCCTCAGCCTCCCAAGTAGCTGGAATTACAGGCATGCGCCACCATGCCCAGCTAATTTTTGTATTTTTAGTAGAGACGGAGTTTTACCATGTTGGTCAGGCTGGTCTCAAACTCCTGACCTCAGATGATCCGCCTGCCTCAGCTTCCTGAAGTGCTGGGATTACAGGCATGAGCCACCACGCCCAGCCCCACTCCTGGCTAATTTTTAAATAGAGACAGGGTTTTGCCATGTTGACCAGGCTGGTCTCGAACTCCTGACCTCAAGTGACCCGCCGACCTCAGCCTCCCAAAGGACTGGGATTACAGGCATCAGCCACCTTTCCTGGCCAACTAGGAGCTTTTGAGATGACATTATGTTAAAACCTCACCTTGTTCTATGAGACAAGGATATCAGCCCCTCTTTCACTGTTGGTGAAGCTGAGTCTCAGAGAAGGGGAGGGCTTGTACCCTCTGACATGCAGCTGGTCAATGGCAGAGCTGGAATATAAAGTCAGGGGTGTCTCGCTCCTAAACCAAATACATTCTCTACTTAATCTACGTAAGAACACAAAATACTATGCTCTTTTAATGAGACTATGTTCTTTGAATATGGTTATTCTGTGTTCATATTAAACTTTACAGCTCTTCAGATGTTTGGACCAGAAGGCTAGTGGATTCGCTAGTACTCATGTCCCTTGACAGGCAAAGACCTCCAGCTTTTGCATACATCCAGATCTGCAAAAATGCCAAAAGCTCTGCTCAGCTTCTTTTCACCTCAGCCTGCTGTCACTTACATCTCAGGCAATGCTGTGAGTGCAAAAGAGGGAGCCCTGAAGTTAAAATCAGGAGAAAGTGTAAAACGGAAAGAGACCAGGCCTCACAAAGGCTAAAATTCAGCTTGTAATCAGCTCATTCTCAGATCGAATTGAGAAGATCTTTACCAGAAGCAAAATGTCAGATAATCTGAGGCTTTAGGTAATATTTTTTTCCTGCTCTGGAAGATTATCTGATATTTTTTCACACAAATTGCCTGACATTTTATCAAAACTTAACAAGCATTCCAGAAAAAAAAAAAAGAACAAGTGGCCAGAAAGCAAGCAAGCAAACAAACAAATAAATAAAACCCACAGATAGCAGAAAGAGAGCCACAGCACATTTATATATTGAGATAATCAGACATGGACATTCGTTGTGCACATGTACCCTAAAACTTAAAGTATAATAATAATAAAATTTAAAAAAAATTATTGTGATTGATATTTTCAAGTAAAGATATGACAAGTTGATGGTTTTTACTAGAGACCTGAAATTTAAACAAAATGGAAAGTCTAGAAGTGAAAAATATTGTATTAAAATTAATAACCCAATGAATTCATTATCAGCAGATTAGATGCTGCTGAAGAGAAGATTAGTGATCAAGAAGACAGGTCAGTAAAAAATAACCAGACTTAAGCATGAAGAGAAAAGCATGAGAAATATAGAAAAGGACACAGGAGACACAAGCGATGAGACATGGTTCAAGAACTCAATGGATGTCATTAGAGGACCAGAAGGAAAGGAGAGACAGAATGAAGCAAAGGCAACATTGAAAAGGCAACAGCCAAGAATCTTCCAAAATTGATGAAAACTACAGATTCAAGAAGTACTCCAAACCCTAAGGGAAGAAAAACAAACAATACAAACAAAAAACCTGGGCAACCATAATCAGGCCATTGAAAACCAAAGACAGAAAGAATCTTCTAAGTTGACAGAGAGAGAGTAAAAGGAACAATACCTCCAAAGGAGCAGCAATAAGACAACTGAATGAGAAAATTTACTTAATGTCTCCTTAATGATCTTCTCTGACTCCATTCCCCTTTACCCCGGGGAGAAAACCACTATCCTGAAGTTCTTGGGTATCCCATCCATCCGTGAGGCTCTACCTTGACTTCACAGGTGAATATTCATAAGCAACATAAAATACGTAGTGTTTTGCCTGTTTATAGAATTTAAATATATGGTACACTAAGTGAATATTCTATTTTTCTTTTTATAATTGTGTTTAATTTTTCATTGTGTAAAAATTGTATGATTATATAAATGGATTCATTCCACTATTGATGAAATTATTAAATTAATATTTAATAATCTAATATTTAATTAAATATTAGATTGTTTTTTATCTTTTATTGTTACATATTTGATAACACCTGCTTCTTTATATATATATATAATTTAGCTAATGCAGTGTCTCCAAAGTGGGGCACGTACATTCCAAGGAGATTGTATGACAATCCATATAGTTACAGTAAGAAAATGCTAGAAATTCTATTCGTATTTCTTAAAGACATCCGTTAAAAGTTTTCAACTTATATGTCTTTAATGATATTCATACATATGTAAGAATAGTGACATGCTGATAATTTATACATAAAAAATACTTATAGTAAGAGTACATGCTAAAAATTTTCAGCTGATGAGATATATGACCAAGAAATCTAGAAAACACTTCTCTAAATAATACAGCTAGAGATGCAATTTCTGAGAATTTGTACCCTCAGTTTTATTAGATACAGTAGTCCCCAATTATTCATGGTTTTGCTTCCCACAGTTTCAGTTGCCTGTGGTCAGCAATGGTCGGAGGTGACTACAGTACAATATGATGTTTTGAGAGAGGTAAGAGAAAGAGGACACATTCACATAACTCTTATTACAGTATATTGTTATAATTGCTCTATTTTATTATTAATTATTGTTGTTAACCTCTTACTGTGCCTAACTGATAAATTAGACTTTATAGGTATGATAGTTTTGTCATCAACATGCTATCAACATAAAGTCCTTCACATGTGCATTTTAAGTCATGTAAAATATTAGAACCCACTGGCACAGATCAAATTCTTAGACAAATTAGCATTATTATTATTTTTAAGTGCATTTAATTCTCAAAGAGCACCGTTCCATTCATGCTCCCCAAGCCCATCACCAATATTTCTAAGTGTGCTTAACATTTTTTTCTGGAAACTGAAATATCGCTGCACAAAGCAGCAGCTGTCATATCAAAATATTTCAGTGATGTGATAATTTGTATTTAAAATTCCCTAGGATACAGTGAAGAAGTCACAAAAATCTAAAGTCAGATGGAGAAAGGGAAGCAAGAGATCTCAGAGCCCCAGGAGTCATGACTGCCAGAGTTCTACTAGGACCCCTGGAAGGGGTTCATGCAGGACGCGTGTAGTATGCAAAGCCCCTGGTTTCTTGTTGGCGGAGAAAACTCAGTGCATGGATGACTGTAATTTAGTTAACTGAGCACTTGAACGCTGTTAAAAATACCCAAAATACTTGGATATTTCAGGTACTCATTTGAATTATAACCATATTGTGCAATGAATGTTTATGTAACTAATGTTAATTGACCACCTGCTATGTATCAGGAAACATCCTGGGTGCTGTGAGTAAATGACAATTCCATCAATATAGCTGACATTTATTAAGCATTTACTATATGCCAAGATCTTTAAGTGCATTTCTTGCACCTCTATCATCTCCTTATGAAGTTCCTAATTCAATTATACTCATTTTATAAACGTGAAATCTGAAGGTAAAGCCTAGTATAAATACCTGGTAGAGGTTGCACAGCTAATATGCACTGGAGCTGGGATGTGAACCAAACAAAGCCTTCTGGATTCCAGAGCTTTCCAACCACAAGACTTTATGTTGTCCTAGGAAGATGGGTACAACATGGCCCCAACCATCACAGAACTTGCAGCCTAGTTAGAGACAGACATACAAACTCATACCGTAAAAATTACAAAATGCAGACAAATGAGGTGGCTGGGGGATAAGTGAGGAGACAGACAGGGCATTTGACCTGGTCCTTGAAAAGAGTAGGAATTTGAGGGATGGAAGAAAAAAGGAAGCATATTCCACACAAAGGAAATAGTACTGCAAAGGCACATGGCTGTGAAGGAGTGCATGCAGTTGGAGAACAGGCTATATCCATGCAAACAGAAAATAGTGCAAGGAGGAATTAAGTAAGAAATAGCTCTAGGAAGGTCAGCGAGCCAGTTCGTGGAGGACTTTGAATGTCAAGCTAAAGAGCTCCAAATTCCTACCATTGGCCATGGAGAGCCATGAATACATTTGAAAAGGAATATAATATGCTTTGCTTTAATCTACACATAGATTTTGTCAGAATTCCTGCCCTGCTCTCTGGGCACACATCAAAGAATGCCTTCCTCCCATAGATATGTTCCAGTTTCAGGCTGACACTATCATCTGAAGTCCCAAGGATTTGAACAGCCTTGAGAAATAGAAGTAGGTCCCCAAGCAGCCACCCTCAGTTCACACTCCTGGAAACCTAGAGTGCTTGTGTAAATGGCTGTCTGCTGCAAAGGTGAGGTCAGGAATCCACAGCTGATGTGGG